>NC_000011.10:1575151-1878181 GCF_000001405.40 Homo sapiens
AGGAACATACGGTGTGCCATATTAACTATTTTTAAGTGAATTTGGCAGCATTAAGTACATTCACTTTCTGTGTAACCGTCACCACCACCCATCTCTGGAGCTTTTCGTCTTGGAAAACTGGAACTCTACTCTGTCCTCATTAGACACCAACTTCCCAACCCCCTCCCCAGCCCTTGGCACCCATTATTCAAGTAGATTTTTTTTTTTTTTTGACGGAGTCTCATTCTTGTCGCCCAGGCTGGAGTGGAGTGGTACGATCTCAGCTCACTGCAACCTCCATCTCCTGGGTTCAAGCGATTCTCCTGCCTCAGCCTCCCAAGTAGCTGGGATTACAGGCGGCCACTACCATGCCCAGCTAATTTTGTGTGTTTAGTAGAGATGGGGTTTCACCATGTTGGCCAGGATGGTCTCGAACTCCTGACCTCAGGTGATCCTCCCGTCTTGGCCTCCCAAAGTGCTGGGATTACAGGCGTGAGCCACTGCACCCAGCCAGTAGATGGGTTTTGACAACTGTATATGTAGTTTTATCACCATCAAAATGAGACCTAGAAACTTTATTATCCCAGAAGTTCCCTGGTGCCCTGTCCTCACCCTCTGACCTGTCACCGTGAGTTACTGCTATCTGTTCGTACACTTTATAAAAATGGAAACAATGGAAACAAACAATGAGAGGACTTTTGCCCCTGGCATCTTTCACTCAAGGAAATACTTTTTTTTTTTTCCAGACAGAGTCTCTTTGTTCCCCCAGGTTGGAGTGGAGTGGCGCGATCTCAGCTCGCTGCAACCTCCGACTCCCGGTTTCAAGCGATTCGCCAGCCTCAGCCTCCTGAGTAGCTGGGATTACAGGCGCCCGCCACCACGCCCATCTAAATTTTGTATTTTTTAGTAGAGATTGGGTTTCACCACGTTGGCCAGGCTCGTCTCGAACTCCTGACCTCAGGTGATCTGCCCACCTTGGCCTCCCAAAGTGCTGGGATTACAGGCGTGAACCACCTTGCTTGGCCTTAAGGAAATACTTTTGAGATTCGTCCACATTGCTGCTTTCCCACAACCTGATGATAACGTCTGTGTGGTTCTGTATTTCATGGGTGTATGGCAAGAGTGGAACCAATTCTTTATTTTTTACATATTAGATTATTTTCATATTTGGGCTATAAAAAACTGCAGCAGGCCGGGCACGGTGGCTCATGCCTGTAATCCCAGCACTTTGGGAGGCCGAGGCGGGTGGATCATGAGGTCAGGAGATCGTGACCATCCTGGCTAATGTGATGAAACTCTGTCTCTACTAAAAATCCAAAAAATTAGCTGGGCGTGGTGGCGGGCGCCTGTAGTCCCAGCTACTTGGGAAGCTGAGGCAGGAGAATTGCTTGAACCCGGGAGGCGGAACTTGCAGTGAGCCGAGATCGCACCACTGCACTCCAGCCTGGGTGACAGAGCGAGACTCCATCTCAAACAAAAAACAAAAAAGAAAACAAACAAAAAAACTGCAGCAGACAGCATCCTATTGTATATGCTTAAAAAAAGAGATATGGGATCCCTCTATTTTATCCAGGCTGGACTGAACTCTTCCTGGGCCCAAGTGATCCTCCTGCTTCAGGCTTCCCGTAGCTGAGATTATAGGCACGTGCCACCACACCCAACTCTTACATGTTTGTAACACACTTCTCAGATTATTTTTCTTTCTTCCCTCTCTCTCTTTCTCCATTTCCTTCATTCCTTCCTTCTGTCCTTCTGTCCTTCCTGTCTTCCTTTTCTTTCTTGACAGGATCTCACTCTGTCACCCAGGCCAGAGGGCACTGGTGGAAATATAGCTCACAGCAGTCTCAACCTCCTGAGCTCAAGGGATCCTCCCATCACAGCCTCCTGAGTAGCTGGCACTACAGGCATGTGCCAGCATCTCCAGCTAATTAAAAAAATTTTTTTTGGCCAGGTGTGGTGGTGCGTGCCTGTAATCCTAGCTACTCGGGAGGCTGAGACACCAGAATCGCTTGAACCCAGGATGCGGAGCTTGCAGTGAGCCAAGATCGTGGCACTGTACTCCAGCCTGGGCAACGGAATGAAACTCCATCTCAGAAAAAAAAAATTTTTTTTGTAGAGATGAAGTCTCACTATGTTACCGAGGCTGGTCGCAAATTCCTGGGCTCAAGCAATCCTCCTCTCTTGGCCTTCAGCCTTCCAAAATGCTGGGATTACAGGATTATTTTCTTTCCTAGTTTTTTTTTTTTTTTTTTTGGATGGCATCTCGCTCTGTTGCCCAGGCTGGAGTACACTGGTGCGATCTCAGCTCACTGCAACCTCCACCTCCTGGGTTCAAGCGATTCTCCTGCCTCAGCCTCCTGAGTAGCTGGGATTACAGGCGCCTGCCATCATGCCCTGCTAATTTTTGTAGTTTTAGTAGAGACAGGGTTTCACCATGTTGGCCAGGCTGGTCTCGAACTCCTGACCTCAGGTGATCTGCCCGCCTCGGTCTCCCAAAGTGCTGGGATGACAGGCGTGAGCCACAGCGCCCCCTGCCCCCAACTCCCATGTCCCCAGATATTGCAAAGTTGCCCTGAGTGGAGAATTCTAATAACTTGCCAGCAGGCTAGAAGAACTCCATTTAAAACCCTTGCCAGGGCTGGGCATGGTGGCTAACACCTGTAATCCCAGCACTTTGGGAGGTTGAGGTGGGCGGATCACCTGAGGTCAGGAGCTTGAGACCAGCGTGGCCAACATGGTGAAACCCCATCTCTACTAAAAAATACAAAAATTAGCCGGGTGTGGTGGTGGGCACCTGTAATCCCAGCTGCTTAGGAGGCTGAAGCAGGAGAATCCCTTGAACCCGGGAGGTGGAGGTTGCGGTGAGCTGTGATTGTGCCATTGCACTCTAGCTTGGGCAACAAGGGCAAAACTCTGTCTCAAAATAAAATAAAATAAAACCCTTGCCAACACTTGGGATTTTATGCATTTTGATTATAGCTGCATTACTTGATGGGTTGACTAGGAGGACACTGGAGTGTCTTCTCACACAGACTCCATATTTAGTTTGAAGACGTCCTTCTATATTGCCTTATAATCTTCCCCAGGGAGGCCTTACAGTCTTCCCATTGCGTATATTACTCCTGAGCTTATGATTTCGGTTGCTTTGTGAAAGGTTATAAAAACCACAATTTCTGATGTGTTGTTGCCTGTCATGGGCTGGCTGTCGATCACCCTCTCTGACTTCTCTTACTCCTCCAAGCAGGCCGCCTGTAGGTTCACTTGGATTTCCCAGGTAGATGGCCCTATCATCTATGAATCTGCACTTTCGTTTCTTTCCAAACCTCACATTGCTTGTTTCTTGTCATATTGCATGGGCTGGCATCACCATTATAATGCTAAGTGGACATGGTGATGGTGGGAGTCTTAGCTTCCATTCCCCAGAAAGTAGCCAGATGCAAAGCTCAGTGTACACATTTTCTGGAAGGGAGGAACACACCGAGCCAGGGAGGAGGTGAAGCTGAGGCAAGGCTGCTTCTTACTCAGCTGCTGTGGCTTTTTGGAAGTTGCAGCTCAGCTGGCCACGTCTGCACACCCTCTCCCACGAGACCATACAGCGATGCTCCACCTCAGAATGGTCCACAGGGAGGAGGAAGGGAGAATAGTTTCTCTGCAAGCTCCTTCCTGTCTTCTGCTCTCATAGGTCAGAGTTGCTCTCCCGAGGAATTAAGTTCCCTGCATCTTCAGGTGGTGTTACTGGCCCCTCTTGGCAGCTGCTGGGCAGGCCAGAGTGTCTGAGGGTTTGGGGAAGCTGGCACATTGTGTGGAGTGAGAGAGAGGTTCATTAAAATTCCCAATTATTCCTATACATTCCCAATTATAGTCCCAATTGTATTTGTGGATTTATCTATTTCTTATTTTAGTTTTGTCAATGTTTGCTTTATATGTTTTAAAGCTCAGTTATTTGGCACATAGAAGTTTAGGATTGTTTTCTGTTTGGTTGCATGAACTCTCCTATCATCATGAAATGTTATCTCTTCTAATAATGGTTTTGTTTCAAAGTCCACATTGTCTGATCTTACTATCATTATACTAGGTTTTTGAAAACATTAATGTTTGCCTAATATATCTTTTTTTTTATTCTTTTGCTTTCTATCTTCCTGGATCTTGATATTTAGGGTTTGTTTTTTCTAAACAACATGCATCTTATTTAACTTCTCTCTGTTTTTTTTTCTTTCCTTTTTTTTTTGAGACAGAGTCTCACTCCGTCACCCAGGCTGGAGTGCAATGGTGCAATCTCGAGTCACTGCAGCCTCTGCCTCCCAGATTCAAGCGATTCTTGTGCCTCAGCCTCCCAAGTAGCTGGAATTATAGGCACGGGCCACCACACCTGGCTAATTTTTTGTACTTTTAGTAGAGACGAGGTTTCACCATGTTGGCCAGGCTGGTCTCAAACTCCTGACCTCAAGTGATCAGCCTGCCTTGGCCTCCCAAAGAGCTGGGATTACAGGCATGAGCCACCGTACCTGGCCTAATTTCTGTCTTCTGTTAGCTTCCGGGTTATGTATTCATTATCCTTTAATGGCTACCTTAGAGATGGTTATATTTATTTATTTATTTTTTTGAGATGGGGTCTCACTCTGTTATCCAAGCTGGAGTGCAGTGGCATAATCATGGCTCACTGCAGACTTGACCTCCCAGGCTCAGGTGATTCTCCCACCTCAGCCTCCTGAGTAGCTAGGACTATAGGCACCTGCCAACACACCCGGCTAATTTGTGTATTTTTGGTAGAGATGGAGTTTTGCCATGTTGCCCAGGCTGGTTTTGAATTCCTGGTCTTGAGCAATCCATCTGCCTTGGCTTCCCGAAGTGCTGGGACTACAGGCGTGAGCTTCTGCACCCATCCAGAGATTATGATAACATATTATCAGTTAATAATCTCGTGTCTTCATAAACAAGGCAAGAACCTTACAACTATTTAATTCTGTTTATCCCTCTCCTGACTTCTGTGCTGTTGTCATATATTTTACTTCCACAAAGTTTAAAAATTTTATAGGACATTGAATATTGTTTTATTTATTTATTTAGAGACGGAGTCTTGCTCTGTTGCCCAGGCTGGAGTGCAATGGTGCAATCTTGGCTCACTACAACCTCTGCCTCCCAGGTTCAAGCAATTCTCTTGTCTCAGCCTCCGAAGTAGCTGGGATTACAGGTGCCCACCACCATGCCCAGCTACTTTTTTTTTTGTTTTTTTTTTGAGATAGAGTCTTGCTCTTGTTGCCCAGGCTGGAGTGCAGTGGTGCGATCTCGGCGCACTGCAACCTCCACATCCCGGGTTCAAGCGATTCTCCTGCTTCACCCTCCTGAGTAGCTGGGACTACAGGCGCATGCCACTACACCCGGCTAATATTTTGTATTTTTAGTTGAGACAGGATTTTACCATGTTGGCCAGGCTGGTCTCGATTTCCTGACCTGTGATCTGCCTGCCTCGGCCTCCCAAAGTGCTGAGATTACAGGCGTGAGCCACTGTGCCCAGCCCTTGGCTACTTTTTATATTTTTAGTACAGACAGGGTTTCATCATGTCGGCCAGTCTGGTCTTGAACTCCTGACCTTGTGATACACTCACCTCGGCCTCGCAAAGTGCTGGGATTACAGGCGTGAGCCACCGTGCCTGGCCCTTGGCTACTTTTTATATTTTTAGTAGAGATGGGGTTTCACCATGTTGGCCAGTCTGGTCTCGAACTCCTGACCTCAGGTGATCCGCCCTCCTCGGCCTCCCAAAGCACTGGGATTACAAGCGTGAGCCACTGTGCCTGGCCCAATCATAGTTATTTTAAAGCCCTTGTTTCCTAACTCCAATATGTGGCTTATCTGTAATCTGCTTCTTCTGTTAGCTTTCCGCATGATTATTGATCACTGTTTCCTGCTGTGTCCTGTATCTCGTGCTTTCTGTCAGAGGTATGCCTCAAAGGACCGTGGGGGTCCATATCTAGGGACCGTGGGGGGTCCATATGTCGGGACCGTGGGGGTGTCTATATCTCGGGACCGTGGGGGTCCATATCTAAGGACCGTGGGGGTCCATATCTTGGGACCATGGGGGGTCTATATGTCAGGACCGTGGGGGTCTATATCTAAGGACCGTGGGGTTCTGTATCTCAGGACCGTGGGGGTCCATATCTAGGGACCGTGGGGGTCCATATCTAGGGACCGTGGGGGGTCCATATGTCGGGACCGTGGGGGTGTCTATATCTCGGGACCGTGGGGGTCCATATCTAAGGACTGTGGGGGTCCATATCTTGGGACCATGGGGGGTCTATATGTCAGGACCGTGGGGGTCTATATCTAAGGACCGTGGGGTTCTGTATCTCAGGACCGTGGGGGTCTGTATCTAGGGACCGTGGGGATCTGTATCTAGGGACCGTGCGGATCTGTATCTAGGGACTGTGGGAGTCTATATCTAAGGACCGTGGGGTCTATATCTAGGGACCGTGGGGGTCCATATCTCAGGACCGTGGGGATCTGTATCTCAGGACCGTGGGGGTCTGTATCTCGGGACCGTGGGAGTCTATATCTAGGGACTGTGGGAGTCTATATCTAAGGACCGTGGCGTCCATATCTAGGGACCATGGGGGTCCATATGTCGGGACCGTGGGGGGTCTATATCTCGGGACCGTGGGGGTCCATATCTAAGGACCATATGTCGGGACCGTGGGGTTCTGTATCTCAGGACCGTGGGGGTCTGTATCTAGGGACCGTAGGGATCTGTGTCTAGGGACCGTGGGGGTCTATATCTAGGGACTGTGGGAGTCTATATCTAAGGACTGTGGCGGTCTGTATCTCGGGACCGTGGGGGTCTATATCTCAGGACCGTGGGGCTCCATATCTCAGGACCATGGGGGTCTGTATCTAAGGACCGTGGAGGTCTATATCTCGGGACCGTGGGGGTCTCCATCTAAGGACTGTGGGGGTCTAGCTGCTCTCTTCCAACAGTGAGCACGTGGCCTCCCTCTCTAGTGCAGACAGGGAGAGGAGCTGAACATTTCGTCTACCCGCTCAGTTAGGGATTGGGCCACTTCAGTCAATCGTCCCTCTGTGTGGCTTTCCTGGAGTTTTGGTTAAGAGCCTGGCCAGTCCGTGTCTTCTTATCCCTGACAGGCTGTCAGAGAGTCACTTCTTTCCCTGAGGTACAGGCTTAGCTCTTTAGTTGTCTGCTCAGGCAGCTTCAAAATTTGGAAAATGTCTTAAGGGCCAGATTAACCTGTGCCTGGGGCAGGACCCCTTCCTCTAGAAAAGCTCTGTGTACTAAGCTCCACAAGGCTATGCGAGACTTCAGCGCACCTGCGGAGGCCTCAGGCCTCACTTCTTAGCCTCCCCAGAAATTTGCAAATGTCCCAGTTTTCTGCTCCAGCCCCTGTGGTTGCCAAGAGCCCTGCTGGGTATTTCTCCCAGTAGAATTCCTCTTCCCCAGTGGGACCGAGGCTCAGCTCATACCCAGCACTGGTTAATTCCTTAAAGGGAGAGAAGCCGACATTCAGCTCATCTTGGAAGGGCTCTCTCTGAATGTTTTCATCTGGTTCTTGTTGCTTCTACAGTTCTCCAATGTCTTTTTTATAGATACATTTTTCCGGTATTTCAAAATTGTGGGCCGGATGCAGTGGCTGACGCCTATAATCCCAGCACTTTGGGAGGGTGAGGCAGGTAGATCACTTGAGGTCAGGAGTTTGAGACCAGCCTGGCCAACATGGTGAAACCCCATCTCTACTAAAAATACAAACAAAACAAAATTAGCTGGGCATGGTGGCTCATGCCTGTAGTCCCAGAAACTCAGGAGGCTGAGGCAGGAGAATAGCTTGAACCCAGGAGGCAGAGGTTGCAGTGAGTGGAGATCACACTACTGCACTCCAGCCTGGGCAACAGAGTGAGACTCCATCTCAGAAAAAAAAAATTGTGGTAAGATACATACGGTAGGATTTCCTGAAGTTATTTATTTATTTATTTATTTATTTATTTATTTATTTATTTTACCATCTGAGTTCTGTAATTAATGTGGCCTTCTCTGGTTGCTGCAATGGGATTGCTGACCTTCCATATACATCCCCTCTGGAATGTCATATTTGCATTCTTCTGGCTTTTTTTGTTTGTTTTTTGTTTTTTTTGAGACGGAATCTTGCTCTGTAGCCCAGGCTGGAGTGCAGTGGCGCGATCTCGGCTCACTGCAGCCTCCGCCTCCCGGGTTCACACCATTCTCCTGCCTCAGTCTCCTGAGTAGCTGGGACTACAGGCGCCTGCCACCATGCCCGGCTAAATTTTTGTATTTTTAGTAGAGAGGGGGGTTTCACCGTGTTAGCCAGGATGGTCTCAATCTCCTGACCTGGTGATCCGCCCCCCTCGGCCTCCCAAAGTGCTGGGATTACAGGCATGAGCCACCGCACCTGGCCGCCGGCATCTTTAATTCAGACTGCCAGCTTCCAGAACCCTGAGAAATACACTTCTGTTGTACATGCCAGTCCATGGTGTTCTGTTACATCAGCCCAAAGAGAATAAGACCGCGTGGTAACAGGCCATGATGACCCCCTAGTGATTGCTTTTGCCTGATCAAGGCAAGGCACCCCCGCCCTGAGCCAGATGCTGAGAGGGTGTGGTAGAGGCTGCACGGCAAGGGGCTGAGCCAGGTGGCTGCTGGTGCTCCTGCCTCTGACCGCCACCATGTATCCAGGATCCCTGCTGGCCAGGGCGCCCACCTGCCTGCTCCGGTTTGGTTCAGGGCCGGTGTGTGTGTGTGTGTGTGTGTGTGTGTGTGTGTGTGTGGTTCCCAGGGGACCCAGTGTAGCCACAGATGCCCCCCACCTGCCTCGAGAGGGAAATAAACATAAATATACCAAGACAGCTATGGGGTGCTGGGGTGAGCGGTTTATTGGATGTTTAAAGGACAGAGATCTGAACTCCTAGTGACTGCAGAGTGAGCAAGCACCCTGGGCTGTCCTGCAGGGCTGTCCGTGCTGGATGTGGTGCCAGCAGGCAGGGCTTGCGGATAGGCATTTGCTGCAGGTGGCTGGGGCGGTGGGGGGCTGGTCTCCAGATGCCTGGAAGGGAGGCCTTGAAAGTCATTCTTCTTGGATGCATGGGCCCATGGCATTTCTTGGTAGAAGGTCAAAGAGAAGTGTTCATGCTTGGCAAGGCAGGAGGGTGGGAGATAGGGTAGTGGGTGGGGAAGGAGAGTCTGGCTCACTGGGTGCCAGGAAAAGGAGGTAAAGGCTGGGCAGGAATGCCTGGCCATGGTAAGAGTCCTGCAAAGCCAGAAATCAGATCTTGCACTGGCAGCACACGGGGACACAGCAACTGGACTGGGAGCAGCAGGGCTTGCAGCAGCTGGATTGGCAACAGGATGACCCACAGCCTGAGGAACAGCAGCAGGGCTTACAGCAACTGCACTGGGAGCAGGATGACCCGCAGCCTCCCTTAGACCCCGCGCAAGAGCCACAACTGGAACAGGAACAGCAACACACGGGCACACCGCAGCCGGAGCCACAGCCCCCACAGCCGGAGCCACAACCCCCCTTGGATCCCCCACAAGAACCGCAGCCCCCCTTGCAGCCTCCACAGGAGCCACAGCCCCCCTTGGAGCCCCCACAAGAACCACAGGCCCCCTTGGAGCACCCACAGGAGCCACAGCCCCCTTTGCCACAGCTGGAGCAGGAACAAGCTGGCACACAGCAGCACATGGGCTTGCAGCAGCAGACAGGCACACAGCAGCTGGAGCCACATCCCCCACAGCCGGAACCACAGCCACCCTTGGATCCCCCACAAGAGCCACAGCCCCCCTTGGAGCCCCCACAGGAGCCACAACCCCCCTTGGATCCCCCACAAGAGCCACAGCCCCCCTTGCAGCCTCCACAGGAGCCACAGCCCCCCTTGGAGCCCCCAGAAGAGCCACAGCCCCCTTTGCCACAGCTGGAGCAGGAACAGGTTGGCACACGGCAGCACACGGGCTTGCAGCAGCAGACGGGCACACAGCAGCTGGAGCCAGAACCTCCACAGCCAGAGCCACAGCCCCCACAGCCGGAGCCACAGCCCCCACAGCCGGAGCCACAGCCCCCACAGCTGGAGCCACAGCCTCCGGAGCAGCCGCAACAGCCCATGGTTCTGGTGGATTGAGGGTGGAGCAGGTAGAGGAGCAGGTGAGAGGGAGGTGCAGGTGTGGAGCTCCCTGAGCCTGGACCCTTTATATCCCTGCCCAGGGTCATGTGTGAGGCTGGGCACACATTTCCTGGTTCCTGTTTGTGCCATTTTTAGGGCCCCTTTTTCTTGTTTCCTCTAGAAATCCGCCCCTTGGTGTATGGGCTGCTCAGTGGGCTGCTGCTCTCTTGCTGAATCTGTGTCCAGACTTAATGGAGGCCCCCAAGGGTCTAGCCTCTCCCTGTTGACTCCAGAGTCACACTGGATTTACAAAAGCATCTATTTTAGGCTGGGCATGGTGGCTCACACCTGTAATCTCAGCACTTTGGGAGGCCTAGGCAGGTGGATCACTTGAGGTGAGGGGTTGGAGACCAGCCTGGCCAAAATGGTGAAATCTCGTGTCTACTAAAAACACAAAAATTAACTGGGTGTGGTGGCTCACATCTGTAATCCCAGCACTTTGGGAGGCCGAGGCAGGTGGATCATTTGAGGTCAGGAGTTGGAGACCAGCCTGCCCAACATGGCAAAACCCCATCTCTACTAAAAATACAAAAATTAGCCAGGCATGGTGGTGCATGCTTGTAACTCCAGCTACTTGGGAGGCTGAGGCAGGAGAATGGCTTGAACCCAGAGGTGAAGGTTGCAGTGAGCAGAGATCACACCACTGCACTCTAGTGTGGGCAACAGAGCGGGACTCTGTCTCAAAAAAAAAAAAAAAGTGATCTATTTTAGTTGAACGATGGTATAAAGAGTAATATATTTAAAAAATGTAAAAAAAAACCCTACTCAACTTGGGAAAAAATGGCATAAATAAATGAAGTCTCTGTTCCTCCATCTCTCCATATTGTTTCTGTCCCACCCTAATAATTTCTTGAATTTGGAATTCACCACTCTCATGAAGGTCCTCACACTCCTACTTAATATGTATGTTCCTTTAAAAATGTTTTGTGGCCAGGCGCGGTGGCTCACACCTGTAATTTCAGCACTTTGGGAGGCTGAGGTGGGCGGATCATTTGAGTCCAGGAGTTTGAGACCAGCCTCACTAACATGGTGAAACCTCGTCTTTACTAAAAATACAAAAATTAACCAGGTATGGTGGCATGTGCCTGTAATCCCAGCTATTCGGGAGGCTGAGGCAGGAGAATCGCTTGAACCTGGGAGGCAGTGGTTGCAGTGAGCTGAAATCACGCCATTGCACTCCAGCCTGGGCAACAGAGTGAGACTCTATCTCAAAAAAAAAAAAAAAAAAAGAAAAGAAAAAAGAAAAAAAAATTTTACATGCTGAAAACTTTATGTAATGGGTATTACACTGTATTTCTCTTTCTGTAAATTGCTTTTGAAAAAAATAGGTGTTAGGCTAAAGAGATTTTCTCTAGGGATACATATGGTTTTAATTTATTTGTTTTCTCTGATTTCTAAATATACATTGACTTATCCATTTACTTGTTGATGGACCTTTTGTTTCCTTTTTGTTGCTATTTCAAGCAAGCTGCAACTTTCTTGCCCAAAACCCCTCCTGCAGGTGTGGGTGCCTGAAAGTCAGGAGGTTCTTGTTACCAAGCTGTCTTCCCAAGGGATCCCCCCAGCCAGCTGCTGTCCAACCAGCATTGCCAGAGAGCTCCTGTTTCCTGGCACCCCCACCAAAACTTGCAACTGTCAACTTACACCCTTCATGTGGGTGTGTAACACAGTGTTACACACTGTGGTTTAATATTCCCTCTTCCTGGTTACTAGCCATGCTGTGCCTCTTTCCATATGGTCACCTGTCATTAGAGTCTCGTTAATTTCACGTCCTTGGCCCACTTTACAAAATTGAGATAGTTATTATTATTAATTTTTGAGATGGAGAGTCTTGCTCTGTCTCCCAGGCTGTAGCGCAATGGTGCGATTTCGGCTCACTGCAACCTCCGCTTTCCATGCTCGAGCAATTCTCCTGCCTCAGCCTCCCGAGTATCTGGGATTACGGGCATGTGCTACCACACCTGGCTAATTTTTGTATTTTTAGTAGAGTCAAGGTTTCACCATGTTGGTCAGGCTGGTCTTGAACTCCTGACCTCAAGTGATCCACCCACCTCGGCCTCCCAGAGTGCTGGGATTACAGGTGTGAGCCACCACACCTGGCCAAGATCATTATTATTTTTATTGGTGTCTGAAGTTCTTTGAATTTTCTGGATTCTTTTATTTTGAGATGGAGTCTTGCTCTGTTGCCAGGCTGGAGTGCAGTGGCATGGTCTCGGCTCACTGCAGCCTCTGACTCCCTGGTTTGAGCAATTCTCCTGCTTCAGTCTCCCCTGGGATTACAGGCACGTGCCACCACACCCAGCTAATTTTTGTATTTTTAGTAGAGACAGGGTTTCACCGTGTTGGCCAGGCTGGTCTCCTGACCTCATGATCCACCTGCCTCAGCCTCCCAAAGTGCTGGGATTACAGGCGAGAGCCACAGCGCCCAGCCTTTTGTTTCTTCTTCTTCTTCTTCTTCTTTTTTTTTTTTTTTTTTTTGAGACAGAGTCTCGCTCTGTTGCGCAGGCTGGAGTGCAGTGGTGTGATCTCGGCTCACTGCAACCTCTGCCTCCGAGTTCAAGCAATTCTCCTGCCTCATCCTCCTGTGTTTCTTCTTAACATAGATGTCATTTATTCTAAGTTTTTCAAATTTATTGGGATGTACTTTTCATAGTTGCCTCTGTTTTTGAAGATGGGATCTTGCTATGTTGTCCAGGCTGGGGTGCAGTGGCCGTTCACAGGCACCATCATAGCTCACTGCAGTCTCGAACTCACGCCTGGCCTCAAGTGGTCCTCAGCCTCTGAAGTAGCTGGGACTACTACAGACTACCACATTTGACTACTACAAATCCCTACCGTGTGCCACCACGCCTGGCTTAGTAGCCTGTTATTTTTAATAGCTGCTAAATTTGTCATTATTTGCTTTCTTTTCTTTCTTTTTTTTTTATGGCAGGGTCTCACTCTGTCACCCAGGCTGGAGTACAGTGGTGTGATCTCGGCTCACCACAACCTCTGCCTCCCGGGTTCAAGTAATTCTCCTGCCTTAGCCTCCCGAGTAGCTGGGATTATAGGCACCTGCTATCATGCCTGGCTAATTTTTGTATTTTTAGTAGAGATAGGGTTTTGCCATGTTGGCCAGCCTGGTCTCGAACTCCTGGCTTCAGGTGATCCACCTGCCTTGGCCTCCCACGGTGCTGGGATTACAGGCGTGAGCCACCGTGCCCAGCCTATTTGCCGTTTTTCATCCCTGCTTCAGGTTATACATGCTCTTTCTCCTGCCCGACCCTTTTTTTCCTCATTGGTTTTGCTAAATATTGTTGATTTTCTTTGTCTTTTGAAAGACCAGCTTTTGATTTTGTTGATTCTGTTTGTTGTATGTGTTAAACATTTTTATTTAGTTCTGCTCATATCTTTATTTTCTCCATTGTTCTTTTTGCACTTTCTAAACATGCGGGTGCTGGGGTGCGTGACTGTCTGCTGGACGTGGACTGTCAGGCCAGGAGGCGTGCGATAGAGAGTCACTGCCATCTGGGCTTTCTATCTGTCCCTCCTTCCTTCCCTCCCTCCCTCCCTCCCTTTTCTGCAGTCATTTTCATTCAGCTTCTTTCAGCCTTTCTGCAAGCTTCTGGGTGAGGTAACTACTGTGGGGCTGCTTTAAAAGCTCCCATATTTTGGGGTCTCTGTTCTTTACCCGATGAGCTAAGCCTGTGGGGTTTGCTGTGATTTCTGACATACGTGGGCTGCTTCCCACCACCCTTTGCATTTCACCATCCTGTGGTAGTGCTTCCTTCCCCTCTTCTTTTAGATGGAGTTTTTAAGGTTCTGTTTTTGTTTTTATTTTGTTTTGCTTTGACTGACTTAGAAGTTATATACACTATTCCTGTTTTTAGCAGCAACCTTATGCATTTCATGTGTATTTTTAAACAAATGTTGTCTACACGTGATGGCCCTCTATTCCTCCCCTGCTGAGAGTTGTGCAGGGAGCTGGGGACAGCTTCTTCCCCTGCCCAGCCCCTCCGGTGTCAGCTGTGGGAGTTTCTCCAGCGTCTTAGCTCCTCTCACATTGCTCATCATTGTTTATTTATAGTCAGTATTTGCTTAAACTTGCCACACATCCACCAACAACTCTAGGCGTGGTTCTTGCTTACACCATACTTCTTCCTTCCGGGCTCAGCTTCCTTCTTCCTGAAAACATCCTCCGGAAGTTCCCTCACAAGCATTCATCAGTAGACAGTCTGCATTTTTACATGGAGGTGGCTTGTTTCCTGCTCCTCCTGAGCATTCATCAGTAGACAGCCTGCATTTTCACATGGAGGTGGCTTGTTTCCTGCTCCTCCCGAGCATTCATCAGTAGACAGCCTGCATTTTCACATGGAGGTGGCTTGTTTCCTGCTCCTCCCGAGCATTCATCAGTAGACAGCCTGCATTTTCACATGGAGGTGGCTTGTTTCCTGCTCCTCCCGAGCATTCATCAGTAGACAGCCTGCATTTTCACATGGAGGTGGCTTGTTTCCTGCTCCTCCCGAGCATTCATCAGTAGACAGCCTGCATTTTCACATGGAGGTGGCTTGTTTCCTGCTCCTGGGCTCAAGCCATCCTTTCTCCTCAGCCTCCCCAGCAGCTGGGATGACAAAGGCACACCATCACACTCAGCTAATTTTAATTTCTGTGTAGAGATGGGGTCTCTCTAAGTTGCCCAAGCTGGTCTAGAGTTCCTTGGCTCAAGCAACCCTCCCACCTTGGCCTCCCAAAGTGCTGGGATTACAGACGTGAGCCACTATGCCTGGCCTGCCCTCACTTTTGAATAATGCTTTGGTTGGCACAAAATTCCTCAGTGCTTGAAAGGTGTCACTGGCGGCTGTTTCGTCTGTTGCTGCTGTCACTTTCTCTGCCCCTCCGCTGGAGTCCCCAGCCTTCTGAGTCTGCTGTGGAAGCTGGAGTCTCTGGCCTTCTGTGTCCGCTGTGAAAGCTGGAGTCCTGGTCTTCCGTGTCTACTGTGGAAGCTGGAGCTGCCTGGCCTTCTGTGTCTGCTGTGCAGGCTGGAGTCCCTGGCCTTCCATGTCTGCTGTGGAAGCTGGCTTGCACATTTGGTTCTCCCACCTGCTTCATGCCATGTCCTTCCTGGACCGAGGGTTCCAGTTTCAACCTTGGGAGACTCTCCCTGTCTCACCTCTCCCGAGTCTCTCTCATCTCTAGTTGGACAAATGTCAAATCTACTACATGTCCCCATATGTCTTTTTTTTTTTTTTTTTTTTTAAGACAGAGCCCTGTTCTGTTGCCTAGGCTGGAGTGCAGTGGCAAGATCTTGGTTCACTGCAACCTCCAACTCCCGGAGTCAAGTGATTCTTCTACCTCAACCTCCCAAGTAGCTGGGATTACAGGCGCCTGTCACCATGCCCAGCTATTTTATTTTATTTTATTTTTTGTATTTTTAGTAGAGAAGGGGTTTCACCATGCTGGCCAGGCTGGTCTCAAACTCCTGACCTCATGATCCGCCTGCCTTGGCTGCCCAAAGTGCTGGGATTACAGGCGTGAACCACTGCGCCTGGCCCCCATGTGTCTTTTTTAAAAAAAGAAAACCGTTTTATTGAGATAAATGTGCATATACAGTTTGTCTATTTAAAAGTCCACAATCTGGCCAGGCGTGGTGGCTCACACCTGTAATCCCTGCACTTTGGGTGGCTAAGGTGGGTGGATCACCTGAGGCCAGGAGTTCAAGACCAGCCTGGCCAACATGATGAAACTCTGTCTCTACTAAAAATACAAAAATTAGCTGGGTGTGGTGGTGCATGCCTGTAATCCCAGCTACTTGGGAGGCTGAGGCAGGAGAATGGCTTGAACCCAGGAGCGGAGGTTGCAGTGAGCTGAGATCTTGCCACTACACTCCAACTTGGGCAACAGAGTGAGACTCCATCTCAAAAAAATAAATAAATAAAAGAAGACCGTCATAAGTGGAGAAATATATCATGTTCATGGGTGGAAAGTCTTAACATTATAAAAAGTTCAGTTTCTTATATTCATACATTCAATGGATTTTATTCAATTAAAATTCCAGAAGGATTTAATTCTGAAAATTATTCCATAGATCTAAAATTTATGTGCAAACTTGTGAATAACTGAGACACTCCTGAATAATATTCAGAAGGGGTAGTCTCTGCCTGATATTAAGGCATAATAAAGTCTTCGTTGTTAAAACAGTTTGCTACTAGCACATGAATGGATAAATAGTTAGAAGTACAGAACAGGAACCCAGAAAAGACCCATCTATTGCAGAGCTTTAATTTTTTTTTTTTTTTTTTTTGAGATAGAGTTTCACTCTTATTGCCCAGGCTGGAGTGCAATGGCACGATCTTGGCTCACCACAACCTCCACCTCCCGGGTACAAGCAATTCTCCTGCTTTAGCCTCCCGAGTAGCTGGGATTACAGGCATGCACCACCACACTGGCTAATTTTGTATTTTAGTAGAGACGGGGTGTCTCCGTGTTGGTCAAGCTGGTCTCGAACTCCTGACCTCAGGTGGTCCACCTGCCTCAGCCTCCCAAAGTGCTGGGATTACAGGCGTGAGCCACCGTGCCCAGCCAGAGGAGCTTTAATCTTTAACAAATTGAATGGGGAAGATGGCTCACTCTATGCAGAGAATTAAAATTAGATGCCTACCTCACACCCTCTATAATCCACATGGATTGAAGACCTAAAAGGATATGTAAAAGTGAAAGGAAAATATAAAAAGAGTGGAAGATAATATAGGAGATTGTGTTTATTATCTTGGGGTCAGGAAATGAATTCTTAAATATGATCCCCAGAACATAAACAGTAATTAGGAAAATGCTGTATTTAACCACATCAAAATTACTGATATATGTCTGGATATCACCCCACAAAAAAACCATTAAAAGATGATTGGGGCCAAGTGTGGTGGGTCACCCCTGTAATCCCAGCACTTTGGGAGGCCGAGGTGGGCAGATCACCTGATGTCAGGCGTTCGAGACCAGCCTGACCAACGTGGTAAAACCCCATCTATACTAAAAATACAAAATTAGCCAGGTGTGGTAGTGCATGCCTGTAATCCCAGCTACTCGGGATGCTGAGGCAGGAGAATTGCTTAAACCTGGGAGGTGGAGGTTGCAGTGAGCCGAGATTGCACCATTGCACTCCCGCCTGGGCAGCAAGGTGAAACTCCGTCTCAAAAAAAAAGAAGATTGATCAACTGGGAGAAGATATTTGCCATTTGCCATATTTATAACCCCTAGAAGCTAATGTCTAGACAGGAACCCTGAAAATCAACAGAAGAGGGCAGGAGACCTAGTGGAGAAGTGGGCAAAGCATAGGAATAGACCACCCACAGATGGCTAGTGAGGACGCGAAAAGACCTTCAACCTTATTTTTAATCAGAGTTAAGCAATGAAAACAAAACGCCCCTGGTTTTTGAAGAGAATGGAAACACCTGCAGTCTTACTGATATGTTACATTTAGCGCGTGGTATTTAGTGAGAGGCGTGAGCAGCTATGTGCTTACCTGCAGCATACAGCGGGAGTCGTTACGTGACTTCTGCCTTTCAAGCACATACAGTGTAATGGGATCCATCCATCACACAAATATACTAGCTCTGTACACAGCCTTGAGGAGGAGCAATATTTTTGGTTGTTATAAACTGCATTTTTTTTTTTTGGTATGGCCTTTTGATTCTGGGAAGCACATTCATTCTATGGCTATTGCCTTTTTAGATCATGAAAGCATCATTCCATATTGATGAAGAAGATGTAGATATGGCACTGATCAACACCTCAGTCGCCTTCCTTCCAAAACAGATACTTCTCAAGAAATCTGGGGCCGGGTGTAGTGGCTCACGCCTGTAATTCCAGCACTTTGGGAGGCCAAGGTGGGCAGATCACAAGGTCAGGAGATGGAGACCATCCTGGTTAACACAGTGAAAACCCATCTCTACTAAAAATACAAAAAATTATCCGGGCGTGGTGGCGGGTGCCTGTAGTCCCAGCTACTCAGGAGGCTGAGGCAGGAGAATGGCGTGAACTCAGGAGGCAGAGCTTGCAGTGAGCTGAGATCGTGCCACTGCACTCCAACCTGGGCGACAGAATGAGACTGTATCTCAAAAAAAAAAGGAAAAGAAATCTGTTCTCCCAGGCTCCCCATTTCAGCATCCCACTCATTGATCATTGAAAACTCATTCACTAGGTTCACCACTCCTGGGTGTTATGCTGAGCAATGAGGATATTCATCATGGTGGATTATATGGCAGCAAAGAGCTCAAAAAAGGGTGATGGATGTGGGAAATGGGGGGCAGGAATCTAGTGGAACACACTTCAGTGGCCAGAAATAATGCATTGTATTTTCATGTAGCAATACATGCCAAAAGCACCAGATTTGCTTAAAACGCAAGAAACAGAACAGAATTTATAACCATCATGAATTTAAATAACATACACAAGGCTGGACACAGTGGCTCACGTCTGTAATCCCAGCACTTTGGGAGGGCCAGGCAGGTGGATTACTTGAGTCCAGGAGTTCGAGACCAGCCTGGGCAACGTGGTGAAACCCTATCTCTACAAAAAATACAAAAATTAGCCAGGTGTGGAGGTGCGACTGTAGTCCCAGCTACTTGGGAGGCTGAGGCAGGAGGATCGTTTGAGCCCGGGATGTGGAGGTTGCAGTGAGCTGAGATTGCACCGTTGCACTCTATCTCCAGCTTGGGTGACAGAGCAAGACCTGTCTCAAAAACAAAACCAAAACCAAATACATACACATTGAAAAATGCTACATATTTGTCATGATTATATGCAAATGTTTGTAAATAACTTATGGAAGATGAATTGGAAAGATACCTGCAAGGATGGATGCCTATGGGTGGAGAGGATGATGGGACTTGGGATAATGAAGGAGAAAAAAGTTAAATAAAAACAATGTCTATATAGGATTCATTAGCTGAGGATTGTGATCTATAAAATTCTCAGCACATATATGATGCATGCATATATATATATATGTATATATATATTTTTTGAGATGGAGTCTCACTCTGGTTGCCCAGGCTGGAGTGCAGTGGCGTGATCTTGGCTCACTGCAACCTCTGCCTCCTGGGTTCAAGCGATTCTTCTCCCTCAGCCTCCTGAGTAGCTGGGATTACAGGCGTGCCCCACCATGCCCAGCTATTTTTTTTGTTAGTTTTAGTAGAGATTGGGTTTCACCACGTTGGTCAGGCTGGTCTCAAACTTCCGACCTCAGGTGATCTGTGCGCCTCAGACTCCCAAAGTGCTGGGATTACAGGTGTGAGCCACTGCACCCAGCCAGGCCTTTGTTTTTATTTTGCCTACTATTAGTATAGCTTGCTTTGCATGTTATGTCTTTTTCTACCCCCCCTTCTTTTTTTTTTTTTACATTTTTGAATCCTTATGTTTTAGATGCAACTTTTGACTTTACATCTAGTTATACATTTTTTAAGAAAACTTGTCTAGCAATCTTTATATGTAAACTAGAGCATTTTGTCCATTTACTTGTGAAATAATTACTGAAATATTTGGGTTTAAAACCTATGTTCTTAGTCTGAATTTTCTATTGCATCACCTGATCTATATTTCTTTTTCTCTTCTGTTCTTTTTGATTAGTGCTTTTTTATTCTAGTTTTTTATGTAATTGTTTGACTGTCATACATGACTTTGGTTAGGAGTCTTGGATCTTCTTTGCTTCTTTTCAATTTTTGTCATTGTCTCTTGAATCCTTTTTAGTTCTTCATTTCTTTTTGGTTTTTAAAATTTATTGTACTTTTTTACTCATACGTTTGTCCCACTTTAGACTTTATTTCTAGAGTGATTTCTTTTAACTCTAATTTTCTCTTAAGTGATGTCCCCTCATTTAGCAATTCTTCTATTTATGACTTTTGTTGTTCATTTATGTCTCTTTTTTTGAGATGGGGTTTCACTCTGTTGCCCAGGCTGGAGTGCAGTGGCAGGATCATAGCTCACTGCAGCCTCAACCTCCTAGGCTCAAGCAATCCTCCCGCCTCAACTTCCCTAGCAGCTGGGATTAAAGACACACACCACCATACCCACTTAGTTTTTAAAATGTTTTGTAGAGGTGGGGGTCTCACTATGTTGCCCAGGCTGGTTTTGAACTCCTGGCCTCAAGTGATCCTCCTGCCTCACCTCCCAAAGTGCTGGGATTACAGGTGTGAGCCACCGCGCCCGGCCTTATTTATGTCTGGTATCATTTCCTTTCATTGTTCATTAGCTCCTTTGGAAACAGTAGGCTACCACTGTGATCTGTTTCACGGCAGGCTTCCTAGCTTTCTTCCATTGCCTCTAGGGACTTACCGAGGGCCCTTGCACCCACTCACCACTAGAGGGAGGAAAACCTTCCCCATTTCAGGAGCCAAATCCAAAATTCATGCTGCGCTTTTCCAGCACACACCTGTTGGCTCTTTTGAGGTTCCCCTGTTTTCGTCTCTGTTAGATGTTTCTTCGCTTTCTCCTGCACAGACACTGAAACCCTGGGGGACTGTGGCTCTTGGAAATTTATCCCCACCTTCTTGTACTTTTAGGTTCACCTGCTTTTTCTTAAGACACCATCTCACTTTATATTGCCCAGGCTGGAGTTCAGTGGTGCGATCACAGCTCACTGCAGCCTCAGACTCCTAGGCTCAAGCCATCCTCCTGCCTCAGTCTCCCAAGTAGCTGGGGCTGCAGGTTTGCGCTACCATGCCTGGCTTACCTGGTTTTGTTATAAGTCTCCAGCATGCATTTTTGGTTTTGTTACCGAGTTGCTCGGTGTCCTGTGGGCTGTGGGAATGTACAGGGCCCAAATGTAATGAACTCTGCGTTCATGTCTGCTGCCACCTTCTGGAGTTTCCCAGTTTGGATTTTTGAGTAAACTGTCTTAAGCAGCATTTCCTTTTAACGTCGTGAAACTAACGATAGCCATGTCCCCTAGCAAGATGCACCTTTGACACACTTTTATTCCCTCTCCTAAAAGTGGCTGAATTAATCTAAGCCTTTATTTCTAGATTATTTCATTTTTCCTTACATTGCATCTCTTTTCTCTCAGAAATTTGTCCTGGAAATTCCCACTCTGCTCTTCCCTGGCATTATCAGCAGTCGCTTAGATCTGTGGGTGTTCTGTGGGAGCTCATTTCTCACCAGCGCTCCCTGTGTGCTCTCTTCCCTCCACCTTTTCCCTCCAGGTTCGCTTGTCTGGAGATCATCCTCAGATCACTCTCGTCCCCTCCTCCCCAGTGCGTGATTTCTAAAGCCTTGCCTGTGACACTGGTCAGAGAACAGGCTCAGCGTGGTGGCACGTCACCATGAAACAGATGGACTTGGCTCAGGGTCCCCAAATGTGTCATTTCCCAGGAACTCCCCTTTCCTGCCGGGAGACTGAGCTCCGAGGACACCTTGGGCCATTCTGTAACTTCCTGGTTACCTTTAGTTATGGAAAGCCGTTGACCTCATGATTGTAAAAGGCTAATTGAGTGTTTGAATCAGACCGCGCTGGAGCTCAGCGGTGCTTCACTCCTCCCTCCTCCGACCTTGCCCTGCCTGGGGTCCTTCCGAGGCCCCAGAGGAGAGCGGGAAGCTGGAAGCCATGGGTCTTGTGCAAGGCCCTGCTTGGCTGGTCGTCAGGACTCAGGGCCCGCCTGCCCCTCTGCGCCTCTAGGGCGGGCATTGAATGCCGAATCCTCCCCGGGCTGAGCCCTCTTCTCCTGCAAGCAGAGACTGTGAAGATATTTGAGGCCGAGAGGAGGACAGAAGGGAATGGCAGGCTTTTTTGTGAATGTACCAGGCCTGCTGGCAGGCGTTTCCCAGCTTAGCTGACAGATCAGAACACAGAATCGGTCACCGCACAGGAAAGGGGTTGGACAGAATTGCACCAAGTATACAGTTGATTTACAGACATGAGAGGCTTTATTGCAAGGAAATTCATTCATTATTTTGTTATTTTTTTTTAAACAGATGGAGACAACAGGAAGGAAAGAGACCTTCCTGGTCACACTTGGGCCACAGGAGAACAGGCAGCGGCCCAGGAGGATCCAGGGTCCTGATGGTGGTTGAGAAGCTGGTTCTTAGTGATCACTCAGAAACGTCGGCCTGGCCTTGTGGGGTCAGACCTTGCATCTCAGTCAGCCCAGGGAGAAGAAGAAGATGGTCCACACCCAAGTGCAGGGAACATCGTGGCAGTCGGCTGGGTGCCTGCGTCCAGGCGAGGACACCTCCCGCATCAGGGAAACACACGTTTCTGGAGTGAGGAGGCTGAAGGCAGGGCCCAGAGGAGAGCTGAGCCATGGAAGGAGGTGTGTGCATGGATGGTGAGCTAGAGCAGGTGCAGGTGCCTCAGGGAGGATGTGTGGGACGAACTGACTCAGGGAACCATAAGAAATGCTTTCACCAAACAGGAGAAACCTGAAGGTCTGGGTCCAGAGCCTCAGATCTTACACTGGCAGCACACAGGGACACAACAGTTGGACTGGCAGCAACAGGGCTTGCAGCAGCTGGACTGGCAGCACACGGGGACACAGCAGCTGGACTGGCAGCAGCAGGGCTTGCAGCAGCTGGACTGGCAGCAGGATGATCCACAGCCTGAGGAGCAGCAACAGGGCTTACAACAGCTGGACTGGGAGCAGCCACAAGAACCACAGCCCCCCTTGGAACCCCCACAGGAGCCACAGCCCCCCTTGGAGCCCCCACAGGAGCCACAGCCCCCCTTGGAGCCCCCACAGGAGCCACAGCTGGTGCAGGAACAGGCTGGCACCCAGGAGCACACGGGCTTGCAGCAGCAGACAGGCACATAACATCTGGAGCCACATCCCCCACAGCTGGAGCTGCAGCCCCCACAGCCAGAGCCACAGCCCCCACGGCCGGAGCCACAGCCCCCACAGCCAGAGCCACAACCCCCACAGCTGGAGCCACAGCCCCCACAGCCGGAGCCACAGCCTCTGGAGCAGCCACAGCAGCCCATGGTTCTGGTGGATTGAGGGTGGAGCAGGTAGAGGAGCAGGTGAGAGGGAGGTGCAGGTGTGGAGCTCCCTGAGCCTGGGCTCTTTATATACCTGTCCAGATGTCAGGCATGACACAGGGTCCCTTTCTTGTGACTGTTTACACTATTTTTCCAGAGCTCTATTTTTTTCCTCTTTGCTAGTGACTTCCTTCTGGCTCAGTTGAGCATCTACTTTCTTTGTTTTCTAAATTTGTCTTTTTCCCCATTTGTTTTGGCCCCTACAATTAAAACCTCAGCTCCAGGCTGTCTGGTTCTTCCTGCAAAGCTCCAGGGTGCTGGTCACCTGCTCTCTGCTGACCACATGTGACCAATGGGCAACAGCCTCTGCCCACGTGCTCTCATCTTTCCTGTGTTGACTCCCTCAATAATATTAATTTTACATTTTTAGATTTCAAAATTATCCACGATCTTTATACTCATGCCAGTCTCAGCTTTCCGGGTGTGTTAGACCATTCTTTGCATTGCTCTAAAGAAATACTTGAGGCTGGGTAATTTATAAAGGAAAGAGGTTAGAATGGCTCATGGTTCTGCAGGCTGCACAAGCATGGCACCCACCTCTGCTCAGCTTCTGGGGAGGCCCTCAGGGAGTTTTCCTCACGGTGGAAGGCGAAGCAGGAACAGGCACACCACATGGTGAGAGTGGGAGCAAGGGGTGAGGAGGAGCCACACACTTGTGAACAACCAGATCTGAGTGAACACACTCATCGCCAAGGGGGTGGCACTAAGTCACTCATGAGGGATCCACCCCCATGACCCAGACACCTCCCTGCAGGCCCCTCCTTCAACACTGGCCAACAACTATATGAAAAAATGCTCCACATCACTAACTATTCGGGGAATGTAAATCGAAACCACCACGAGATACCATCTCATATCAGTCAGAATGGCTTTTGATAAAAAGTAAAAAACAAAACAAAACAAAAAAACCTAAAATCAGATGCTGGCAAAGCTTGAGAGAGAAGGGAACACTTGTACACTGTCGGTGGGAATGTAAATGAATTCAGCCACCACGGAGAGCAGTTTGGAGATTTCTCAAAGAGCTAAGAATTGAACTACTATTTGACCCAGCAATCTCATGATTGGGTATATACCCAAAGGAAAATAAATCAATCTACCAAAAAGACACATGCATCCATATGTTAATTGCAGTGCTATTCACAAAAGCAAAGATGTGGAATCAACCCAGGTGCCCATCAATGGTGGATTGGATAAAGAAAATGTGGTACATATACACCATGGAATACTACACAGCTGCAAAAAAGAACGAAGTCATATCTTTTGCAGCAGTATGGATGAAGCTGGAGGCCGTTATCCTAAGGGAACTAATGCAGAAGCAGAAAACCAAATACCACATATTCTCACTTATAAGTGAGAGCTAAACTTTGAGTCCACATGGACATAAAGATGAAAACCATAGACACTGGGGAACAAGAGGAGGGAGGAAGGGAGGGAGGGGGCAAAGGCTGAATACTGGGGAACAAGAGGAGAGAGCAAGGGGGCAAGGACTGAAAAACTACTGGGTACCACAGTCACTATTTTGGTGATGGATTCATTCATACTCCAAACCTCAGCATCACACAATATACCCATGTGAAAAACCTGCACATGTACTGCCTGATTCTAAAATAAAAGTTGAAGAAAAAGTTCTTTATATACTCTAGATACTAGATGCTTATCAGATATCTGATTTGTAAATCTTTTCTTCCTTTATTATGTAGACTGTTCTTTCACTTTGTTGATAGCGTCCTTTGGTGCAAAAATATTTAACTTTTGATGGCATCCAATGTATTTGTATTTCTCTTTTGTTGCTGGTGCTTTTGGTGTCCTATCTATGAATCCACACCGAATCCAAGGTCATGTTTTCTTTTAATAGTTTTATAGATTTGACTCTTAAATGTAGGCCTTTTGACCCATTTTAAATTAATTAGTGTATGTGGTGTGAAGTAGGGGTCCAGCTCATTCCTGTGCATGTGGATGTCTAGTTTCCCAGCATCATTTGTTGAAGTACTGCTCTTCCTCCATTGAATGATCTGGCACCCTGTCAAAAATCAGTTGGTCATCTACATGAGGGTTTATTTCTGGCTCTCAATTCTATTCCACTGGTTTATACATTTATTCTAACAACAGTGCTAAACTGCCCTGATGACTGCAGCTTTGTAGTAAGTTTTCAAATTGGCAAGTGTGAGCCCTCCAACATTGTTCTTCTTTTTAACCTTGTTTTAGCTATTCCGGGTCCCTTGAGATTCCACATGAACTTTAAAATCAGCCTGTGAATTTCTACAAAGAAGCCAGCTGCTTTCCTGATAGAGATTGCATAGACTCTGTAGATCAATTTTGGGGGTATTGCCATCTGAAAAATGTTAAGTCTCCTGATACATGAACATCAGTCTGCTTTTGGGCTGCCATAACAAAATACCACGGATTTGGTGGCCCAACAACAGGCATTTATTTTCTCACAATTCAGAAGTCCAAGATCGGGTGCAAGCAACTTTTGTTTCTGGTGAGGGCTCTCTCCTTTGGTTGCAGATGGCCGCTTTCCCACTCTTTGCTCACATGGCCTTTCCTTTGTGTGTGGAGAGAGAAAGAGTTGGAGGGAGGAAGAGAGAGAGAGAGAGAGAGAGAGAAAGAGAGAGCGAGACAGAGGCAAATGCTCCCTGGTGTCTCTTCTTATGAAGATGCAAATCCTGTGGAAGCCCTTATGACCTTACGTAACCTTAATTTCTTCCTTGGAGAACTCGTCTCCATATACAACCACAATGGGAGTGATGGATTCAACATATGAATTTGAAAGAACATGAATATTCAGTCCACAACAAATCTGGGATGTTTTAGATCTTCTTTAGTTTCTTTCAACAGTGTTTTGTCACTTTCAGAGTTGCAAGTGAGTAGAAATACAATTGATTTTTATATATTGGTCCTGTATTCTGAAAACTTGCTGGATTCATTTATTAGTTCTATAATCTATAAAACACTGGCCGAGCACGATGGCTCATGCCTATAATCCCAGCAATTTGGGAGCCCAAGGCAGGTGGATCACATGAGGCCAAGAGTTCAAGACCAGCCAGGCCAACATGGTGAAACCTCATCTCTACTAAAAATATAAAAACTAGCTGGGCACGGTGGTGCATGCCTGTAATCACAGCTACTTGGGAGGCTGAGGTGGAAGAATTGCTTGAACCAAGGAGGCAGAGGTTGTAGTAAGCTGACATTGTGCCACTGCACTCCAACAACCGAGCGAGACCCTGTCTCAAAAAAAAAATCTATAAAACATTAGTAGCTCTTACAAATTGACAAGTAGAATACAAACAACCAAGTTTTTAAAAAGATGATTCTCTGATAAACAAATGGAAGTGTGCAATTAAAAATATAAAAAGTAAATCAGACTCACTGGTAGTCAGATACACGGGATCTTTTCTGTGGAGTCCTAATGATGGAAAAGGAGCCAGGTTGGTTGGACCAAGGGAAAGCAAAAAGAGAAGGCAGATGAACTACAAGTCTGCCTTTCTTCCTGGTGCAGGACTTAGCCCTCCTATGCAAATAACTCACATAACTCACAATCTTCCTGCACTCAACTTATGACCTCAGTTGATAGAAAAATGCAAATTAGCTCACTGAAACCTTGGCATTATCAGCACTGCATGTAACCCTCTCCGGCACAAGCACCATCCTATAAAATCCCCAGCAAGCCTTTGTCTCCTGGCAGCCAGCTCCTCCCTTGCTGACCTGCCCTTTCCATTCTTGCAACGTATTTTCCTACATTCTCTAATAAATCTGCCTTTCCTTACCTACAACTGTCTTGGTAAATTCCTTTTCTGCCCACGCTAGTGGACTCAGTTAGTGGCTACCTGCAACATTTTATATCTACTAGACTGACCAAAATTAACAAGAATAATAACACCTATTGCTAGTGAAATTGGGGGAAAAGGTACTCATACATTGTTCTGGGGATACAATTTATTACAGTTTTTTTGAAAACAATATCTAATAAAATTAGGTCATATCAATACAATTAGTCTTGAAATTACTGAAAAAAGATTAAACGTAAACATATTCGTGTATACATATATGTGTATGATCTATTATTTACAGTGTCAGAAAAAGAATCCTAGCAAATTGAAAATTAATACTAAAAGTCATACCCACTAAAAAATAAGATTACACCTGTACCAGTGGACTTGGAGAAATTTCCTCAAGGCTCTGGCTAGTGTGAAATGTAGATGCAGAGAAATGAGCCCTGTAGGATCCTATTTTAGTAGCAAGCAATAAAAATATCTTTTACACATATGTTGAGTGTGTGCCTGGGGTACGTAGGACAGTGGCTGGGTGGAGTGGGGAAGGTGTGTAGGAATCAACAAAAAGCAAATGACAGTGAAAAGTGAGTCCAGTATGTGTGATCCTACTTGTGGAAAAACTCCACATATATGAATACGCATGCGCGTAAAGAAACATAGACTTATACCCAGATCTACTTCCTAGGAGAGGCAACCATGATACAAGTTCTAGTGAAAAGAATTAAGTTGCAAAGAAATGTGGATAATAAAATCCGAATTGGTAGCAATACCCAATTGTGTATGCGCATCTATTTTTTATACATTGTATGTGCAAGTAGGAGGGTTGGGTGGGGGTGCCTGTGGGGCCTGGCACTGGGGGTGGCTTTTATTGTTTTTTAATTGTGTATATTTAAGACATACAATTCGATGATCTCATATATGTCTACATTGTGAAATAATCACCACAGTCAAGATAATTAAGACATCTGCCACTTCACATAGCTCTCTCTCTCTCTCTCTCTTTTCTTGGTGGTGAGAACATGTAGGATCTACCCTCTCAGTACGTTTTAAGTACATAATAAACACCGTGTTGTTACCTGTGGTCACTTTGCTATGCATTGGGTCTCCAAGCCTTATTTATCTTGAAGAACTGAAGCTTTGGACCCCTGGGCCAGCACCTCCTCATTTCCCCTTTCCCTGCCTCTGGTTCCCATGCTTGCACTCTGTGCTTCTGTGAGTTTCACTCCTGTAGACTCCATGTGTGAGGGAGAGCGTGTGATGTCTGTCTTTCTGTGTCTGCCTCTTTTCACCCTGTGTAATGTCCTCCAGATTTGTACATGTTGTTGTAAGTAACCAGATCTCCTTCTTTTGAAAGCTGAAGAATATTCCATATATACACGTATAGATGTATGCATATATTCCACATTTTGAAAAAGTCAAATACATAGAAACATAGAATAGAACAGTAGTTACCAGGGTCTGGAGGAAGAAGGAAAGGGGGAGGAGGAGGTCAAGGGCTTGCGGTTGTGTAGGAGAGGGAGCCGAGCAGTCCAGTGCACAGTGCAAGGACTACAGGTGACAGTCAGGTGTTGTGTGTGGCAGGTGTGCTGAGAGAAGACTCCAGGTGCTCCTACCACACACACATACACACACACTAACATCGTACACACATACTTACCCTCATACACACACATACACACACACACTCACCCTCATACACATACATACATACACACAGTCTCACACACAATTAAAAACACACCTTACACACACTCATACACACATAATCATACAAACACACACACTCATACACATGCATACACACTCATACACACACTTATCCAAACACACCCATGCACACACACTTATACACACACATACAAAAAGGAACCATGGAAGGTGTTGGAGATATTAATTGCAGCCATCATTTCAGTAGTGTACATGTTTACCACAGCACCATGTTGTCCACCATGAATATGTACAATAAAAATAAATGTAAAAAAAGATGTGTCTTGGGAGAGTCCTTCATAATAACACCTGAGAGGTGTCACCTTTCTTGACTTTTTCTGACCATGAAATGCACCTGCCAAGGATGGCAGACGTAGGGAACTGACCTCCTGGGCCCTCACGTGCCCAATTATCTTTGGCCCTCCGGACTGGAGCAGTTTGTAGACCTTGGAAGCAGGGCCCCAGCACTGACTGCTTGGCCTCAGGCCTCTGCCCCATCGGTGGTCAGGTGGCGGCCACGAGGGCGTGGGAGCT
Source organism: Homo sapiens (assembly GCF_000001405.40). Taxonomy (NCBI): domain Eukaryota; kingdom Metazoa; phylum Chordata; class Mammalia; order Primates; family Hominidae; genus Homo; species Homo sapiens. Next base: position 1,604,322 of record NC_000011.10, read on the forward strand.
TGGCCATCCCTGCCTCCTGGAGTGGACGAGGTTGGCGGCTGGTCAGCCTGCTCCTGCCCCACCCTTGCCTCATGGACCCTGGTAGCATCACTGGCTCAGCCTTGCTGGGCATGCACAGGCAGCAGCACCCGCTCTGATCCAGGAGGCTTGCCCTGCTTTTGGCTAAGTTCTGGGTCCGGCCACTGCCACAGAAGGCTCAGTCCCCTGTGTGATCCTCCTGGCTGCTGCTGGGTGCCCATGGCGCCCCTGATGCCCTTCCCTTGACAGGGCTTGGGTTAGCATCAGGCCAGGACCCTCTGGGACTGGGACTTGTGCCCTGTCTGGGGTCCCTGTCCCACAGGTTGGGCCAGAGGCCACAGGGCATGCTGCTGGCTGGCCATGGCTGCAGGAACGTGACACTCACCCTTCCCTCTGGCAGCCTCCAAGTGATGAGTTTTCCAGTGGATATTAATTTCCTGAGGCCAGGAGCCATCTGGGGCTACAGGGCAGCCTGCCGTGTGCCATCCTGGCCCCTTCCACACCATGCTGGCCACTGCCTGTCATGGGGGTCGGAAGCAGGCGATCCCGTGCAGGAGGTGTCTCTGGACCTGCCTCTTCTCTTGCTCATCACAAGGCCAGGCCAAGCCTGGTGTCAGGACCCTGGTGGGGTTGCAGGGCCAGGCCTGTCCCCTGTGCCTGGGGTGTCCAGGGCACACATAGAGGAAATAGGGGCCCTGCATCCCGGCTCCTCAATGTACTGTAGAAATCATGGGCCCTCAACATTCAGGTCCGTGGGAGGCATCCACAGAGACTTCCAATGAAGGAACTGTTAGACAACTCCTGGTCTCTCCTGAGCTGGGGACAGGCCAGCCACACCCTGAGCCCCTGGGGACCCCCAGAGAGTGGCCTACTGTCTTGGGCTCTGAGGAAGTGCTCTCATTGTAGAGCACGGGGGATGTTGTGGCCCACTCCTCTCAATTTTGCTGTGAACCTAAAACTGCTCTGAAAAAAAAGTCCATTAAAGGAACTAGCATGGGCTGATGGGGAGGGGCTCATTCACCCCTGAGTTGGACACCGTGTGGCTACGAATCCACCCTCAGACCACAGAGTGGATTTCGGCAGCAACACCACACCCTAGCCTCATCCTGAGCTCAAATTTAACTCAGATAGACCAGGCCCTTTTTCTATCGTTCTTAGCCACCATTAAACCAGGTCACTCGTTCTGTGTTTTTGCAATTGGCTTTTAAACAAAAGAGCTGGGTTTGGTGTATGTTTCCTTGTCAAATATTTTTTTCCAATAACACAGGTGGAAGAAAACAGACAGGGCCTCTTTCTGGTCCAGCCATGGGGTGGAGGCCGTTTTTGACTTTCACCTTCCTCTGTGGGTCCAGCTCTCTCTTGCTTGTTGGCTCTGAGGATTATTTAGTTTTTCAACAGCTCAGTGACTTAAAAAAAATATATATGCTTTAAACATAGCACTTTAAAGCTTTATTTATTTACTTACTTATGTATTTATTTATTTATTTATTTAGAGAAAGAGTCTAGCTCTGTCGCCCAGGCTGGAATGCAGTGGTGCGATCTAGGCTCGCTGCAACCTCCGCCTCCTGGGTTCAAGCAATTCTCTTTCGTCAGCCTCCCAAGTAGCTGGGATACAGGCGCCCACCACCATGCCTGGCTAATTTTTGTATTTTTAGTGGAGACGGGGTTTCACCATGTCCTTTTAGAAGTTTCAGGGTTGTGAATAGTGTCTAGTCAACCTTACTACCGAAACAGAAACTCAGAAGCAATTTCTGAAACTTCCGTGTTGTTGAGTTTTCACTTTCTTGTCGCAGTTCCGCCAGGCACTCACTGCCTACCATCCTGTGAGACGGTGGCTTCCCGAGCAGCCTCCAGCGCTCTGCTGTTACAGACGCCTGGGTCTGGGGGCTCCAGCCTTGCAGCCCACCTCCTCCTCCGCCAGCTCCTGCCTTCCCTCCCCATGAGTCGAACATGCTGGACTTTGGTCTAGGCCCTCCAGCCTCCGGAACTGGGAGAAATGGTGTCTGTTGTTCCGTCTTCCAGGCTTACTCTGTGGGTTTTGTTCTGGCAGCCCCAGCTGACAGAGGCAGCAGGGAAGGGACAGGTGGGCACCTGAATCAGAAGTCTGTGTAGGGAGGTGTCACAAGGAGGCAGGAAATAGATGTCTGTAGGAAGCCTTCCAGGAGATGCTGAGGGATTTGGCGACTTGTGGGGGAGAGAAGCCCAAGGGGCCTCCCAATTCTGTATCCTGGAAGATGGGAAAGACGGAGACGCCCCAAGCCAAGTGGATGCCACGGCTGAGTTGTGCCCCCTGGTTCATATGTTGGAGTCCTCAACGCAGTATCTCAGAATGGCACCTTATTTGAAGATAGGTCTTTACAGGGGTGATTAGTTCAAACATGGACCTAATGGAGTAGGGTGGGCCCTAGTCTAATCTGTGTCCTTATGCAAAGAGATGAGGACGCAGACACACACAGAGGGATGAGTACGTGAGGATATAGGGATGGCGGCATCAGTAAGCCACGGAGGGAGGCCTCAGGAGGACCCGGCCCTGAGGCACCTCGATGGCGGATTCCGGACTCCAGACTGTGAGACAATCCACTCCTGTTGCTTAAGCCACACGGTTTGTGGAGCAGCCCTAGCAAACTCACACAGCAGGGTACGGGGGGTTCCCAAATGCCTGGGAGTGCAACTCTGTGGAAAGTGTACATTTCTCTAATCACACAGAAGTTGAAACAAAAGAATCACAATGCAAACTCGTGGGAGGTGCAGATCGTATTTATTTAGAAGATCTAGCCTAGGCACTTACAAGGCGAAGCCCTGGGGAAAGAAACAGGGCCAGGTCGGAGGTAGAAGAGGAGACTGGGCGCCCCTCCTCCTCAGGAGAGGATCCTGGGGTCTCCAATAATTCCGAGTCCTCTAGGTCAACTCCAAAAGCAATCGGAGCGGTGGCAGCTCAGGCAGGATGAAGACGAAGCGGGGAGGAGCCAGGAGGTTGCGGGGACCGGGGAGAGGCGGCAGCAGGTCGGAGGATTCCAGTGTCAGCGTGTTTCCAGCAGGCTCACAGGAGGGGCCCAGGGATGTGGGATCTTGAAGCCCTGAGAAGGTTGAAGTGGTGGGGTCAGGAAAGGAAGACGGGATTCCGGGAGGGTTGATGGGCAGGACCCAGCATGCCAGAAGCCCTCATGACCTCAGAGGCTGAGCGGCTGAGTACTGAGCCCTGGACGCTAGGCTGCCTTAGTCCAGAGGAGGACAGATTCAGAGACGTGCTTCAGGAATTCAGGACACAGCTGCAATCATTCCTGGAGAGCCCGGATCTGTAGGACCCACTGAGGTTTGTGGGCAGAGCCTCAGATCTTGCACTGGCAGCAAATTGGGACACAGCAGCTGGACTGGGAGGAGCAGGGCTTGCAGCAGCTGGACTGGCAGCAGGATGACCCACAGCCTGAGGAGCAGCAGCAGGGCTTACAGCAGCTGGACTGGGAACAGCAGGGTTTGCAGCAGCTGGACTGGCAGCAGGATGACCCACAGCCTGAGGAGCAGCAGCAGGGCTTACAGCAGCTGGACTGGGAACAGCAGGGCTTACAGCAGCTGGACTGGGAGCAGCTGGGCTTGCAGCAGCTGGACTGGCAGCAGGATGACCCACAGCCTGAGGAGCAGCAGCAGGGCTTATAGCAGCTGCACTGGGAGCAGCCACAAGAACCGCAGCCCCCCTTGGAGCCCCCACGAAATCCACAGACCCCCTTGGAACCCCCACAGGAGCCACAGCTGGAGGAGCAGCAGACGGGCACACAGCAGCTGGAGCCACAGCCCCCCTTGGAGCCTCCACAGGAGCCACAGCCCCCCTTGCAGCCCCCACAAGAGCCACAGACCCCCTTGGAGCCCCCACAGGAGCCACAGCTGGAGCAGGAACAGGCTGGCACACAGCAGCACACGGGCTTGCAGCAGCAGACAGGTACACAGCAGCCGGAGCCACAGCCCCCATAGCCGGAGCCACAGCCCCCACAGCTGGAGCCACAGCCCCCACAGCTGGAGCCACAGCCTCCAGAGCAGCCAGAGCAGCCCATGGTTCTGGTGGGTTGAGGGTGGAGCAGGTAGAGGAGCAGGTGAGAGGGAGGTGTGCAGGTGTGGAGTTCTCTGAGCCCGGGCTCTTTATATTCCTGCCCAGGTGTTTATACTGAACACGTGAATACTTCTGTTGTTGTTTCTGCTATTTCACATGCACAAGTGTTATTTTTAATCTCTCCACAATCCCATGAGCCACCATCAGCTCAAGCCAAGCTGTCCTTTCCTTGGTTTCTAAATTTGGCCTCTTCCTCATAGGTGTTTCCCTTTGTTAGAAGACACTGGGCTCCCTCTCCAGTGGGTGTCCCAGGAGCCTGGGAGGCGGTGGTTGCTTGGCCGAAGGGTGGACCATTGTCCTTGGTGCTCAGGGCTCTCCTCAGCGATGCAGACCCTCCACCCCCTGGCATTGGTGTTTATATCAAGGATGGTCATTTGGTAAAAAATAAAATAAAATAAAAATTAAAAAAATAAGCTGAAAGAAAGGCTGTCTATAGGTTCCACCGCTTAAAAACTTCAAGTATAAATATTTTGTCAAATCTGTAAAACAAAGTTTTGAAGAGCATGGATTTGAGTGTGGCCCTGGTTCTCCTTTGTCTTTCTTACCTCTTCCTCCTGCGGTTTGGCTCACTCCTCCAGACACGGATTAGACCCACGTTCCCTTCAGGCAAGCTGGGCTCACAGAGGGAACAGAGGAACAGGACCCTTTCTAATGCTTTTGAGTTTTCCTCTATTAATTCTTTGTAAAAATTCTACAAATCAATGGATATTCTTCAAGTTTATTCTTCTTGAAGGCTACAAAAATTTTGATTAGCCAACCTCTCTAACACACTTTTATTTTCTAAAAGATTAATTTTAATATTTTTTTTTTGAGAAGGAGTATCGCTCTTGTCACCAGGGCTAAAGTGCAGTGACGCAATCTCGGCTCACTGCAATCTCTGCCTCCTGGGTTCAAGCAATTTTCCTGCCTCAGCCTCCCCAGTAGCTGGAATTACAGGCGCCCACCACCAGGCCTGGCTAATTTTTTTGTATTTTTAGTGAAGACAGAGTTTCACCATGTTGGGCAGGCTGGTTTCGAACTCCTGACCTCAGGTGAACCACCCGCCTCAGTCTCCCAAAGTGCTGGGATTACAGGTGTGAGCCACTGCACCCAGCCAAATTTTAATTTTTTATTAAGGTAAAATTTACATGCAGTGAAAAAAAATTTTTTTTCTGAGTCTCCCTCTGTCACCCAGGCTGGAGTGCAGTGATGCAATTTCAGCTCACTACAACCTCTGCCTCCCGAGTTCAAGCAATTCTCCTGCCTCAGCCTCCCAAGTAGCTGGGATTACAGGCACCCACCACCACACCCAGCTAATTTTGTATTTTTAGTAGAGACGGGGTTTCACTATGTTCGCCAGGCTGGTCTCGAACCCCTGACCTCAGGTGATCCACCTGCCTTGGCCTCCCAAAGTGTTGGGATTACAGGCATGAGCCACCAGGCTTGGGCTGCATTTTTTTTTTTTTTTTTTTGAGACGGGGTCGCATTCTGTCGCCCGGGCTGGAGGGCAGTGGTGTGATCCTAGCTCACTGCAGCCTTGGTCTCCTGGGCTCTGCACATATTTTGAGTGTACAATTCCATGAGTTCCGCTAAACATGTACTCGTGTGCCCATCACTCCAACCATGACCAACTGCTTCACCCCCAGAAGTTTCCCTTTCGCCGCCTTCCCTTCCTGCCCATCGCTCCAGGCACAGCTCTGCTGACCAGTTGTGCCTGTTGTTGAATGTTGCAAAAATGAAATCATTAAAAATGTACTCTGGTTTCTTTCCCTCACGATGTTATTCTGTGTGTCAATGATTTGCTCTTCTTCTTTTTTTTTTTTTTTTTTTTTTTTTGAGACAGGGTCTTGCTCTGTCACCCAGGCTGGAGTGCAGAGTGGTGCGCTCATGGCTCACTGCAGCCTCGACCTCCTGGGCTCAAGCGATCCACCTGCCCCAGCCTCCCAATGTGCTGGGATTACAGGCATGAGCCACCACGCCTGGCCTTCTTCTTCTTTTGTAATCACCGCATAGTGTTTCTGTAGCAGGGCGAGCCGCAGACAAGAACCCCTCAGACACTGAATTGTAGAAGGAAAGGGCTTTATTCAGCTGGGAGCATTGGCAGACTCAGGTCTCCAAAAACCAAGCTCCCCAAGTGAGCAATTCCTGTCCCTTTTAAGGGCTTACAACTCTAAGGGGGTCTGTGTGAGAGGGTCGTGATCGATTGAGCAAGCAGGGGGTACGTGACTGGGGGCTGCATGCACCGGCAATCAGAACGGAACAGGACAGGACAGGGATTTTCACAATGCTTTTCCATACAATGTCTGGAATCTATAGATAATATAACCGATTAGGTCAGGGGTCAATCTTTAACTACCAGGCCCAGGGTGTGGCACCGGGCTGTCTGCCTGTGGATTTAGTTTTTACTTCTTTTTTCTTTGGAGACAGAAATTGGGCATAAGAAAATATGAGGGGTGGGGCCCCCCTTATTCCATGTAAAAATATTCTCCACTGCGTTCCCCCGTTCTCACGTTCATACATATTTGAATCGTTCACAGTTTGGGGCGATGATGAATAACACATAATCATGCCTTCCAGTCCTTCCGTATTCATGTTTTTAGTTTTAATTTTTTGGTCAAATATTGAGGACTGGCCTTGCTAGACCATAGAGTAGTGTATGCTTAACTTGCTAAGAAACAGACAGCTTTCCAAATGCTCATGCTGCTTTCCCCCTCCCCAGCAATGCCTGAGAGTGTCCGCTGCCCCAGGCCTGTCAGTACCAGCCAGCGGCTTTTCAAATGTGAGGCATCGGATGGGTGTAAAATCGCATCTCGTGTGCATTTTGACCTGTGTTTCTCTGATGACTAATGTTCGCAAGGATTCTTTCTTGCACTTATTGGACATTTGCACATCTTTCTTGTTAAAAAGTTTTGCTAAAATTGTTTGCCCATTTTATTGTGATTTTTTTTTGTCTTTTTGTTATTGAGTTGTTGGAACTCTTCATAAATTCTATATCAAGAATGAATATGTGAAGTGCTTTGCCATATGTACGTATATATATTTACATATATATTTCATATACATGTGTATATGTGTGTATATAATATATATATGTAGAATATATATATTGTATATAATTTTCTAGTATTTGACTTGCCTTATTGTTATCTGAACTTTTTATATGGAAATGTTTTTGATTTTGAAGTCCACGTTAACATTTGTTTTGACAGCTAGTGCTTTCTTGTGACCTCTTTGAAAACCCTTTTTCCTAGCATTTCCTTTAGAAGCATTAGAGTTTTAGTTTCTATATTTAGTTCTATGATGGATCTCAAGCTAATTTTTGCGTGTAATGTGAGGTAGGAGTTGAGATCCATTTTTTCACATTTTCATCCAATTGTTTCAGCAGCATTTGATAAAAAGACCTTCCTGGCCAGGCGCAGTGGCTCACGCCTGGAATCCCAGCACTTTGGGAGGCCAAGGAGGGCAGATCACCTGAGGTCAGGAGTGCAAGACCAGCCTGGCCAACATGGCAAAACCCTGTCTCTACCAAAAATACAAAAATTAGCCAGACATGGTGGGGGGCGCCTGTAATCCCAGCTACTCAGGGGACTGAGGCAGGAGAATCGCTTTAACCCGGGAGGTAGAGGCTGCGGTGAGCCGAGACTGCAGCACTGCGCTCCAGCCTGGGTGACAGAGTGAGACTCTGTCTCGATATAAACAAACAAACAAACAAACAAACCGTGCTTATCCCACTGAAATCACTGGTGTTTTTAATGAGAATCAGCCGACACGATGGCGAGTTTCTTCCTGTGTCCCGCTCCGCAGGTCTGTATGCCGCTTCCTAATGCAAACACAGCGTCACTGTGACATTATGGGAGGTTTTGAAGTTAAGTATTGTGAGACTCCAACTTCATTCTTCTTTTTAAAGATTGTTTTGTTTGTTTCCAATTCCTTTACTTCTCCAGCTAAATTTTAGAACCAACTTGATCATCTCAAATACCAAAAAACCCGTTGCTGTTGCAATAGACAGCTGAGGCACGGGAAAGACCCTGGAGAGAGCCCCTGTGCCATGTGGGCAATTGGAGAAGGCTGAAGGCTGAAGCTGGAGTTCTAAGACTGGGAAATGCCTGCTCACTCCAGCCCCCACCCCCATCACCAGACTATGGAGCCCGTGGGAACAAAGGTAACTGCACCCACCAAGTCTTTGTCTTTCCTCTTTTCTTTTCTTTCTTTCTTTTTTTTTTTTTTTTGAGACGGAGTCTCGCTCTGTCACCCAGGCTGGATGCAGTGGCCCGATCTCGGCTCACTGCAAGCTCCGCCTCCCGGGTTCACGCCATTCTCCTGCCTCAGCCTCTCTGAGTAGCTGGGACTATAGGCGCCCGCCACCACGCCCTGCTAATTTTTTTTTTTTTTTTTTTGTATTTTTAGTAGAGACGGGGTTTCACCGTGGTCTCGATCTCCTGACCTCGTGATCTGCCCGCCTCGGCCTCCCAAAGTGCTGGGATTACAAGTGTGAGCCACTGCGCCCGACCTGTCTTTCCTCTTTTATAAAATGCCTGCTGATGTCTATGAGTTGGTTCCTCTGTTTAGTTGTTTTCTTTGCTTGCTAATTGGTGTGAGCTCTTTGGGTTTTCAAATGCTGAGCCACGGTCAGCTTTATTTTATTTTATTTTATTTTATTTTATTTTATTATTATTATACTTTAAGTTTTAGGGTACATGTGCACAACGGGCAGGTTTGTTACATATGTATCCATGTGCCATGTTGGTGTGCTGCTCCCATTACTCGTCATTTACTCAGCAAACTATCGTGTGGTCAGCTTTTATGTTGCAAGATCCTCCTTGGTTCATCTTTTCATTCTCGCGAGGCCTTCCCTTGTTAAATGAGAATCCTTGAGTGTTTAATTTTAACTTATCAATTCACCCACCTCTTCCTTTAGAATTAGAGTATTTGGGGCCTTATTTAGGAAATACTTCTCTGAGATCATGATATATTTTTCTGTAAAAGTTGAAAACTTTTGTCATCTGTTTTAAAATCTTGAATCAGGTATATGTGATGGTTAATTTTATGTGTCAATTTGGCTGGATCCCAGGGTGCCCGGATATTTGGCTGAATGTTATTTCTTGGTGGTCGGTGAGGGCAGTTTCTGGATGAGACCAGCATTGGGATCAGTGGACTCAGGAAAGCAGACGCCCTCCCCAATGTGGGTGGCTTCCTCTGATCCACTGAGGGCCCGAATAGATCAAAACGTGGAGGAAGTCCCTTTCTGCCTGACCGCTCCAGCTGGCACATCGGTCTCCTGCCCTCGGACTTACACTCACACCGTCAGCTCCCTGGTTCTCGGGCCTTTGGACTTGAACAGAATGACCCCGCCGGCTTTCCTAGGTCTTCAGCTTACAGACAGCAGATCATGGAGCTGCTCAGCCTCCAGAATCGCATGGGCCAATTCTTCATAATCATCTGTGTATCTGTGTATCTCTCTCTGTGTGTATGTATGTATGTATGTATCTATCTATCTATCTATCTATGTAACTATGTAGCTATGTATCTATTTATCTATGCATGTATCTATCATCTATGTATCTATATATGTATCTATCCATCTATGTATCTATCTTTGTATCTATGTATCCATGTATCTATCTGTGTATCTATGTAAGTATGTATCTATCTATGTAGCTATCTAACTATGTATCTGTCTATGTAGCTATCTATCTACCTATCATCTATTTATTTATGTATGTATCTACCTATGTATGTATCTATGTGTCTATGTATCTATCTATCATCTATGTATCTCTATATATATCCATCTATGTATCTATATGTCTATTATCTATCTTTGTATCTATCTATCCATTTATGTATCTATTATCTATGTATGTATGCATCTATCTATCTATCTAATCTACCTATGTACCTAATCTCCCACTGGTTCTGTGTCTCTGGAGAACCCTGATTAATGCAGTATAGATTTTTGTGTATTCGTGTGGAAACTGCCTTTCTCGGCATGTTTTCTTTTCCAGCCCCTCGGTCACCCAGTGTCAGTCAGGATGGCCTGGGTTGTGCTGCAGCAACAAACCACACCAAGATCTCAGTAGCTGAGTCAACCCACACCTCCCACCACCACAAGACACCTGGGGCTCTGCCTCTTATTCCATAACCCAGGCAGCCAGTTGCTGTGACAGAGGAAAAGAAAAATATACTATTCATAATAGAATTCAGCAGTATATTAAAAAGAATTTTGGCTTACAGGCATGGTGGCTCATGCCTGTAATCTCAACACTGTAAGAGGCCAAGGCGGGAGGATCACTTGAGTCCAGGATTTTGAGACCAGTCTAGGCAACTTAGGGAGACCCCATCTCTACAAAAAAAAAAAAAAAAAAGGCATACTGATGTGCACCTGTGGTCCCAGCTACTTGGGAGGCTGAGTTGGGAGGATCACTTGAGCCTGGAAGATCAAGGGGACGGTGAGCCATTATTGCACCACTGCACTCCAGCCTGGGCAACAAAGTGAGAACCTGTCTAAAAATAATAGTAAATAAATAATAAATAAAATAACTTTGCACCCTAACCAAAATATTTACAAACCACATATCTGACAAAGGACTGGAATATACAAATCTAGACCATGTAAAGAACTCTCAAAACACAACAGCAAATCATACATAAACACAAAAACAATCCGATCCAAAAATGGGCAAAAGACTTGAAGAGACAATTCTCTGAAGAGGACGTACAGTGGCAAATAAGGATGTGAGAGGAAGTTTGACATCCTCAGACTTTAGGAAAGACAAACTAACCAGTAATGCGATATCATGATGCCCCTATGAGAATGGCTTAACAAAAAAATAGCAGCGACACCAAATGCTGGCAAAAGGCAGAGAAGCTGGGCCACTCGTATGTTGATGGTGGGAATGCAAAATGGTACAGCCACTCTGGAAGATAGGTTGGCAGCTTATGAAAAAAACTAACCACACAACCGCCATTCAACACAGCAATCTCACTCCTGGGCATTTATCCCAGAGACATGTGCACACGGAAAACCTGTCCACAAATGTTAATAGGAGGCTTATTCATGATCACCAAATGCTGGAGACACCCACATGTCCCTTGATGGGTGAAGGGGAAACACACTGGTTCACCTCTGCCAGGGGACACGTCTCAGCCATGAAATGGCAGGAATGACAGACGCTCGATGACCCAGATGAATCTCCAGAGAATCATGCTGGGTAGGAAAAGCCAGTCTTAAAAGGTTACACACTGTGTGTTTCCATTCATGGAGCATTCTCGAAATGACAAAATTACAGAAATGGAGAACAGGAGGGAAATGTGGGGGCTGCATCAGGGCAACGCGTGGGGTCCTTGCTAGAGAAATGATCTGTATTGTGACCGTGCCAAGGTCAATATCACTGTGTTGTTATGTTACCTGCATTCCAGATGCTGTCACCGGGGACATGGGAAAGGGTACATGAGATCCCCTTTGTGTCTTCTTACGAGTAACTTCTTACGAGTAACTTCTTATGAGTAACTGCAGGTGAATCTACAATCACCCGAATATAAAAAGTTAAATTGAAAAAAGAGTGCATACCTCACAGATACTCAGGGAGTCATGTTTATAAAGTGTGTGGGAGAGTAGCTGGAATGCACGAGGTGCTGTCAATATCGGGTGGTGGCAGTGAAGGCGGTCATTGGATAAATCACCAATTAGGCAATTGGCGAATCAGATTCCAAATACTTTTCCAAGGTAGAACCTTGGAGATTTGCTGTTGGATTGGATGTGGAGGGTGGAAGAGGAGTCAAGAGGATGCCCAGGCTTCTATCCTGAGCCCTGGGAAGGATGGAGCTGCTGTGAACTACAATGGGGAAGGCTGGGAAGGCGTTGGTTCCAGGGGAAGGAGGAGGAGTTCAGTCTGGGATGTGCTTAGTTTGAAAGGCCAGATGTCCATGAGAAGCAGGCACCTGGGCCTGTGAGTGTGGAACCTAGAGGGGAAGGTGTTGTGAGAGACATGGAGGAGGTCGCAGGTGAGATAGAGACCCCCCGGCTGAACCTGGCACCGCCCAGTGCTCAGGGCCTGGAGGAGGAGAATTAAGCAATGGAGACTGAGGTGGAGTGGCTGGTGGCACAGAAAGGAAGCCAGGGCTCTGCACTGGGCTGGCTCTGTCCCTACATAGATAGATAGATAGATAGATAGATAGGTACATAGATACATAGATACACACATGGATACATACATGGATACATAGATACGTAGCTAGCTAGCTAGATACAGACATACATACATACACACATACATACATAGATGGATACATAGATACATAGATAGATACATACATACATAGATGGATACATAGATAGGTACTTACATACATACATAGATGGATATAGAGATACGTAGATGATCGATAGATACGTAAATAGATACATAGATACATACGTACATGCATACATAGATGGATACATAGATACATAGATAGGTACTTACATACTTACATAGATGGATACAGAGATACCTAGATGATCGATAGATACATAGATAAATAGATACATAGATAGATACATAGATGATTCTGAAGAATTGGACCCTGCAATTATGGAAGTTGAGCAACTCCACAATCTGCTGTCTGTAAGCTGAAGGTGTCCCCTGCTTGTTTCCAGACTGAGTCTGGTTCCCCGATCACTCTGACCAGAGATTCATGCTAAGATGCTCCCTCGGTGACCACTCCACAACCAGCCAACATCTCTAGGCTCCATACAGGGTCTCCCTGTGCTCATTGTAAATCATCAGGCCTTCAAAATATTCACTAGTGGCAGTGGTGCATGCCTGTAGTACCAGCTACTCGAGAGACTGAGGCAGGAGGATCCCTTGAGCCCAGGAGTTCGAGACCAGCCTGGGCAACACAGTGAGACTCTATCTCTATTAAAAACAAGAAGAGGAAGGTAAAAAAGAAAATAATCACAAACAAGTAAACAAGCTGACAATGTCATTTATTTATTTATTTTTTATTTATTTGAGACAGGGTCTCACTCTGTCACCCAGGCTGGAGTGTAGCAGTGCAATCATAACTCACTGTAGCCTCAACCTCCCAGGCTCAAGAGATTCTTCCACCTTAGCCTCCCCATTAGCTGGGACTGCAGGTGTGCACCACCATGCCCAGCTAATTCTTTCATTTTTCTGCAGAGACGGGGTCTTGCTATGTCACCCAGGTTGGTCTTGAACTCCTGAGCTAAAGTGTTCCTTCTTCCTTAACCTCCCAAAGTACTGGGATTACAGGAGTGAGCCAAGCCCAAGCTGACTACTTCTTTTTTTTTTGAGACAGAGTCTTGCTCTGTCACCCAGGCTGGAGTGCAGTGGCACCATCTCGGCTCACTGCAAGCTCCGCCTCCTGGGTTAACACCATTCTCCTGCCTCAGCCTCCCGAGTAGCTGGGACTACAGGCGCCCACCACCACATCTGGCTAATTTTTTCTTTTTTTGTATTTTTAGCACAGATGGGGCCAAGCTGACCACTTCCAAAAGTGTTCTCCACTCAAGCAGCTCGTTTACTTAACAATATCACTTATTCCCACACACCCCCTCCCAAATGTCTTTCATGTCTTTGCAGAACCAGCTCTCTTAAATACATTTTCCACAGTCATATTTACGATGCAGATTTTAAGTAAAATTGCAATGCTTGCAAGAAAAGAAACGTAGGATTCTGTGATGTCACTGAAAGTGACATTGGAGAACATCTGCTGGGAGCCAGGCAAGGCCACCACGGTGAAGATCAGGCGGTTCACCCTGAAAGAGAAGCTGGTCAAGGAGGCAAGATAGAGGCTTCCCAATGGGGTGAGTTGACCTCAAAGAGAGGCGTCCGTGAAGGATGAGAAGGAGCTCAGTTGTTTTTGCTACGCGACTCCCTTCAGCGTCATTCTGTCACGGCCAACTGTGAAATGAAGGATGTTGCAGCAGGCAATCCTATGATTTTATCAAAAAATTATGCATAAAATGTCCAACACGTGATTTTCTCTTTGTTGATTTCATGGAGAGTTACAACTATGTCTTAAATCTTGCTAACAATCATGTGACATCTGTTCATTATTAAGGAAGGTTTTGGGTTTCTTTCTCTTTCTCTTCTACCCCCACACCACAAGCACAGACAGCATTGGTTCTGTTGGGCCTGTTTCCAACGAATGGCTGGCGGCAGGCTCTTCTCTGGTGCCCATTACCGTGGTAGTGAGGCCATCTTTGATCTGCAGGTCACTGGGTCCTGCCTGGGCCAAACACCTCCCCCTCTTCCCTGCAGAAACCTCTTCATCACACAGCAGGACATGAATTTACCCACAGGAGCCACAGGCCAAGCAAAGAGAACGCCAAGTGAGCCATGGGGGGAGAAGTTTCCGGCGTCTTCTTCCGGACCCACTGACCCCACAGCAGCCCCTCCTGCCCCACTGGCCAGGCTGGAGGCAGCTACCAACTCCCTACCTCAGTGTGGTCTGTTCTCATGGAACCTCATCAAAGTGTACCCTTAAAAAGGGTTCCTTTTAGCCGAGCACGGTGGCTCATGCCTGTAATCCCAGGACTTTGGGAGGCTGAGGCAGGCGGATCATGAGGTCAGAAGATCGAGACCATCCTGGCTAACACGGTGAAACCTCATCTCTACTAAAAATACAGAAAAAAAAAATTAGCCAGTCGTGGTGGTGGGCGCCTGTAGTCCCAGCTACTTGGGAGGCTGAGGTAGGAGAATGGTGTGAACCTGGGAGGCAGAGCTTGCAGTGAGCCGAGATCGTGCCACTACACTCCAGCCTGGGCAACAGAGTGAGACTCCGTCTCAAATAAAAAAAAGAAAAAAAAAAAATTCCTTTCATTTGAGCTTCAATTGTTCTTTGCTGCTCAAAAGCCTTCTAAGTCTTACCATTTACCAGGCAGAACTGAGAACTCTGTAGCTCCCCAGGTTTCTCCAGGCTTTCTAGAACTTTCCTCCTGGCTGGCAAATCAGCCGGTTCTTTCGAGCTCACCCTGTTCTTGTAATGCTTTGATAAATGCAGCCACAACGACCCACGTGGGAGTGGCATTGTGTTTTCTGAACTCTTCCCTCAGGGATACACGATCTGGGACAGTCTTACCAAACACATAATAACTACCTTTCTCACCTCTAATAACTTTCCTTTCCACCCACCCTCTGACCAATAAACCAGGCCCACAATGCTATGTTTTTGTTCTGGTAGGTTTCTGGGTCAACCAGGATAGACCAATTACGCTGCTCACACGCGCCACCCCCACGTTTCAGTGACTTCACACGACACAGGCTTACTTCCTGTTCATATCCCAGGCCACTGCACGTCAGCTGGTGACTCTGCTCTGTGCTTCGTCACTCTGGGACTCAGTCGGAAGCAGCAGCCACTGCTTGGAATGTTGGTGGTCATGGTAGGAGAAGAAACGGAGAATGCAGAAGACTGCAGCAGGTGCTTCAAACTTCTTCCCACTGACGCAAGCAAATCACATGGCCACACCTGACTTAGAGAGGGCTCATGGAAGGGCCACCCTACCACCTGCCATCCAACCTGTTCCCAGAAGGAGAGGAGAACCAGGATGCCTACAAATAGCCCTAATTACCACCCCATTCTGGGCTCTGTGTGGCAATGCTGCCAGTCCTATAGATAGGTTTTTGCCTAAATGAGCTTAAGCTTTTTTTTTTTTTTTACTCCAACATATGCATTTAAGGCTATAAATTTTTCTCTAAGCACTGATTTGGCTGCATGCAGTAAATTTGATAGCCCCATTATTTCATTAGGGGTTACAAAATGGTTAGCTTCTAATTCTACGATTTCTTCTTTATTTATAAACTGGAATACTTCCTCTAATTTTTTGGTTACCGTAAGATAGAGTTTCTCTATCAGAGATAGAATAAGTGCCTGATTATTTTCCTTTATATAGTCATCTTCGAAATAATGACTTGATTCCTAGAATCCTCTAAAGGCAACTAAATTTTACAGTTTGCATAGTATCTCTATTATTATTTGTGTATGTATGTGTGTGCGTATGATTACTCACTCCTAGTTTAAACATATTTGATGTGTATCAGTCCAGTTAAGAAATTGGTGTTCAGATTGTTTCAAGTCTGTCTATACAGAGTTTCTCCAGGTTTGACTCTTACCTTTTTTTTTTTCTTTTTTTGAGACGGACGAGAGGCAGCGGAGACAGCCAGCCCCATCCTAGCACCTTCCAGCAACATCACCATCAGACTCACGGAGTCCGAAATATAACAAGAATAAGAAAACAATAGCCATAGCCATAGTAATGACACCGAACAACAGAGAAATCAGCAAGATATGTGTTTCAGTTTGTCGGCATGGTATTTTTATTAGTTTGCAACTTTCTGTTTAAGATAAAGCAGTGTGATCCTGGTTAACATGGTGAAACCCTGTCTCTACTAATAATAATAAAAAAAAAATTAGCCGGGCGTGGTGGCGGGCACCTGTAGTCCCAGCTACTGGGGAGGCTGAGGCAGGAGAATGGAGTGAACCCGGGAGGCGGAGCTTGCAGTGAGCCGAGATGGTGCCACTGCACTCCAGCCTGGGTGACAGTGCGAGACTCCATCTCAAAAAAAAAAAAAAAAAAAAAAAGATACAGCAGAGTGTTGGACATGCAAAGCCACTCCAAGGAAGCCTCTTAAACGCCCACCTTGTTGCAGGTGGGACGCTTATGCCCAGCTGCTCCAGCTGGAAAAG
Source organism: Homo sapiens (assembly GCF_000001405.40). Taxonomy (NCBI): domain Eukaryota; kingdom Metazoa; phylum Chordata; class Mammalia; order Primates; family Hominidae; genus Homo; species Homo sapiens. The sequence goes on from NC_000011.10 coordinate 1,621,111, forward strand.
ACAGGACTGCAAGTGGGTTCAGGAGCTCAGGCCTCTGAAAAGATGAGCAAAGGCGAGGCTAGTGGGTGAGGGGTGATTCAGCTGCAATTGCAGTTGACTTGGGGAGAGAATTTGTTAGGAGAGACAATGGACATTAATTAGGGTGGACTCTTCTTAGGAAAAGGCAGCCAGATATGGCATCGTTCTACAGCAGGGAATGGACCCTGAGCAATGATTTGGGGCTCAACAATGAAGGACAGGTCACAGCTTTGGAAGACAGGATTAGCAGGACTCACATGAGGCCTGAGTCCAGAGCCTCAGATCTTACACTGGCAGCACACAGGGACACAGCAACTAGACTGGGAGCAGCAGGGATTGCAGCAACTGGACTGGCAGCAGGATGACCCACAACCTGAGGAGGAGCAGCAGGGCTTACAGCAGCTGGACTGGCAGCAGTAGGGCTTGCAGCAGCTGGACTGGCAGCAGGATGACCCACAACCTGAGGAGGAGCAGCAGGGCTTACAGCAGCTGGACTGGCAGCAGGATGACCCACAGCCTGAAGAGAAGCAGCAGGGCTTACAGCAGCTGCACTGGGAGCAGCCACAAGAGCCACAGCCTCCTTTGGAGCCCCCACAGGAGCCACAGCCCCCCTTGGAACCCCCACAGGAGCCACAGCCCCCCTTGGAGCCCCCACAGGAGCCACAGCCCCCCTTGGAACCCCCACAGGAGACACAGCCCCCCTTGGAACCCCCACAAGAGCCATAGCCCCCCTTGGAGCCCCCACAGGAGCCACAGCTGGAGCAGGAACAGGCTGGCACACAGCAGCACACAGGTTTGCAGCAGCAGATGGGCACACAGCAGCTGGAGCCACAGCCCCCACAGCCGGAGCCACAGCCCCCACAGCCGGAGCCACAGCCCCCACAGCCAGAGCCACAGCCCCCACAGCCGGAGCCACAGCCCCCACAGCCGGAGCCACAGCCTCCAGAGCAGCCACAGCAGCCCATGGTTCTGGTGGATTGAGGGTGGAGCAGGTAGAGGAGCAGATGAGATGGAGGTGCAGGTGTGGAGCCCCCTGAGCCTGGACCCCCTTATATCCCTGGGTAGGGTTGCTCTGAGACCTTGGTCACTCCATCATTCCCAGCACTTCCTGGGTATGTGATTATTTGTTTGCTGGACTTCGGGTTCTCATTGGCCTGATCCAACACCCACCTGCTTATGTTTCTAAATGTAGTCACTTCCTCCTTGGAACTGGACCTTGTACTGAACTGATCACCTGCCTTCTGTTTTCCTCATGTGATGGGCAGAGGATGGGTTTTCTACAAAGATCATTTTGGTTGTTTTCTTCCCATCTTTTCTTCCCACCTATGGCATTATATTTTTCTTTGAAACTGTGAACTTTGTGTGAAGATAATTTTTTAAAAACTAAGCTTTCATCCATATAATTAAAGAGGCTAATTGAGGAACCAACGTTGTATCTTGGTTCTGTCTTAACACATTGGTGCACTGCAGTGAATCTCTCCTCCGCCAGCCTCAGGTCGTGGGGTGCTCAGGACTCCTGGCTGCTGCATACACAGCCTCACGTGGTGAGTATTGTTTATGTTAAAAATCTCAGGAATTTCATGGGTGGATGGGGGATCTCATTTATCATCCTGTTGTTAATCTCTTCAATTAACTATTAGTGAGGGTGATTCTTTTACTCCAATATAAATTATATACTTTTTTATTGGCCAGGCACAGTGGCTCACACCTATAATCCCAGCACTTTGGGAGACCAAGGTGGGCGAATCACGAGGTCAGGAGATCGAGAACATCCTGGCTAACATGGTGAAACCCCGTCTCTACTAAAAGTACAAAAAGTTAGCCGGGCGTGGTGGCGGGCGCCTGTAGTTCCAGCTACTCAGGAGGCTGAGGCAGGAGAATGGTGTGAACCTGGGAGGTGGAGCTTGCAGTGAGCCGAGATCATGCCACTGCACTCCAGCCTGGGCGACAGAGCAAGACTCCGTCTCAAAAAAAAAAAAAAAAAATTTATACCTTTTTGACTTCTCATTACTGCTTTAAAAGTTATTTGGATATTGAGAGAACAAATCCCTTGTGTTCAAACAGTGTACTTTGTTTTTCCACAGGCATGTACTTGAGTTTAATTTCTGACGTTTTTAAAAGCCATTCTCACTTTGTCTTAATTGTCATTTTTAGCCTCGCCAACATTATTAGATGGTATAAAAATGAATGTCTTTCAGCCGGGCGCGCTGGCTCACGCCTGTCATCCCAGCACTTTGGGAGGCCCAGGCGGGCGGATCACGAGGTCAGGAGATCGAGACCATCCTGGCTAACATGGTGAAACCCCGTCTCTACTAAAAATACAAAAAAAAATTAGCCGGGCGTGGTGGCAGACGCCTGTAGTCCCAGCTCCTTGGGAGGCTGAGGCAGGAGAATGGCGTGAACCCGGCAGGCGGAGCTTGCAGTGAGCCGAGATCGTGCCACTGCACTCCAGCCTGGGCGACAGAGCAAGACTCCATCTCAAAAAAAAAAAAAAGAAAAAAAAAAAAAAGAATGTCTTTCAAGCTTGGGATAAAGGCCTTGTCTTATCTGGAAGAGGCGAGAGAGGGGTTATAGGTTCCGTCGTTCCCATTGCTAATGGGAGCTGTGGGGCAGGGGACTGAGAGAAACCCACAGAGAGGGAAGTGCCTGCTGTGCTGAAAATGGCTTCTTCCTAGGGAACACACTGGGTCAGAGGATGCAGCCCTGTGTGGCAACAGTTCACGCCTCCCGACTAGGCGCGGTGAGGCTGGGATGGGGACACTTCATAAGACCTGGATTGTGAGCACAGAGCCCAGGCATCCTAACAAAGCTGTCCCCCACCAGCCCTGCGCGAGGCCGCACTGGACATGAGCAGACCATCACGCACCCCAGGTGCTCACCAGAGCTTGGCAGCTCCGCCCTCAGGTGCTGGGTAAAGGGAACCAGGAGCATCCCATTTTGTTTCAACATAGGTAGAAGATCTAGACAGGATTGGCCAAACCCAAGAGAGGTAACATGAGATTCTGTAACAGCTATGAAAACAAACCTTAAAAAACAAAAGGAGGAGGAAAGGAAGGAGACAAACCTTTCTAAGCAAACTTGTCATCCGGGAGACAAAAGTAGATTTCCTGCAAATGGTTGAGTTATGCAACAAATAATAACAAATATGGCAGCAAATTACAAATATGGCATACTAACTTTAATAGGGCTCTCAGTTGAGATGGTAAAATTATAGAGTAAGTTTTATTTTGTTTATTTGTTTATTTTTTGAGACGGAGTTTTGCTCTTTCACCCAGGCTGGAGTGCAATGATGTGATCTCAGCTCACTGCAAACTCTGCCTCCCAGGTTCAACTGATTCTCCTGCCTCAGCCTCTGAAGTAGCTGAGATTACAGGCACGTGCCACCACACCCCACTAATTTTTGTTTTTTTTAGTAGAGACAGGGTTTCACCATGTTGGCCAGGCTGTTCTCAAACTCCTGAGCTCAAGTGATCCGCCCACCTTGGCCTCCCAAAGTGCTGGGATTACAGGCGTGAGCCTCTGCGTCTGGCCTATAGAGTAAGTTTTAAAAGGAAGAGCGGAGGCCTCAGGGAATAAATGAGCACCAGAAGTCATTACAGTTCGAGTCGGTGATTAGGAAGAGTGAGGGGCAGAACGGAGGTGGCTGGGACTTGGGTCGCTGGCATCCGAGAAGGGCGCGAGATGCTCACAGTGTGGCTAAAGCACAAAGCCGTGGAATCAGCCAGAGAGAGGCTGGCGAACGGGGAGGACAGGAAAGCTGCAGCATCGGTGTAAGCAGTGGAGGCTTTAACAAATGGAGCAGAAAGCAGATTCAAAGGCCAGAAAAATGCACCATGACCCGCAGGAAGATCTGAAAGTTTAGCCCCAAAGAGCGTAACATGCTCCAGGAAAGAATGAAGGCGGAATGCTGAGTACTGAGCCCGTGGTGGTTTGGTGACAGAACTCCAAAGGCTGAATCAACATTGCCGCTTCTGCAAATCCCTGGCCAGTCTGCCGTGGCTGTCAGGGCTGAGGAGGGTGCTCATAGCTAGCTGCTCCTAGATGCTCCTCGGAGAGGTCATAAACCCAAAGATAGGGGATCAATTTCTCCAAAAAGGACAAAACCAAAACATGACCCAAGAACATGGTGACAAAACGTCCTTCAAATAGAAGAAAACAGGAACACAGCCTCCAAAATGGCAGAAATCTAAGACGACAGCACCTGGGACTCGGGAAAATCATATGGACCCTACACAATTGGGATTCATTCCAATTAAAGGAGTGAGGCAGGGATAGGCAAGGCAGGAAGGGCTGAGGACAGTAGAATGAAGACCAACATTGAGTAATTAACTACACGGGCGATGGTGAGTTACGGAGCCCACCTGCATTCCCAGAGAGAAAAATTAACCTGATGACATCTCTGCTCTCCACCTCCTCAGGCCCCTTCCACAACCTCCAGGTGGGTGGGGGTTAGAGCCATGGAAGGACCCGGTGACCTAGGGCAGGGGTCCCCAACCCTCAGGCCACAGTCCATGGCCTGTTAGGAACCAGGCCACACAGCAGGAGGTGAGTGGAAGGCGTGCAAGCATGACCTCCTGAGCTGCACCTCCCGTCCCTTCAGCCGCCACATTCGATTCTCATAGGAGCCAGAACCCTACTGTCAAGTGCGCACGCGAGGGATCTAGGGTGCGTGCTCCTTACGAGAATCTAACTAATCCCTAATGATCTGAGATGGAAGAGTTTCATCCTGAAACCAGCCCCCACCCACCCCCTGGGTCCGTGGAAAAATTTTCCTCTACAAAACCGGTTCCTCGTGCCAAAAGAAGGTGGTGGTTGCTGCCCTCGGGTGCTCTTGAAAATGGCCCTGCATTGTGGCTGGGCTGCTGTCTCCCTGGTGGGCGGCGATCCTGGCCCCTCACCACACCCGTGGGCCAGCACTGTCTCTACCATCTCGTGGGTGCTACTGTTTCCATACTTTTCTTATTTTTATATTTTCCTTTTCGTAGGCTTTTAGATTCTCTTTTCTTGCTTCTATGGACTTGCTGAAGCTTCTTTCTTCCTTTCTCCTCTTTTTCTGCTGGTTTGCACTGATGTTTTTGTTTCTACTTTTCCCCAGTGGTGACTGTGAACATTTTAACATGCATGTTTAACGCAGTCTGAGATCAGCCACTATCTTCCCCTGGCCCCTCACAGAGGCAGGTGCTCCCCTCAGACTAGCATCTCCTGTGTCAACCTGAGTGCCGTCCAGTGTTTCAGATCCGCCTCCTTCCTGTACCCCCAGCGAGTCATGAGCATCCTACCCTTCATTTCTTCTTTATATACAGCACATTTACCTTCACGAGAACCTCATACTTCCTTCCGGAAATTATCAATTTGAAGAAGACACTTCTGTCCCTCAGCTCATGGTCAGGCACGCCATAGCTAATTGTTACACCTGCTGAGGTGGACGTGTGAATTCTCTCCCTCAAGGCACTTTTGTAATGAGTTACAATGATACATTTCCTGACGGTGAGCCATCTTAACATTCTTGGAACAAACCCTACTTATGACTTGCTATTTTTAAATAATCATATTGGAGTCTTTAATATTTGATTCAGAAATTGTGTGTATTTGTTAATAACGAAATGAAGTTAAAATTTTCTTGTGTTTTACTGGCCTTACCTTTTTCTTTTTTCTTTTTTTTCTTTTTTGAGACAGAGTCAAGCTCTGTCACCCAGGCTGGAGTGCAGTGGTGCAATCATAGCTCCCTGCAGCCTCGACCTCCTGGGCTCAAGAAATCCTCCCACCTCAGCCTCCCGAGTAGCTGGGACTACAGGTGTGCGCTCACAGGCCCAGCTAATTTTTGTACATTTTTGTAGAGATGAGATATCACTATGTTACCCAGACTGGTCTCAAACTCCTGGGCTCAAGTGATCCTCCCACCTCAGCCTCCCAAAATGCTGGGATTGCAGATGTGAGCACCCACACACAGCCCTTTTCATTCTTCTCTGTCAGGCCCCAAATGTTCCTGGGTGGTTCTGGCTGGGGGTCTGAGGCTGCATCCCCTGAAGGCTCGGCTGGTATTGGACCCACTTCCAGGATGGTACATGCCTTGGCTTGTGGGTGGGAGGCCTCAGCTTCTCACCTGCAGGCCTCTCCACAGGGCTGCTATTGGCACAGGATCTGGCTTCACCCAGAAGGAGTAGTACTGAGAGAGAGAGAGAGAGAGAGACAGAGAGACAGAGAGAGACAGAGAGAGAGGCAAGTGTTGTACCACCCTTCATGTCCTAGCCTCCAAGCCCCGTGCCATCATGCTGTCTGCCGTCTTCGTCGCGAGAAACATACTGTGCTGCTGGCCTTCTCCTTGTTGCTTCTTCTGCAAGTCCTTCTGCTGGAGCCTTCTCTGCTGTGCGGCATCAGCCAGCACTTTACTATCCCAGGAAAAACCGCCCCTGAGCCTTCCTCTCATCTGAGTGTGGTTTCAGGTGGTGGAGGAGTGAAAATCTGTGGGGTCAGCCTAGCTCGTTTTAGGAGGAGAAATCCTTCCAGCTCTCTCTTACCTGGTGCCCCCTTTTCTGTTGGGTTCTTGATCTGGAGCCTACAGATACAGGTGGACATCAGATCCTGTCTGGATACTGCACAGTTTTATGTAAAGTTGTGTGTTTTTGTGCATGTTTGTAGACTTGTTTAAAGAGAGGCTCTGTAAAATTCCACAGAGGAATCTACGAACCCACAGTAGTTAAGAATGGGTCTGCAGAGGTAGTTCCTAATGTGGAGCACAGGAGCAAAGTCTACAACATACTCATGTCTGCTTTACGCTGAAAAGGTGAAAAAAATTAAAATTAACTAAAATTAAAATAGCAAATGACTAGACAGGAGCATATGCACCTTATATAATACACACATTTCAGGGGGCATTTGCTCAAAAGCTACATAATCGTGGGGTGCCCCACGGGACAGGGTGAGACCACTGCCATGTTGATTGTTCCATCAGAGCATTGTAAGAGGCCCTCTGATGATCCTCTTTGCCCAATTCAGCGAACCCGAAGGTCATCAATGGACCACGAAGAACAAAGGCCCATGAAAGGGAAGATGTTCCCAAAGTACAAAAGGAAAAGTCCTCTTGTACCCGAGGGAAGGAGCTGATCCAAGGGTGTCACTAGGAGTCAGCGCGGGTGTTGATACATTACTTCAGGGGCTGGAGGCAAATATACGAGGTACTGGAAGCAAATGTATCAAGCACTGGGACAAATGTATCAGGCGCTGGATGCAAATGTATCAGGCACTGGATGCGAATGTATCAGGCGCTGGATGCGAATGTATCAGGCGCTGGATGCGAATGTATCAGGCGCTGGATGCGAACGTATCAGGCGCTGGATGCGAATGTATCAGGCGCTGGATGCGAATGTATCAGGAAGCAAATGTATCTGTTGCCTCTGTTCCAGAGCTGGAGGATGCCGCCTCTGGTGGGGACAGCCAACACAAGGCGGCTCTCTCCTAATGGGTTTTCTGTTCCTCCCTGAGATACAGTCCCCTGCCCCAGAACAGAGTGGGGCTCCAGCATACACGGCAAGAGTCACCGAGTGCCAGCTGGTGTTTACACCGTGGCCTGAGGCCTGTTGACTGGGCTCGGGGCACTCACAGGTATTGTGGTCACGGGGGCAAATGGCCATCCGGTTCCCTGCTCTCCACCGGCTTTCTTTAGCATCCAGTGGGCCTGCACCCGAATGTAGTTGCTGCTTCCCAGGCTGAGCCCGGGACCCGGAGCAGGCGGGCACCCAGACAGGGCATCCTCTTCCGCTCACTGGCCCTGAAAGGGCCTCTGCCATCAGCCTGTGCCGCTGTCCGGGAGCCCCTGGGCCGGCCACGCAGTGGGGGAACCCGCTTCACAGCGACACCGTGCGGCGGCAGGAGGAACCGCTGCAGGAGACAATGCGATCTGGGTCCTGACCCAGCGCAGAGGCAGTGTCTGCCCCTTGCAATGCTTGGATTTCCTTCCTCAAAAGGCAGCCTTCGATGATCTGAAATTCAAGTTCCAGCAGGCATCCTGTACTGTATCTGTCAGCCCTGCCACCCGAGTGGTCTGAAAGCCCTGGAAGAGACCGCGGTTATCACAGGAGAACACTTTCCATGGGGAGCACGCAGCAAGCTCCAGAATAAGCGCTTAAAATCCCCGTCTCAGTCAACACTGCAAACCTTCCAACAAAGTCTTACACCGAAAACGACCCTGCTGAGCTGAGGGCTGAAGCCCCAGGTCCTGGGACCCTTGGAAACAGCCCGCGGGCCAGGAGCTGCTGTGGACCGTGAAGGTGTAGGGCCTAGGCACGTCCCAAGCAAGACACGATGCTCCCGCAGAGGAATCTTCCCGGGAGCAAGCCAGGAGTCCTGGGCTCAAAATCACCCTCGGCAAGACCAAGGCCTCTGAGCGAGCCACTGCCTGCCCATCGCTTCCTTCTTGTCACATGGAAAGGGAAACTCACCGCGGGGCCAGTGTTTACTGAGGGGCCGCTTCCATCACAGACCTGACAGCACATTCGAGAAAAGTGCGAGGAAAACAGGAGTTATTTATAAAAATGTAAAGCAGAAGAGAATACTGGGACCAGTGGCACAAGCAGGAACCAGGAAGTGACAGTGTGCCCAGCCTCTCACCTGACCCTGGACAGGGATATAAAGAGCCCGGGCTCAGGGGGCTCCACACCTGCACCTCCCTCTCACCTGCTCCTCTACCTGCTCCACCCTCAATCCACCAGAACCATGGGCTGCTGTGGCTGCTCCGGAGGCTGTGGCTCCGGCTGTGGAGGCCGTGGCTCCGGCTGTGGGGGCTGTGGCTCCGGCTGTGGAGGCTGTGGCTCTGGCTGTGGGGGCTGTGGCTCCGGCTGTGGAGGCTGTGGGGGCTGTGGCTCCGGCTGTGCGGGCTGTGGGGGATGTGGCTCCGGCTGCTGTGTGCCTGTCTGCTGCTGCAAGCCCATGTGCTGCTGTGTGCCAGCTTGTTCCTGCTCCAGCTGTGGCAAAGGGGGCTGTGGCTCTTGCGGGGGCTCCAAGAGAGGCTGTGTCTCCTGTGGGGTGTCCAAGGGGGCCTGTGGCTCCTGTGGGGGGTCCAAGGGGGGCTGTGGCTCCTGTGGGGGGTCCAAGGGGGGCTGTGGCTCCTGTGGGGGGTCCAAGGGGGGCTGTGGCTCCTGTGGGGGGTCCAAGGGGGGCTGTGGTTCTTATGGCTGCTCCCAGTCCAGCTGCTGCAAGCCCTGCTGCTGCTCCTCAGGCTGTGGGTCATCCTGCTGCCAGTCCAGCTGCTGTAAGCCTTACTGCTGCCAGTCCAGCTGCTGTAAGCCCTACTGCTGCCAGTCCAGCTGCTGTAAGCCCTGTAGCTGCTTCTCAGGCTGTGGATCATCCTGCTGCCAATCCAGCTGCTACAAGCCCTGCTGCTGCCAGTCCAGCTGCTGTGTCCCCGTGTGCTGCCAGTGTAAGATCTGAGGCTCTGACTGCAGACTGCAGGTGGCCTGACTGGTGAAGGGCCCGGCTGCCCAGCTTCCTTGCCCTGGGTTCTCTGGTGCTCCACTGTCTCCACTGTGTCCTCACTGGCTTCATCCACTCCACACCAGTGCTCCCGAAACTGACTGAGGACCCCTTCTGGCTCATTGCCTACTACTTCTCCTGAACTTCCTCTCCCTGCTCCTCACTCATTTAAGATCCAAAGCGGCCCACTGAGGCCCCAGAGGCAGATCAGACCCCTTAGACCCTGACAGCTGCTCCTTCTTTCAGGAGTGTGATCGACCCTCAATCTCTCTGGCTGTCTGTATATCAAGACTGAATCCTGACCCTCTAAATAAACAAAGTCTCTAAGCACAAAGCTCACTGTCTTGTGGTTCTCTCCTTCCCACCTCTCTCTCATTCCCAGAAGCACCATCTTCTTGCCTCCACCCCTGGGCCTGTTCCCATTTCTCTCCCCTCAGCATCTTTCATGTCATGGTCCATGTCTTCATGCACAGAACTAACGTCTATAGCTTTCTGCTCTGGGCCCCTTGTTGTGTTGGGCTCCAGAGATGACAGAGCAGAGTAAATCCAAGCTCACAGTCTGGTATGTGGGGAGAGGTGGGGAGAGGGAAAGGTGGTGAGGGCGGTGGTGTCAGCCGTGGAGGCACTGCCGTCCCGTGGGAGGGAGGGAAGCTCAGGGCCAGGCCACTTCAGCGGAAGGATGAGGAAGGGTCTGTATGCTGAGCTGTGCGGTACATCAGGCCCTAAGAAGCCCCTAGTGCATGCAGGAGCCAGACGTGGAGATGCGGAGGAGCTTGGGCTTATCTGCAATCTCACAGGGCCTTGAAAAACCAGACAGGAGAAGGCAGGACTGCACACAACGCCAGCTGCGGGACACAAGCTCGAAGGCAGCCGGGAGTTGAATAGATCCCCACCTCCAAAAAAAAATTCCAGAGCTGGGGGAGCCCAAATGCCCAGTGCCTTCTAAGGCAACCTAGCCTGGAGACAAGCTTTCTTTCAGCTTTTATTTTGGGTTCAGGGCTGCATGTGCAGGCTTGCCATATAGATGAATTGCATGTCATGGGGGTTTGGTGTATAGATTATTTCATCAACCAGGTAATGAGCATAGTACCCAATAGGTGACTTTTTGATCCTCACCCTCCTCCTGCCCCCGCCACCCCCGCCAAATGCACCACAGTGCTGTTGTTCCCTTGTGTTCCTATGTACTCAGTGCTCAGGTCTGACTCATAAGTGGGAACACGCGATATTTGGTTTTCTGTTCCTGCATTAGTTTGTGAAGGATATTGACCTCCAGCTCCATTCATGTCCCTGCAAAGGACATGATCTCATTCTTTTTGATGGCTGCACAGTATTCCATGGTGTATAAGTACCACATTTTCTTTATCCAGTCTGTCATTGATGGACATTAGGACGTTACGTGAAGATGAAGGTAGAGGTTGGGGTGATGCTTCTATAAGTCACAGAGGACCAAGGGTTGCCAGCAAGACCCAGAAGCTAGAAGAGACCAGAACAGAGGCTCTGTTGCAGCCCCAGAAGGAACCAGCCCTGCCCACCCCTGCATCTCAGACTTCTGGCCCCCAGGATTGGGAGAGGGATGTTTCTGTCATTTGTGGTCCTTTGTTAGGGCTGCCCCAGGAAGCGAGTACAAGCGGTGGCTCAGTCAGAGCAGGAAAAGCAGTCATTCAGGGTATTTTCTGTCGGGGGGATCTAGAGTGGAAATCAGAAGCTTATGTTCTCGATGGCAGCTCTGGGACCTGGACTTCCTGGAAGGACTCCAGCTGTCCACAGCAGGGGCCCCTGGAGACCTCAGGTTTCCAAGCTGTCCTGGAACCCTGAGCTCCAGTGCACCTGCCATGTGGTCCAGGGACAGGGAGCCACCTCACCGCCACCTCTGCCACAGCCACCTCAGGGCGTCCACAGGCTGGTGACAGCACTGGGGTGTGCGTCTACCCAAGCCTTTCTCTGGGGAAGCAGGTGACCAGCTGCAGCGGAAGCCACAGGTGCACAGCTCGCCCTCATGCGCAGCAGCACTTGAGCCCTGGCATGGGCCTCTGCCTGCCTTCCCTTCCAGACCTGGGGAAAGGCATTCGATTGGCAGGACCTCATTCTCACCCTGGCCTTGGAATTGACATTTTTATCTTCTAGCTCATGCAGTGTAGACAGGACCGGAGGAGGGGGTGGAGACTCTGTGGGTGGGGCTCGCCTACTTCCTGCCTTTTCCCCCCTCAATTATCCCCCCACTAAGGCTTCTGTAGCCCTGTTACTGTACCCAGGGAGGGTGTCCAGGATCTTGGCTTCTCAAACAAAGAATTGGACAAAACGCACAAATAAAGCGAGGAGAGCAAAAGCTGGGATTTATTGAGAAGGAAAGTGCACTCCACAGTGTGGGAGCAGCCGAGCGGAATTCATTGCAAAGGAGAAAGAATGTTGTGGAAGTGAGGTGCAGAACAGACAGGATGCCCTGGGCGAGACAGGGTGCAGGGCGGGCTGCTCACAAGGATGAGAAGCAGAGACCGGCCTGAGGGAGGCTCCCTTTATGGGACTCTTCCATGATTATTCCTAAGGAGCTGGGAAGAGGTGTTGCTAGGAAGCATGTTCTGGGTGGTCCTCTGGGTGCATGTGTGCAGTAGCTGTACACGCTTGTTCATACCATTCATGTCTCATTAGCATCTTAAATCTCCACCCAGAGATGTGCTTTATACTATTATAAGGGCCCCGTTAAAGAGTTTTTGTGAGTTTAAATACCCTGTACTGGAGGTCCGCCCTATGTAAATGAAGAGAATGAAGTTACAAAGTCATTTGTTCGCTGTGTGCCCATGGGGAGGACATGTCCTGTCATAGCTGAAGTGCGAATCCGCCTTATGTTCCCTGCCTCCAGACCGTATTTTCCTGCCTCAGTCCCAGAGCCTGCTGCATGGGCATGCAGCTCCCACAAACACACAAGTTCCCACACTTAGAAGGCTTCATGCCTTGCTGTCACTGTCTTGAAATTCTCTGCTGGGCGTGGTGGCTCATGCCTGTAATCCCAGCACTTTGGGAGGCCGAGGTGGGTGAATCGCCTGAGGTCAGGAGTCTGAAACCAGTCTGGGCAACATGGTGAAACCCCATCTCTACTAAAATACAAAAAAATTAGCTGGGCGAGGTGGCGGGCGCCTGTGGTCCCAGCTACTCAGGAGGCTGAGGCAGGAGAATTGCTTGAACCCGGGAGGCAGAGGTTGCAGTGAGCAGAGATGGTGCCACTGCGCGCCAGCCTGGGCGACAGAGTGAGACTCCGTCTCCAAAAAAAAAAAGAAAAAAAAGAGAAATTCTAAATAACTTTGTTTATCAGCTTGGGCTTTGGGGGCAAATCTGGTGGGACAGGGGAGTGTGCACACGACAGGGGTTGCACCAGGGGCAGTGTGCACGCGTGTGCATGCAGGGCCCTGGGCACGGTGGGCAGCACAGACCTGGCTGCGTGGTGTGTATCTGAGGGCAGTCCAGGGCACCAGGGGGAGGCTGGGCTGGAACCGGGGCCCAGGAAGGAGTTGGCAGCGGTAGAAGGGCAGTCATGGCAGCTGCGGCTCACGGGGAGGAGAGACCCTGCGCATGTCAGCAGCAGCCCAGGGTGGGCAGCTGGCTGGTCTGTCTGTCCCCAGAGCTTGGTTCCCCAGCACCTGCTAAATATGTGCTTCCCAGTCCAGGGCTAGGAAAGGAGCTGCCAAGCTCAGGCGGTACACAGTAAATTGTTACAGAATGAAACTGTGTATATGGACGTTAGCATAGAGCAAACCAGGGGGTTATTAGAATTCCTCAAACACTTTTGAACCTTTAGATTTGGAAAACGGCTGCAACATTGCAAAGCAAACATCCACAAGACAAACTTAGAAATTAAATGTAAAGGAAATGGCTGGGCACAGTGGCTCTTGCCTGTAACCCCAGCACTTTGGGAGGCTGAGGCAGGAGGATCACTTGAGCCCAGGAGTTGGAGACCAGCCTGGGCAACATAGTGAGACCTGGTCTCCATGAAAAATAAAAATAAATTAGCCGGGCCCGGTGGTGTGCACCTGTAGTCCCAGCTACTTGGGAGGCTGAGGAGGGAAGATTGCTTGAGCCCAGGAAGCTGAGGCTGCAGTGAGCCATGATTGTACCCCTGCACTCTAGCCTGGGCAACCAAGTAAGACCCTGCCTCAAAAACCAAAAAGTAAAGAACATTGTAGTTGATGGAAAAGAATACTATTTTCAAATAAAGCTTCAGGTGAACTGATGATTAAAGGGTAAGACAGGGCAGGCACAGTGGCTCATGCCTGTAATCCCAGCACTTTGGGAGGCCAAGGCAAGCGGATCATCTGAGGTCAGGAGTTTGAGACCAGCCTGGCTAACATGGCGAAACCCCATCTCTACTAAAAATACAAAAATTAGCTGAGTGTGGTGGCGCACGCCTGTAGTCCTAGCTACTCAGGAGGCTGAGGCAGGAGAATTGCTTGAATCAGGGAGGGTGAGGTTGCAATGATGCCCACGGTGATGGATTAGAGGTGGAGATCTCATTAGGAACTCACGCTCAGCTTCGTACAGACACAGATGGTCACACACAAACACCTGCAGATGTGTGCAGACGTGGTTAGGATGCACACGTATGTCCTGTTGCTCTGTCAGTGGAGAGTGTTGACAGCTGTTGTGAGACCTCGGTTCTTGTCTTCTTAGTTTAAAATAATTTAAACAAGACACACAGGAGATGCAGCACAGAGGAATTCATTGCAAAGGAGAAAGAATGTTGTGGAAGTGAGGTGCAGAACAGACAGGATGCCCTGGGCGAGACAGGGTGCAGGGCGGGCTGCTCACAAGGATGAGAAGCAGAGACCGGCCTGAGGGAGGCTCCCTTTATGGGACTCTTCCATGATTATTCCTAAGGAGCTGGGAAGAGGTGTTGCTAGGAAGCATGTTCTGGGTGGTCCTCTGGGTGCATGTGTGCAGTAGCTGTACACGCTTGTTCATACCATTCATGTCTCATTAGCATCTTAAATCTCCACCCAGGGATGTGCTTTATACTATTATAAGGAGCAAAGGGTCAGAGTGAGGACAGGTAAAATCAAAATGTGCATGCTCTCTACGGGGGAAATTCCCTCCTGAGATAGCTTTGTTCGAATGAGCTCAATGACAACATGAATGGGGAGGCTTGTTGCCTTGGCCCAGTGGTCACTACGGTTGCTGCGAGGAGATGGCCACTTCCTTGACAACCTCTCCTGCCTCAAGAGGGCCCCAAACCTATGGCACCCCACAGCAGCAGGAGGTTGAATACCAGGCTCCAACCCAAGGACCAGGGACCCTTGGAGACATGGCAACTTCTAGGACTGAGGCAAAAAAGATAAAGGTGAGTCTGGAGCATCTTGTAGCTCCAGAAAAAAAAAATCTAAAAGAAAACAAAGCAAAGCCCCGATACATGCAGTGATGGAAAGTATCAGAAGCACGTTGTAGGGACACGTGAGCCAAAAGAAAGCGCTCCTGGGGGTTACAAATAGAACAATTCGATCAACACAATAAATAGAGAGAGTAGCATTGACTCTAACCCGAACTGTAAAATAGATATCCATGAACATGACTGATAGAAATAAGTGATTTAGTAAATAAATAAAGGAGGATCACTTGAACTCGGGAGGCAGAGGTTACAGTGAGCCGAGATCGCACCACTGCACTCTAGCCTGGGCAATAGAGCGAGACTCCGTCTCCAAAAGAAGTAAATAAATAAAAGTAAATAAATAAATGGGAGTGGATAGGCAAGTCCCCCATGCAGAAGAGTTCCCACTAATTCTGTGTAGCCCTCACCCCTTAAGTGCAGGCAGCACTGGGACCTCCTTCTGAGAATGCAGCACGGGACAGGGGAATTCAGGAGCATCTTTCCGTGGGGAATCCTGAAAGACACAAACACAGCCAGGAGACGGGGGCAGCATAGCCCGCGAGGCACGACGAGCCATGCCAACAGGACAGGCCCTCAGCATGGGGTGACGAGAAGGGCATCTCCCTCTGTGCTCTTCCTTCCCACATCCACAGCCCCGTCTAATCGTGAAAACACCAGACAGATCCTAATAAGGGACACCCTACAAACACCTGAGCAGTCCTCTGAACCCTCCAGGTCACCACCAACAAGGAGAGCCTGGGAAACGGTCACCGCCCAGAGGAGCCCAGGGAGACGGACAAGGGAATGTCACGTGGGACCCTGGGTGGGGCCCTGGGACAGAAACGGACCAGCACGTAAATGCTAATGAGAGAAGAACAAAGTGTGGACTTTAGTTAATAATAATGTATCAATATTGGTTCTCTATTTTATTTTATTTTAATTTTTTTTTTGAGATGGAGTCTCGCTCTGTCACCCAGGCTAGAGTACAGTGGCGTGATCTCGGCTCACTGCAACATCTGTCTCTCAGGTTCAAGCAGTTCTCCTCCTTCAGCCTGCTGCATAGTTGGGATTACAGGGGTCCACCACCACGCCTGGCTAATTTTTGTATTTTTAGTAGAGACGGGGTTTTGCCATGTTGGCCAGGCTGGTCTCGAACTCTTGACCTCAAGTGATCCGCCTGCTTCAGCCTCCCAAAGTGCTGGGATAACAGGCGTGAGCCACCGTACTTGGTCATTATTTAGTTTTTAGTTTAGTTTAGTTTAGTTTTTTCTTCAGACAGAGTCTTGTTCTGTGGCCCAGGCAGGAGTGCAGTGGTATGATCTCAGTTCACTGCAACCTCCACCTCTTGGGTTCAAGCGATTCTCCTGCCTTAGCCTCCTGAGTAGCTGGGATTACAGGCGCCAGCCACGACGTCCAGCTAATTTTTGTATTTTAGTAGAGACAGGGTTTCACCATGTTGGCCAGGCTGGTCTCCAACTCCTGACCTCAAGTGATCCTTCCGCCTCAGGCTCCCAAAGTGCTGGGATTACAGGTGTGAGCTACCACGCCTGGCCCAATATTGGTTCTCTAATTGTAAGAAACATACCATACTGAAGTAAGATACTAATAATGGGGGAAGCTGGGTGTAAGGTGTATGGAAACTTGCTTTGCAATTTTTCTGTAAATCTAAAACAATTCCAAAAATAAAGCTTATTAAAAAATAATTTAGACTCCCATGAAACTGATTTCTTTGAAGAATTAATTTTTTTAAAAAAAATTTCTCCACAAGAATCACCAGGTCTACATGCGCTGACATTTATCATTTAAAACAATTTATCAGAAACTAATCCTAATGTTGTCACAGCCTGTAAGATACCTTTACTGCTCCAATAACAGCTGTATCAGCACAAAGATTCTTCTCAAAGGTCATCAAAAATTATTTGAGATCTTGCATTTGCCAAAAAAGACTGAAATAACTTTCAGTTATGTCAAAACCGAAAATGAAATTTCTGAAGTATCCATTTTGATGATCTAATAAATGAATTTGCAGAAAAAATTGGAAAAATCATAAACATCCTATTAATAAAATATTATTTATTATATAAAATTCTGAATCCAAAAATTATTGTTTTGTAGTTTGTAAATTGGTGTTGTTACTTGGCACCACTATCACCCCTATTTATTGTGTAAGTGATAAAATCATTCCTAAAGGGGAAAGCTTTCACTGTGGTTTTTTGCTGCTTTTTTTTTGTCCCAAGACAGAGTCTTGCTATTTCCCCCAGGCTGGAGTGCACTGGCACAATCTTGGCTCACGGCAACTTCCACCTCCTAGGTTCAAGCAATTCTCCTGCCTCAGTGTCCGGAATAGCTGGGATTACAGGCACACGCCACCACCCCTGATTAATTTTTGTATTTTTGGTAGAGACAGGGTTTCACCATTTTGGCTAGGCTGGTCTCGAACTCCTGACCTCGTGATCTGCCCACCTCAGCCTCCTAAAGTGCTGGGGTTACAGGTGTGAGCCACCACACCCAGCCTTTTGCTACCTTTTGAACCAGGAGTCCCACCATTTCTGTGTCTGGCCTATCTCTCTCCCTCTCCAGGGCCCAGCTCCTCGGACCCCTCCCGGGTCCTCACCTGACCCTGCCACACTCTCGCCCCCGACCCTGGGCTGGGCTCCACCACAGGCTGCTGACAAATAAACAAGAGATTGGCAAATCAGACCCAGCATCAGATTTGCACAATGATGCATCGTGGCAACGAAGGGTTGACATCAAGAAAGCAAATGTGCCTGATATTGTAAATAATACCAGACATAAATGAGGCTGCATGTGGTGGCTCATGCTTGTAATCCCAGCACTTTGGGAGGCTGAGGCAGGTGGATCACCTGAAGTCAAGAGTTCAAGACAAGCCTGGCCAACATTGCAAAACCCTGTCTCTACTAAAAATACAAAAATTAGCCAGGCGTGGTGGCAGGTGCTTGTAATCCCAGCTATTCGGCAGGCTGAGGCAGGAGAACTGCTTGAACCCAGGAGGCAGAGGTTGCAGTGAGCCCAGATCACGCCATAGCACTCTAGCTTGGGCGTCTCAAGAAAAACAACAACAAAAAACCAAACCAACAATAAAACACTCACCGTAGTAATGACAGACACGGGGGAAAACATCATCTGTTTTCTCCATGTTGCGGAAAAGGTATTAATAAACCATCAATGCCTGATACAGTAACAATAGAACGGCGACAGATGGAGAAGCCCTTCATACAGTATAAACACAGGCACGCCCATAATTAGGTTTTCCTGCAAATGTGCACGTTCATATCTAAAGCGAAATCACATCTCTATTCGGCACCATGCCAGGGGCGGAAGGCGCCTGCTCTCTAAGACAATGGTTTTATAGTAACGATTGCAGCCTCCACCCAGAGAGCTTCAGGGGCCTGAGCTAGGGGCTGTGCTGAGGAGGGGGCTCCGGTCACCTGCGGTGTCTCCCCCACCCCTCCCAACGCCCAATCTCCTCCAGCTAGGCCTCCCTCTCGGACCCCGGGCCTTGCTTGAACCAAATGGTTCGACCTCTGCCTCTTCCTAAGGCTCATTCCTGAGCTGGGAAGAGAAAGTGAGGAAATTCCTTGCAGAAAAGGAGAAATCAGTCATCACCTTGTGTGTTGTGTGTGAGGCTCTCCCAGCCCGTGGAGGCGGGACCTTTTATTCCCTCGATTTGAAAGGCACCAAACGCAGATTCTCTGCATGTCCAAACTTTTTTACAAATGGAAGAAGAATGCATAAGAGCGTAAAGCATAGCTTGCACCCCAATACACTTTTGGCTTCTTGGGTTTGGGCCGTCTCGATCTGAGCTTGCACCCTGCTCTTCATTTCCTTCTTTTCCCCAAGCTGGGGGGCACCAGGCTGCAGCCGTGGTCATCGTCCCAGTGTGAACCCCCGAGGCCTGCACAGCTGCAACCATTTTCTTTGTACTTAAACACAAACGTTTATGTTCGCCAGCGCCCGTGTAAACTAGCAGCTCCCTCTTTCCGTCTCCTTGCTTGCGTTCCTTCGACGTGTCACCTCACAGACGCCCCTTCACTGTGTCACCTCACAGACACCCCTTTGCTGTGTCCATCCCTCCCCAGAAGGTTGGAGCCCTGAGAACAGGTGTACCTGGTTTTGGTCATTGTTCTACCCTCTGGTTCAATGACAGTGCCAGGCACATAGTGCACACACAGTAAATATTTGCCAAATACGTGCAGGGCTCCAAGCCATCCTGAGCAGCTCTGGGCAGAGGGGCTGAAAGTCTCACCTTTCCCTCCCGGGTTTCAGGGAAGAGCCCAGTCTGGGAAGACAGGAAGCCGGCTTGACTCAGCAGGGCCGCCAGGGGGCACTGTGGCAAGACGGCGGGAGAGCCGTGTGCCCAGGGTTGCAGGTTCTGGAGCCCAGAGGTGGCCCAAGGCGCCAGGTGTCTGGCAAACTCCAACCGCGGATGCAGGCGACAGCCCCAGTCTCCAAAGATTGAGTGGCTGCCACTGGCTTTAGGATAAAAATGAAGCGGGACCCTTAAAAACACCCAAACATGGTAGAAATACGTGAACTGGACGGGATGCACGTTGCGTTTTGCATTTTGCTTTATAGCCTGCAGCAGAGCAATGCAGAGGGCTCCAGGCTCAAACAGGCTCCGTCCTGGTGTGTTTGGAACTCGGGGAGCAGAGGAGGGCTGCAGGGGGAAGAGGGCATCGGGAGAAACTCTTAAAGGGAGGGTCTTCCCGTGCTGTGCACAGCCCTTAGTCCTGTGCCAGCGGTGGGCAGCTTTCATCTCGCATGGAGCCCCCCCCGGCCCTAGCTCCCCTGCAGTGCCCAGTGCAGCCCTGGCATCCCGCCGGGCTCCCCCACCGGCCCGGGCCACTTCCATCTTCCCACAGGAGTGGGAGCCTCAGGGAAGGGGCTTCTCGGAACTTCGCCCACTGTCGTCCCTCTCGCTGGACCTGCAGCTTGGGCCCTGCGTGTCTTCTTATCCAGAGCTATTTCTTAGTTCCTCAGCCCTCTGCTTGTGGTTAATAATGTTTCTATTTCCTGAAACTTTTCTTTAATGGATTGATTGAGGCCTGTAGCCATCTCATTTTCCTGGGGAGTTGGTCACGCGTGGGGGAGTCCCAGACACGTGGAAAGTGGCTGTAGTAACTCCTGCCGGTACCTGGGGAAGTGGGGAAGAACTGCCATGCTCAGAACCGTCCCTGGCCACTCCCGAGCACCCTCAGCCTTCACCTGCCTCTTGACCCTGGCGTCTCTGTCCAGCCAGAGCCCCAGGAGCTGCCTGTGGTTGAAAGGTTGGGCTACGACTCACCACGTGGCCACACACACCACGGGCACCGCGGGGTCGCAGGAGGAGCGTCAGGAAGACCCTCTGTAGGACTGGGCTGTGGCTGGGTGGTTGGGGGTCACCCCGGGTTGGAGGCTGTCAGAAAGCTGGAGCCCGCATGACCAGCTGGCAAAAGTCTGACCCCAGGCAAGGCCCAGCTCCTGTTAGCAGAGAGAAGGGGAGGTTTGGCATTTCATGGCTGGCACCGGGATCTTGATTTGTCCGTGTTTAGATGAAATTATGAAAGGGCCTCGTTCTGTCTCATCTCATCCCAGCCTTGAAGTTGTCTGAACTTGTTTTCAGCTGGAATGCAGGCAAACAAACCACTTCCAGCCCAGACCACCTCCACTCCCAGACCACCTCCACCCGAGACCACCCCACCCCATACCACCTCCAACACCAGACCACCTCCACTTGAGACCACCTCCAACCTCAGACCATCACACCCCAGACCACCTCCACCCCAGACCACCTCCACCCCAGACCACCCTACCCCAGACCACCTCCACCCCAGACTACCTTCACCCCAGACAACCTCACCCCCAGGCCACCGCACCCCAGACCACTTGCACCCGAGACCACCCCACCTCAGGCCACCTCCACCGCAGATGTCCTCCACCCCTAGATCACCCATCCCCAGACCACCCCCACCCTCAGACCATCCCACCCCAGACCACTTCCACCCCAGACCACTCCACCCCAGACCATCTCCACCCCAGACCACCTCCACCCGAGACCACCTCCACCCCATACCATCTCCAACACCAGACCACCTCCAACCAAACCACCTCCACCCCAGCCCATCCCACCCCAGACCACTCCACCCCAAACCACCTCCACCCGAGACCACCCCACCCCATACCATCTCCAACACCAGACCACCTCCAACCTCAGACCATCCCACCCCAGACCACCTCCAACCAAACCACCTCCACCCCAGCCCATCCCACCCAAGACCACTCCACCCCAGACCACCCCACCCCAAACCACCTCCACCCCAGACCACCTCCAACCAAACCACCTCCACCCCAGCCCATCCCACCCCAGACCACCTCCACCCCAGACCACCTCCACCCCAGACCACCCTTACCTGATGGAGGTTTTGGGGCTCTGGAAAGCTGCCTTCAAAGTTCTCTCCAGCCTGGGCCCCCTGGCCCGCCCCCTCCACTGGCGTTTACCCACTGCTGCCTCTCGCTCCCCACCGGGACCGAGGACCTGGCCTCCGCTCCGCAGCTGGGGAGGGGTCTTCCTTAGGGCACTGGCAGGAGGCCCGGGGTCTGTCCTGGCTCTTCCCTGGTTGTTCCTCATGGATCAGATAATTCTCTCCTGCTTCTTCCCCGACACGAAGCAATAGGCTCATATCCAGCAGCTCAGAGGCACGGTGGGGGGTAGGGGGTTGAGGGGTGTCTCGCACCCCTGGGCCCAGGTTTCAGAGAGGCAGAATCTGCCACTGCGGCTGTGCCCACGTCCACCCTGACCCCGACCCTGACCCTGGGCATGAACCGGCAGCAACTCGCTCTCAGGAGGGTGGGGACCGCCGGGACGGACCTGTTCCCTCCTTCCCTCCCTCCCAGGGGAGCTGAGGCAGCACCCTGGACCCCCGAGCTGGGGGTCGGCAGCGCCGTGACCCCATCTGCCCCATTTACCATGGGCTGCAAGATGGGGCTCCTCCTGGGGTCCTCCACGTGTGTTTCTGGGGCAGCACATCACCGGAGTCCAGGACAGGCTGGGGAGGCACCAGTAGCCCCAGCACCCTTGCTGCAGGCAGGGCAACCGCTGAGACTCCAGGGGCTGCACCACTGCCCTGTGGCCGGGCCCCTCCCCTCCTTCTCCAGGTCCCTCCAAAAGTGCTGGGGATGGGCACGGGGGAAGTGACAGGACTCCTGGCTCTCCCTTCAGTGGCTGAGGACCCCCAGTGCCCACAGGTTCAGAGAGGGAGGTCTGGCGGGCGCTGCGGGGCAGCCCCGACCTGGCACCCAGGAGAGGAGCCCCTTCCGCGTTTCGACGCTCCCACCCACAGCACAGAGAGACCCGCCCCAGCGCTGGACATTGGGGTGGTCAGTGTGTCCGGCCGCAGGCACAGCTGCACTGGTGGCTGCTCCTCTGTCCTGTTTTCCTGCCCATGTGACCTGGAGCCGCTGTGCCAGGCCTTCCACCACCAGGTTGGGGAAACAGCAGCAGAAAGAACCCCCGAGATGCCCGACAAGCAGAGGGGACTCCTGAGGATCAGGGAACTGCCAGGGCTGCGAGCTCTCCCAGTTGGGGGGGATCCTCACCCACAATTCAGCTCCTGTCTCCCGGCACCCCCAACCACCTTCACATTGTCACCAGCAGGGGCCTGATACCCAGGTGGGAGGTTCACCCCAGAGGCTGCAGTCTCTGGCAAGACGGGGTGGGGTGCATGTGGGCGGCAAGCCGCCCAGGTGCCGAGGCAAGAGACCGAGGGCACGAGCTCTTCCAGTGTAATGAAGAAAATATATACAATAAGAATAGTTATACTAGATATAGATCATAGATATGATTATATACGAACATTATTAATCATTAGTTTGTAGCAATTACTCTTTATTCCAATATTATAATAATCCTCACTGTATAATCATAACCTAGGAAAAACCAGGCCATACAGAGATAGGAGCTGAGGGGACATAGTGAGGGGTGACCAGAAGACAAGAGTGCGAGCCTTCTGTTATGCCCAGACAGGGCCACCCGAGGGCTCTTTGGTCTAGAGGTAACGCCAGCGCCTGGGAAGACGCCTGTTACCTAGCGGACTGTGGTCTGGCGGTAACTTCAGTGCCTAGAAAAGGCACCCGTTACTTAGCAGACCGGGAAAGGGAGTCTCCCTTGCCCCGGGGGAGTTTGGAGAAGACTCTGCTCCTCCACCTCTTGTGGAGGGCCTGACATGAGTCAGGCTCGCCCGCAGTTATCCGGAGGCCTAACCGTCTCCCTGTGATGCTGTGCTTCAGCGGTCACGCTCCTAGTCCTCCTTCAGGTTCCATCCTGTACACCTGGCTCTGCCTTCTAGATAGCAGTAGCAAATCAGTGAAAGTACTAAAAGTCTCTGATATGCAGAAATAATGGCGTAAGCTGTCTCCTCTCTCTCCGCCTCGGCTGCCAGGCAGGGAAGGGCCGCCTGTCCAGCGGATGCGTGACCCACGTGACCTTACCTATCATTGCAGACGGCTCACACTCCTTACCCTGCCCGCTTGTCTTGTATCCAATAAATAACAGCACAGCCTGGCATTTGGGGCCACTACCTGTCCCTGCGTCTTGGTGGTAGTGGTCCCCCGGGCTCAGCTGTCTTTTCTTTTATCTCTTTGTCTTGTGTCTTTATTTCTATGATCTCTCGTCTCCACACATGGGGAGAAAAACCCACAGACCCTCTAGGGCTGGTCCCTACAGGTGCAAAAGGTGTAGGACTCTCCCCTTCCCCAGAGTCACAGGGAACCCCGGGGCGCTGCTTTGTTGCATGAGCATTGTCCAGAGGGGTGTGGGGGTAGGAGTGAGACATGACGGAGCCCGGCCCAGCTCGGCGACAGGGTGGTGAGGTCCAGGGTGCCAAGGTTTTAAGGCACCCACCCTGAAACCGAGGCTCTGGGACCCATTCACCATGATGTGAGTGACCCTCAGGGATAGCAGAGTGTGGGGTGGACCCGGGCGGAATGAGGCAGGTGCTCCAGGGACCCCCATAGGACACCTGGACACCTGTGTCTCCCCACATGCGCCAGCTTCAGTGCCTGGGAGGGGACACCCCTGGCTGCCACGGGGAATCCACTAGGAGGCTGTGGTGTAGAGAAAATGATACCCCTCCCTGCTCCATCTCTCTGGCCAGCGCTTCTGCAGAGCAGCAGAGGGGCTGGGGTCTCTGGGCACGGCCATGCAGAGTGGGCTCCACCAACACCTCCGGCTTCTGCTGGAGGCTTCCTCCCCTTGGCCCGTCGCTCACCCCTTTCCTGAGTGACACAGCAGGACAGGGGGTGGTGGGCCAGTAGGGAAGGCTGCAGGCAGGAACGCCCACGGAGCAGTCCCCGGGCTCTCTGTTACCTCCACCACCCACCCTGGCCTAGGGCCTGAGGACTGCTGGGCTTCCTCCTGCCTGGGGGTTTCCGGTGGTCAAGTCCACTGTGCCCAGCCGTCCAGAAAACAGGAGCCACCTGCCCGTGTAACACGGTGGGGCTTTTAATCCACAGGAGCCTCAACACCTGTGCTCCTGGGACTTCCTCTTTTAGGGGGAACATGTGGAACCTTGGTCCCTTCAGGAGGGGCAGTCCCCACCCGCCAGTCGCCCAGGGCATCACCCTCTGAGCCCCTCTCAGTCCCCAGTGTCTGAGGGTGCCAAGGGCCTGCGGTTCCTGTCTCAGGCAGTTCAGCACTGCTGACTCCTCTGGAAAGAGCTCCCCTGACCGTGGGCTTCCATAACCAGCCGAGGTCTGCATCGTCAGTGCGGGCACCTGGTCCAAACCCGTTATTCTAAATTTGACAAGAGAACAGGGGCCACTGGCCTGCTTTTCACTGGTGAGCTGTGTTTCCTGGACCCATTATTGATGCTGGGGTCTAATGACATTTTCTAAACTCTTACAGCTTGTATTAAAATATCGAAACCTGAGTCCCTTGATATTGAGGAAAGTGGTCAGTTAGTCAAGCCATAGAGTTGGACAGTAGATGCTTGCCCGTCATCACCAAGATTGTTCATTGATTTTGAAGCAATACTTCAGGATTGACAAATGATAGCAGCCTGAAATACTGTGTGCGCCTGTGAGTATAATGAACATTCGGTGAGTGTGTCAATGGTAACATCTCCTCCCTACAAAAGATCATAGTTTCTCAGGTGAGGTGGCTCACGCCTGTAATCCCAGCACTTTGGGAGGCCGAGGCAGGCAGATCACCTGAGGTCAGGAGTTTCAGACCAGCACCAACATGGTGAAACCCCATCTCTAATAAAAATACAAAAATTAGCTGGGCATGGTGGCAGGCACCCGTAATCCCAGCTACTCGGGAGGCTGAGGCAGGAGAATCCCTTGAACCTGGAAGGTGGAGGTTGCAGTGAGCCAAGATCACACCACTGCACTCCAGGCTGGGAGACAAGAGTGAGACTTGGTCTCAAAAAAAAAAAAAAAAAAGAAAGATCCTAATTTCTTATCACTTTCTAAAAGGTGGGCGATGGATTTCAAGATGAGCTGTTCTCAACACTCCTTCTCCTTCTGGAAATCCTTCAGTCAGCCCACCTTGGCCTCTGAGCTGCCTGGCTGCGGAAGGAGGCTGAGAGATGTCACCAGAGGATGCATTTCAGCACCGTTTGCACTAAGATGTAAAGACCAAAACACTTTTCACTAAAGTGACTTTTGGAACTTTAGATGACATTATATTTAAACTTTGTATCTTAGAGGTATTTGTTTTAAGCAGAAATATTTACAATCTAGCTCATCCTGAGAACCAGCCTCTCCACAGCACCGCTTTCCAATGCGACCACCTTTCCAGAGAGGGGCCCACCTGTGGGTTGTGGAAAGTTCTTTGCATTTTCTTTTTTCTTTTCTTTTCTTTTTTTTTTGAGACGGAGTCTCGCTCTGTGGCCCAGGCTGGAGTGCAGCGGTGTGATCTCGGCTCACTGCAACCTCCGCCTCCCGGGTTCAAGCGATTCTCCTGCCTCAGCCTCCTGAGTAGCTGGGATTACAGGCGAGCGCCACCACACGTGAATAATTTTTGTATTTTTAGTAGAGACAGGGTTTCACCATGTTGGCCAGGATGGTCTCAGTCTCCTGACCTCATGATCCGCCTGCCTCGGCCTCCCAAAGTGCTGGGATTACAGGTGTGACCCACTGCACCCAGCCGGTTCTTTGCATTTTCTAGGACGCAGAGCAGACCTGTGTGCTGAGACCTGGCACGGATGGGAGCCCTCTTGGCACAAGAAGATTGACAGCTGTGGTAGAAGGTGCTGTTTCTTGCCAGGAGGGCGTAACATAGAGCCATTTCTGATTATCTTTTACCAACTCTCACTCCTAATGAGAACTATTTCTCATACCTAAAAGCAAGTTTTACTGCCTCTATGGTGAAAATAGTCTAGTTTAATAATGTTTTCTCTTGGGACAATGATGCTTTGTAAATGGAAATAACACAGATTCTGTACTTTGCCCCATCTTGTTTTTCTTTCTTTCTTTCTTTCTTTTTAGGCAGTGAGACAGACTTTATTCAGGGGGACTACAGCAATGAGGTTTTGCGGCAGGGAAAGAGGTTGCAGCTTTTGGGTTTGCTTCATGCCTTGGACACACAGTAACTTGGAATTCTTGCACTTACAATTTTTTGAATTATGAAAGTAATACATGTTAGTGGCTAAACAAGAAAGGAAGGCACGGCCGGGCGCGGTGGCTCACGCCTGTCATCCCAGCACTTTGGGAGGCCGAGGCGGGCGGATCACGAGGTCAGGAGATTGAGACCACGGCGAAACCCCGTCTCTACTAAAAATACAAAAAAATTAGGTGGGCGTGGTGGCGGGCGCCTGCAATCCCAGCTACTCTGGAGGCTGAGGCAGGAGAATCGCGTGAACCCAGGAGGCGGAGCTTGCAGTGAGCCGAGATGGCCCCACTGCACACCAGCCTGGGCGACAGAGCAAGACTCCGTCTCAAAAAAAAAAAAAAAAAAAAAAAAAAAAAGAAAAGAAAAGAAAAGAAAGAAAAGAAAAGAAAAGAAAAGAAAAGAAAAGAAAAGAAAGGAAAGCACGAAGGAAAATAGCAAAGGGTCCCGGTGTTGCACACACACAAAGCAGCAGCAGCCGCTGGAGGTCTTCCGTGTTTGGTAAAGGTGGCTACGGACTCCCGCATGGAGACGCGGCCTGGAGGGTGTCACTGCTCTAGGCTGTCTGCAGGGCCTCTCCGCAGACCTGGACGGATTTCAGTGGGAGACTAGAGCGTCACTTAAGATGTTTGAATGTAAAAGCATCCTGAATGATCATCTTTTAGCTTGAGATTTTGGCTACCTTTCAAACAGACATAGTTTGACCTTTGCAGTCCTAGGTAATGCAGGAATGGCAAATGCTCCTGAAGGCGGGGAGGCGGCCCGGCCCGCACTGAGCTTCTCACCGGCCAGAGGGCGCAGCCACCCGGCCTTCCCGAAGCAGGACAGCGGCCTTTCCAAGACCGCGGAGTCCCCGTGAGGGATGGTGCCTCCGGAGCCTGGCATCTCGGGCGGATGAGAAGCTGAGCGCGGTCAGATGGCCCGCAGGGTCCCACTGCGGGCCGAGCCCTGGCTGGGGGACAGTTTGGGGGGAAGCAGCAGCTGCCTCAGTTTACAGTGGCAGCCGGAGGAGGACCTGGGCAGTGGCGAGTGTGGCTGTTTGCATGGCGGGGAGAAAGAGGTGGTCCCTCCTGCCTGCTGCTGATGCCCACGGCCTCCTGTCCCCAGGAAAGGGGTCTGCGCCCCTCCCCCACCGGAACAGCGACAGAAGAGGCGACCCTCTCAAAGGCCCTTCTGCTGCTCACCGCGGGGTGAGTGATGGTGTGGAGCAGGATCTGGGTCCAAGGTCTTCTTCCACGTTCAGGGTTCCCGTGGTAACTGAAGAATTATCCATCCAGAGAGGCAGGGGAGGGCCTGGGACAGGGATATATCTTATTATTGATAAGTACAATTTTAAATTTTAAATTATCAGCAGGACCGTAGGAGATGACATAAAGAGGAAAAATAACCTGTGTGGCGCTCTCAGCATAAAGCGCCCAGGTTCAGGGATGCGTGTGCGTCCTGCTGTCTGCTCATTCGAAGAGCAAAGGAAGCAGGGATGATTTAGGGCCTCCGAGGTGACACGGAATCGGGAGGAATGGCGCCACGAGAAAGACGTCTTTCTCATTTTGTGAGCAGAGAGCCCATCGTTCAGGAAGAGCATCTGAGCCACAAAGCTAATCACAGATCACCGAGCCAGCGCCGGCTCCTGATTTGTCTGTGTGGCTCCAGGTGGCAGGTGCTCCACGGCACTCAGTAAAAGGTGCATATGGTGAGGGGTGCAGGCAGTGGCCAAACAAGGGCTTCCCTGGATCCTGGAGTGGCTCCTTCCAGCCACAGCCAAGGCTGCTGGAGGGAAGACCAGGCCGAGGGCACGTCTTGCGTGCTCTCACTCACAAGCACACACCTGTATTTACCATGTTATGTACACCCACAGAATCATCTTTAAGATCTTGTTAATATTAATATATAAATTGAAGGTCGGAGGCAGTGGCTCAAGTCTGTAATCCCAGCAGTCTGGGAGGCCAAGGCTGGTGGATCACTTGAGGTCAGGAGTTCAAGACCAGCCTGGCCAACATGGTGAAACCCTGTCTGTACTAAAAACACAAAAATTAGCCGGGTGCACTGGCACATGCCTGTAATCCCAGCTTCTCAGGAGGCTGAGGCAGGAGAATCGCTTGAACCTGGGAGTGGAGGTTGCAGTGAGCCAAGATTGCACCACTGCACTCTAGCCTGAGTGACAGAGCGAGACTCCATCTCAAAAAAAAATTAATATATAAATTAATATGAGTAACATATACACATACATTAATAAAAATATACAAAATAATACATATAGTATATAATAATATATGCTAAGTATAGGAAATATGAATAATATAAATAAAAAGATTATGAATTATGCATTAAATATTAAATAATATTAATATGAATATAAATATTTATTATATCTATCTATCTGTATGTACCTATATAGACACAGACAGATATCTATCTCTATAGCTAGATATTTCTATCTCTGTACACACTCATCTATATCCACATGCATGTATATGTAAAAAGAGAGAGAGAGCAGAGACATAGAGAGATTTATTTCAAAGGATTATCCCGTGCTATTGTAGAGGTTGGCAACTCCAAAACTCACAGGGCAGGCAGGAGGCTGGTCATTCCCACAGGAACTGCTGTTGCAGTCTACAGCCTGAAGGGAGAATTCCTTCCTTCTTGTGGGAACTCAGTCTTTTCCTTTTAAGACCTTCACCTGATTGGGTGAGGCCCACCTGCCTTCCTCTGACTGGATGAGGCCCACCCACATTGTCAGAGGGACATCTGTTTCACTCAAAGCCTACTGATCTAAAATGACTTTGATTAAATGACCTTCACAGCAACATTCAGACTGGCGTTTGGCCAAACAGCCTGGCACTGTGGCCCAACCTAGGTGACGTGAAGCTCATGACCTCCCTGTGCCTGCAGGGCGCTGTGGCACTCCATCCCTCTTCTGTGTCAAAGAGCTGTCTGAACTGCTCCAGCAACTCTGACACATGGGGACGTCCTGTCCTGAAGGGATGGGGGCATGCTAGGACTGGTTTGCGAATCTCTCCATAAATGGCCTTGCTGTCTCCAGCATGAGAGAAGGTTGGAGCGTAAAGAGCAGATTTCTGCGGTGTCCCTTGTGCTTCCTGAAAGGAGTCCCACACTCAAGCTCACCCCCACGGTGGATGTGCTGGACCAGGACCCTGGGGTGCTCGGGGCCCGAGGGTGCCAGGATTAGAACCTCCACACCCAGAGGTTCCTGCCTGGGGCCTGCATCACCCGTGGCGTCTCCTGCCTGCCCCGGATTCCTCCTCTTTCTTCCCTTTGCCGTTTTTTCTGGCTCCTTTAGCTGCAGGTCCACAGCTGGCTTTTCTCCAGCTCTCCTGCATACTGGCTGAGAAGGGCACCTATGTCATTGTTGCTGGCTGTTTGCGCTGCTGTAATGCAATCCCTGAGACTGGGGGATGTATACAGGACAACACTGATTTCTCATAGTCGTGGAGGCTGGGAAGTCCAAGATCGAGGCACTGGTAGGTTCGTGTCTGGTGAGGGCCCCAGTCTGCTTCATAGCTGGTGCCCTTGGCTGTGACCTTCAGAGGAGGTGAACGCTGTGTCCTCAAGTGGGAGGCAGCAGAAGGGCACATCCAGCAGTGAGGCTGTTGCTATAACAAATACCTACAACTGTGGAAGCAGCTTTGGAACTGGGTAATGTAGAGGCTGGAGGATTTGGAAGGTGCATGCTAGAAGCAGCCTAGATTCTCATGACCACAGAGAATCACCACTAAGGGTGATTCTGGCAGGTCCTCGGAAGAGGGTGCTGCGGAAAAGCCCAGTTCTCCTCACACTTAAATGGTTGTGAACAGAAAGTTAGTAGAAATATGGAGAGTGAAGACTATTCTGATGGGGTCTTAGAAGTGAGGATTTTTTTTTCTTTGAGACAGGGTCTGGCTCTGTCACCCAGGCTGGAGTGCAGTGGCGAGATCTCAGCTCACTGCAGCCTCAGCCTCCTGGGCTCAAATGATTCTTTCACCTCAGCCTCCTAAATAGCTGGGACTGCAGGCTGCCCTACCCCGCCCTGCCACCTCACATGGCAGCTGTTCTTTATTCATAATCCCCACTGTCTGTCTCTGCTTCTCTTCTCCCTTTCTCTTCTCTCTCTGTCTTTTGGGGTTTCGTCATGTTGCCCACACTGGTCTGAAATCCTGGGCTCAAGTGATCCTCCCACCTCAGCCTCCCAAAGTCCTGGGATTACAGGCGTGAGCCACCCCACCCAGCCAGAAGTGAGGAATATCTTACTGGACGCTAGAGGAAAGACCGACCTTGTTGCAAAATGGCAAAGATCTTGGCTGAATTATGTCCATGTTCAAGTGCTCTGTGTAAGGAGAAGTTTAGGAGCCAGAAGCTGGGACATTGCTAATGCTGCATGGAGCCTTTTTCAGAGGAGTCTTAATCCCATTCGCATGAGAGGAGGCCTTCCTCACCGCCTACTCCCCTCCCAAAGGCCCGGCCTGTTACATTTCATTGCAGGAATTTCGGATGGGATGCATTCACACCAAAGCGTCACCCTCCTGAGTACCTCTCTGAAGCCACCTTGGAGCCTGGGCTCCCCCAGGCATGGGACAGCACACCCCGTCCACTGGAGCCGACCCTGATGAATGCAGGCTCACTGGCTTTGCCACCGCATGCCCCCGGAGGCATCAGACGCTGCTTGTCTCTGCTGCCTTTGAAAGGTGTGCGTGGAGTCGCAGGCCTGAACTACATGAGATCGAGACGGAAACCCCGCCAGGCACCAACTAACGGATGCCCAGGCTGGAGTGACCCTCCTCCTCACCCTGGCAGCAGAGACCCACGTTGGCCATCGAGAAAGAACCGACGCCTAGCGAGAAGTGACAGGGAACATTCAGGATCCCCCGCCTGCCCCCGTCTGGACCTTGAGATGAGGAAGGACTTTGTCGTTTTTGTCACTTTAACCGAATCTTGGACAATCACCGCCCAAAGCGTGCACTCTGTGGGCTGTTTAAAAAATTATATGCGCACAGACTCTAAAGGAAAAACCAGAGACAAACCGCTCATATTCCATGAACCTTCCTTCTGCATAAACCGCCACGTGTCGCTTGGCAAAGCCGTGGGCCTGGCAGTGGGGTTAGCCTTTCCCACTCAGGAACCGCGCTGGCCACGTTTCTGCCGGCATCAGCGCCCCTGAGCTGCTTTCCAAAGCGCGGCGTCAGGAACGTCACTCTTCACTGTTGAATTCAACGTGGGCACCTTTAATGGCTCAGTCATTTTTTTAAAAAAAATCAAAATTCCACGCAGGGGCCTTGGTTCCAGAGCTCCCTTTCCAGGAGGCTGTTGCGCGGGCTGGCCACCAGGTGGCACTGTTGCATAGCAAAAGGAACGCGGCTCCGCGCTGGAGAACCGGGCCGGGCTGCGCGGAAGCCCTGGAGGGCCAGCCGGGTGGAGGGAGCTGCAGGAGGGGGCGGCGTGCTTTCCGGGGGTGCAACTTGGTTTTCCCTGGAGGGATAAAGCTCTCCTTTGGCAGGTGCCTGGGGGTGCCCTTTAAAGCAGGGAGCCCAGGGAAGACCCAGCTCTCTTCCTGTGAGCTCATCCCTGGCATTCAGGGTGAAGGACCTGCAGCCTGGTCTCGGAAACGGCCCTCCAAGGCCTCCTTGTCCCCTGAAGCACACAGGCAGACCGCGGGTCGGGGTGCACCGTGGCTGTCCCTTCCCTCCAATGCTGGGCGACCCGGGCGGGTGGCCACCGCCTGACCTGGGCCTCCTGGCTGCCAGCCTGCACGCCCTGGGTGCAGAGGCAGGCGAGCCTGGCCTGGTCTGAACAGTCTTATGAGGATTCTCTGGGCCCGTGTGCTCCCGCCTGCCCCTGAAGGGCGTAGTGGAAGCATCCGAACATGCACTGGGTACCCTCGTGGCCTGGGACAGCCCTTCCCTGCTGGGCTCCTTGCTTTGTGTTAACCCTGAGGCCTGGGAGCCTGAGTTGGGGAAACGGGGGACTCCAGACAACACCCAGCTTGGATGCCGGCGTCCACTTCTGCTCAGAGAATCCAGTCAACTCAGGGCTTTGGGCTTTCCCATGACCAAAGAAAAGAAGTCAGTGAATGAGAATCAAATAAAGGAAATGATTTTCTGCCACCACCGGGGCGCAGACTTGCTGTCCATACCACTGTCCCTGGCTGTAGCACCCATGTGTGCCTGTGTGTCCAGAGGCCCACGGAGCCCAGATGGGCCTGGGGATGATTTCAGCCTCCAAGGAGGCCGCCCATCTCTTCCGGTGGCCCCTGCTTCTCACCCAGTGTGGGCCAGGCCCACCTGAATGCTGAGGGCAAGGACGAGTGGTCGTTACCTAAACGAGCCAGAGATGGCCTCTGGGGACTGGCCCTTGGGTCACTTATTTCTTCCCTGCAGGCTGAGCTCATTAGTTCAAGAGCCCACTGGCACCAAACTCAGATTTTTATACATTCAATTGTTTTAAAAATAGCCCCAAACAAGCAGACTTTCAGCCATTTAGAGCCTGCCTGTTGCATGTATTCTGCAAAACCTCACCTGGCAGCTGTTCGCTATTCATCATCCTCACTCTCTGTCTATCTCTCTGAGTCCATCTCTGTCTCTGTCTCCATCTCCATCTCTGTCTCTGCCTCTGTTTCCGTCTCTGTCTCCATCTCTGTCTCTGCTTCTCTTCCCCCTCTCTCTTGCTCTCTCTCCCTTCTCTCTCCGTCTTTCTCTGTCTCTTGCTCTCTCTCTTCCTTCTTTCCCCCGCTCTCTCCCTTTCTCTCCCCTTTCTCTCCCCCACCCCTACCACCCTGTCTCTCTTATCTGTATGATGGGGAATGAAGGATGCAGCAATGGCCGCCCATGTGTCGGTGGGAGCTCACTTCCCCAAGCCTTTACTTGAGGGGACTCTGAAGGGCTTCATGTCGCGTCAGCTTGTGATACGCACAAGCCGACTGCAGCAGACACAGCTGGGCCCTGTGTGCACATCTTCGCCCACCTCGAGGTCACCTGTGGACACCAGCATGGAGTCCAGCCTGTGGGGAAGGCTGGAGTCAGGGAGGCTAATGCCCTTCTAGGGGCAATCTGTACTAATGAAAGAGAAATAACTCAGAGGACACCATGGCGTCCCCTGCAGCCTTGCAGAGGGTCCCCAGCAGCTGTTCCTGCACTGAGGCCTCCTTGGCCTCCTCCTCCCTCTTCCCTGCGCTTCCCCGAATCCGCCCCCAACCCGTGAGCTTTGCCCTCCAGCCTTTGGCTCAGTGTCTGTTTTTGAGGAAACATAAACTAAGATAACAGCCTTGTGATTTCAGGGCTCCCTGTGACCGCAGCAGGGCCTGGGTTATCCGGGCGGATGCAGCTGTCCACAGACAGGCCTGAGGCTGGGCAGGGGGTAGGGGGCTGTGGCCTGCGTGTGCCTCTGTTCCCATTCCCGTCCCCTTCTTCCTTGAGGAGCACACGCCTTCTCCACTGTCACATTCCTCCTGCATCAGGAGCCCCCTGGAACCCGCGGCTTCGGGTCTGGTGCACCCTGTGGGGCCTCATGCCACTTGGTGTCACGTACTCAAGAGTTTATTTTCCCACAGAAATTTAGGAGAAAGTAGGGATTGTTTGTAGTCAAAGGAAGAAGTGTTCCTCAGTGGATGGAGAAGGCCTGGCTGTGCTCCAAGGCCCTGGGCCCTGCATACTCATCTCCTGGGGCTTCCTGAAGCTCCCTGTGGAGCGTGAGCCTGCCGGGCCACCTGGAGCACAGGGGGCCTCCAGGGACAGTGGGGGCACTGCGGGCCGGGCCCACGAGTGGGCTCCTTCACCTGGGCCTCCCCCAGGGCTGACAGCCCCTTGGATCCCAGGGAAATGCGTCCCAACCACAGAATGAGGTGCTGCTGGGGTACCTCCTTCCTCGAGCAGGACAGCCAGTCATGGTGCCCCTCTCTGAGTGGCATGGGCATCCAGGTAGAAGAGTGCCAGGACATGCCTGGGCAGCACCCTCTGGGATGCCACGGGCTCTATCCCCAGCTGCCCGCTGTGCCTCATTCTGGGGTTGATGGGTGCCAGGGCTCCCGCATGCTGGACCAGCAGGGCACCCTGCAAGGTGGTGCCGCCTTGAGGCAGTGCCAGGAGGTGACGGCTCGCCCACACAGGCTCCCGAACATCAGGGATACGCAGTAAAGACAACCTCATTCTAATGTTCTGTCTGTTTGGATAGGGACAAACACAGCCCAGATCTCAGCCCCCCGGCAGACACCAGACACCGCAATGATTTGCTCCAGCAAGCCAACTGTCCCGGAGCGGTAGCTGCTGGAGTCCTGATCCAACTCCACTATTGTCATTCCTATACCCAGGTGTGGGCGATCTGTGCTGTTAGACCTGGGGGGCTGCAATGGGTGGGACGGAAGCCTCTGGACCCCCAGTCCCTGGTGTAGAATGGTTCCTGGGAGTCTGGAAGAGGTGCCATTTCTCACGCGCCTGTCGGGGATGGACTGACAGCTGCAGGACCCACCTCGCCGCTTCTAGCTGTGGGTCCATGCAGCCAACACAGAGGTTTGTGGTCACTGAGGACATTCGTGCAGACACTTTGTCCAGTGCCCGAGGGGACAGCTGCAGGCCAGCTGTAGAGTCCATGCAAGTTCTGCCCTGAGCGGTTTGCATTGAAATCCAGGCAGTCGTCTGCTCTCCACACACTTCCACTCTGACTGGGAGGGGGCCGCAGTGTCCTTCAACCCCATGGGTCAGCGTCCACAGGCCCTGGATGATTTAGGCAGAGTTATACCAGTAAAAGACCACAGCTGTCTGGGGAAGCCAGGAGCATGCCTGGCACCCACTCAGATGCTGCCCTGGCAGCAGCCTTGTTCAGGGTCCCAGTCTCCTGCACATCCGGGACGCTGAGCAGGGCTGGCTGTCAAGTGGGGCTGGCTGCCGTGCTCACCTGCCTTCTGCTGCTGGGGGCCGGGGGACTGTGCTTCTTCGCCTTTAGTGGTGGAAGGAAAATACTCATGTAACAAAAACTATACACATGAAGTGTTTTCCCCCAAAGAAACAAGGGTGCTAGCCGGAAAGATGATCAGCTGCCAGAAAACCAAATAAAATAGCAAACCTTCTCTATAGGTGCCCAAGATGCCCTTGACAAAACTCCAAAGCCACTCATGGCAAAACCCAAAGCCAAAGAGAGATGGGAGGAAACTGCTCAAACATGAGGAATCGTGCTTCTCAGGAGCCAGTGGTGAACACGACCTTAACATATGAAATGCAAACCACTGTCATTCGAATGAGAACTAACGTGGTCCCCGTCACCCCCATCATTTATTTTGGTTCTAGCCACCGCAGGAGGATCACAGAATAACACAGGCCATGTAGGGAAATTGCAGCCTGGCCGGGCATGGTGGCTCACATATGGAATCCCAGCACTTTGGGAGGTTGAGGTGGGCAGATCACCTGAAGTCAGGAGTTAGAGACCAGCCTGGCCAACATGGTGAAACCCCATCTCTATCAGAAACACAAAATTATCTGGCCATGGTGGCAATTGTCTGTAGTCCCAACTGCTTGGGAGGCTGAGGCAGGAGAATCACTTGAACCCGGGAGGAGGAGGTTGCAGTGAGCCGAGATGGTGCCACTGCACTCCAGCCTGGGTGACAGAGCGAGACTCCATCTCAAAAAAAAAAAAAAAAAGAAAAGAAGGAAAGAAAGAAAGAAAGAAAAAAGAAAGGAAAGAAAGGAAGAAAATTGCAGCCTGCCTGAGTGGGGTGTCCTGCTGGTGAGGTGAGTGCTGCTGGGGTCTGGGCTTGTTGCTGACATATGCCTTGAGAAAGGTTTGAATAGGGCCGGGAACAGTGGCTCACACCTGTAATCCCAGCGCTTGAGAGGCTGAGGCAGGCAAATCACTTGAGATCAGGAGTTCAAGACCAGCCTGGCCAATATAGTGAAACTCCGTTTCTACTAAAGACCCCCCCCAAAAAAAACAAAAAAAAAACAAAAACAAAATTAGCCGGGTGTGATGGCTCATGCCTGTACTCCCAGCTTCTTGGGAGGCTGAGGCAGGAGAATCGCTTGAACCCAGGAGATGGAGGTTGCAGTGAGCCGAGATTGCACCACTGTAATCCAGCCTGGGCGACAGAGCGAGACTCCATCTCAAAACAAAACAGAAAGGTTTGAATGTTCCTCAGCCACTTGAGTGGCCCGGTCTGCCCAAGTATGAGAGATTTCCAGGGATGCAGGGCTTTCAATGCTAAGAATCATTTTAAAAAGGCAGTCTCCGGGAGTGAGTGGGTCGCCCTAGCGGCTGTGACTGGTGGCGCCCTTCCCCGCCCCTCACCAGCCCTGAAGAAACTGCCCCTCATTTTTGTTTTTCTTTGCATTTGTGTGATGGCTGCTAACTTTCTTGCATGCACATTGGCCATGAGTGTTTCCTGTAAGATATAAGTTTCCTGTGTGTATTATTTGCCCATATTTCTTTTCTTTTTTTTGAGACGGAGTCTCACTGTGTTGCCCAGGCTAGAGTGCGGTGGTGCCATCTCGGCTCACTGCAGCCTCCACCTCCCGGGTTCAAGCAATTCTCCTGTCCCAGCCTCCGAAGTAGCTGGGATTACAGGCGCCCGCCACCATGCCTGGCTAATTTTTGCATTTTTAGTGGAGACAAGAGTTCATCATGTTGGCCAGGCTGGTCTCGAACTCCCGACCTCGTGATCCACCCACCTCGGCCTCCCAAAGTGCTGGGATTCCAGGCATCAGTCACGGCACCCAGCCCATATTTCTACAAAGATTTTGTCTTCATCTTTTAAGTTCAGAATGTAAATACCCTGTGGCTCTTCCATCTTGTTTTGGGCCTTAGTCTGAATTGCGCCCTGTCACCACAAGGTGCATGAACAAGGGCACTGGCACTGCCTTCAGTGTCACAGAAACAACAAAACGATGCCAAACACACGACGTGAAATGCTGAGATCTCCATCAACAGGTGACCGCCGAATTCACGACGATCCAACGTAACCGTGGAAGCTGATGGAAAAAAGGAGGTGCATATACATATTGATGTTACAACCGTCCCATGTTAGGCTGGGCGCGGTGGCTCAAGCCTGTAATCCCAGCACTTTGGGAGGCCGAGGTGGGCGGATCACGAGGTCAGGAGATCGAGACCATCCTGGCTAATACGGTGAAACCCCGTCTCTACTAAAAATCCAAAAAATTAGCCAGGTGTGGTGGCGGGCACCTGTAGTCCCAGCTACTCGGGAGGCTGAGGCAGGAGAATGGCGTGAACCCGGGAGGCGGAGGTTGCAGTGAGCTGAGATCGTGCCACTGCACTCCAGCCTGGGTGACAGAGCAAGACTCCGCCTCAAAAAAAAAAGAAAAAAAAATAAGAAAGAAATCTGCAGGTTTATGAGCATGAGCACAGACAGTGGGTGAAACAGACACTAAGAGGTGTTCACACTGACAGCGGAAGGATCAGGACGAGAAGGGGTTGGGGGAAGTTTTTCGCTTTTAATTTTTGTACCCCCTATTGTTTACCCAGTAAGAATGGTCGGGTATTCCTTTTATAATTAAAGGAAGTAATCCATTGAAGAAAATAAAATAAATAAAGTTGAAAAAGATGCATGCCTATTGTGGGCCTTTCTTTTAGGTAAAAATAATGTCTAGAAAAATGAAAACCAAAATTTCTAACCATACTTTTTTTAAAGAAAGAAGTTGGTAAAGATAAAAACATAAATTAGGCCAGACTCGGTGGCTCACACCTGTAATCCCAGCACTTTGGGAGGCCGAGGTGTGTGGATCACAAGGTTGGGAGATTGAGACCATCCTGGAGAACACAGTGAAACGCTGTCTCTACTAAAAATACAAAAAATTAGCCGGGCGTGGTGGCGGGCGCCTGTATTCCCAGCAACTCAGGAGGCTGAAGCAGGAGGATGGTGTGAACCCGGGAGGTGGAGCTTGCAGTGAGCCGAGATCGCGCCACTGCACTCCAGCCTGGGCGACAGAGCGAGACTCCGTCTCAAAAACAACAACAACCACAAAAACCCAAAAAACATAAATTAAAGAAATAGAAAAGAAGAGCTGAGCATTTCACAAACGGAGAGCAGGTGTCTGGTGTTTGGTGTGTTCCGGTCGAGTGTAGTCAGGAAAAGGAAGCCGCGTTGTCTGCGGGGCGGGGGCCTGTGCTTGTGGCTGCAGCAGCCCCTTCCCATCAGATAAGGACATTGTTCATGCGCGGACTGGCACCCAGGACAAAAACAACACCCACAAAACCTGGTAGCCCCACTTAATGTTCCCCTGCCGCGGCGGCTGGAGGATGGAATTACCAGAAGCAATTAGACAAAGGAGGTTCAGAACCACAGGCATGGAATTAACTAACTTTATTTAAGATGACATGTGGAGAGACTGGAAGGACACCTTCGCTCTGTCTGGGAAGCCGTGAGGCTGAGGGGGCTGTCCCCCGCCCGGGTCCCGTGGGGAGCCCATCTTCTACCAACCCATCCCAGGTTCAGCAGGGTCTCTTGCTTTTGTTCGGAGCGCAGCAGGAGGCCACTGAGGTGCCCACAAAGGGGAGAGATGGGAGGCAGACCATGTTCTCAGTGACCACTGTCTCTGCTGTGTGATGAGGGGTTGTCTTGGGGAGGAAAGAATGCATGTGACCGGCAAAGCTGCAGAAACTCAGCTTAGAACAGGTCACAATCATGGTAGCAAACACTGGGGTGGGGAAGTCGGCCCTGACTGAGAGGCCAGGATGGATCCCAGGTACGTCTCTGAGGGGAAAGGAACAGGGCCCGTCACGAGCAGGAGGTGCCGCTGAGGAAAAGCAAGTTTCTGATGTGACTCCTGACTTCTCACAATGGGGCGTGGCACCAGCAATCAGAAGGGTAAAGGCTGTGGGTCGAATCAGAAGGTGCATCATACGTATGCCGAGATCAGACGCCTGTGACACGGCCAGGAGGTGTGCAGAACACAGCCCATGATGAGACTGCCCCTTGGGCACAGTTAGGGACTGCAGGATCATATTTAAAATTTCTGGTGCACAGATGTTGTGTAAAGAGACTGGGAGAGCGGGAGATTGGGAGAGGGGAAGGAGAGGAGGAGGGGGAGAAGGAGAAGAGAGAAGGCCTCCAGGAGCCTCAGAGCTGATGGACGCGGAGAAGCTGCGAAGCCTACACAGGGGACAGCCGGGAGGGTAGGGGCAGCAGGTGAGAGGAGAGAGGGCGTTAAGCTGGACGGGGTGAGCTGTGCGGGTCACCACAGGCGCAGAGGGATGATGAGCACAGAACACTGCCTTCGGGGGCTTGGGTGACCACGAAGACGTGTGTCAGGCTGGAGACCCTACCCTGCTTAGAAGCTGAATGTCAGTCTATGACTGTCTCATGGGTACCAATAAACATACTCCCCATGGCCCTGTCCCACTCTCCACGGCCCTGTCCCACTCCCCACGGCCCTGTCATACTCCCCACGGCCCTGTCAAACTCCCCACGGCCCTGTCATACTCCCCACGGCCCTGTCAAACTCTCCACTGCCCTGTTGCACTCCCCACAGCCCTGTCGCACTCCCCACGGCCCTGTCCCACTCCCCACGGCCCTGTCACACTCCCCACGGCCCTGTCCCACTCCCCACGGCCCTGTCCCACTCCCCACGGCCCTGTCACACTCCCCACGGCCCTGTCCCACTCCCCACGGCCCTGTCACACTCCCCACGGCCCTGTCCCACTCCCCACGGCCCTGTCCCACTCCCCACGGCCCTGTCCCACTCCCCACGGCCCTGTCCCACTCCCCACGGCCCTGTCATACTCCCCACGGCCCTGTCCCACTCTCCACGGCCCTGTCCCACTCCCCACGGCCCTGTCACACTCCCCACGGCCCTGTCACACTCCCCACGGCCCTGTCCCACTCCCCACGGCCCTGTCAAACTCCCCAAGGCCCTGTCACACTCCCCACGGCCCTGTCACACTCCCCACGGCCCTGTCCCACTCCCTACAGCCCTGTCGCACTCCCCACATCCCGTGGCATCTGGCTGTACATGGAAGTGAGGAAGCTGCTGTCTCCCCCAAAGAACATTGCTCCCAGCCAGGGCTCAGCCCTGTGGGGCAGGACTCAGAGGCTCCTGGTTCAGAGACCAGGGCCCTTGTCACTTGCAGCGTGAACAGCAGGGAACTTTGCCCCCGAGTCCCACAACAGAGGTGGGGACCTTGTCACGGTGGGCCCAGGTGTGACAACACAGGGCCAGCGATTCTTCACCCGGCAGCAAACACTGCAGCAGACGACAAACATTGCAGCCCTTGGCAAACAAAAAGCACGCAGCAAACAGCGTGGTCAGCGAAAAGACCCTCCCCTCCCCGGGGATCAGACAGTGCAAGGCCATCCCCGGGATGACCTGCACCCACCCGGCTGCCTGTGTGACCAGCCACAGAACCCACTCTGCATTAGCACCCACGGCCAGGACAGGCAGGGTGCTGCGCCCGTGGCTTCCTGCATCTGCCGACACCACCCGAGGCTGCCAGGCCACAACATGAAGTCAGCTGTGCCAGGAAATCCCAAGCCTCGCCCACACCTGGCCCCGGGCTGTTGCTGCATGCCAAGGGGTTGCCCACCTGGCTGTGGCTGCCTTACCCCATGGAATCCAGGCTCCAACTGACCTCACCATTCTGTGGGTTAATTTTCATTCTTAAAACCTTCATCTAAAGACCTTTGCTTCCTGGAACACAGGCCTGGGTTTTCCCAACAGTCGTGGGCACCCGGCCTGGCACGTGCTGCTCAGTGGAGGGACCTCACAGCCCGTTCTATGTGAGCTGTG
Source organism: Homo sapiens (assembly GCF_000001405.40). NCBI lineage: Eukaryota > Metazoa > Chordata > Mammalia > Primates > Hominidae > Homo > Homo sapiens. The sequence goes on from NC_000011.10 coordinate 1,662,266, forward strand.
CAGGAAAAGCTCCACGGACAAACTCACTCTCCGTGACAATCAGGAGGTTTCTTCTCCAACCACAAGAAGGAGCTGGGGGAGCTCGTGAGGCCAGGAAGAGAACAGTCCTAATCCCATCCTTCCCCTCCTCAGCAGTGACCCCAGGGTCTGCTGTCCTGCCCCAACCCACACTTCAAAGAAGGAAGGACACCTGCCTTCCCCTGCTACCTCACACCCCGAAGCATGGGGAGCATGGGGACCCTTGGCAGAGTCCTTTTGTAGTGAAGAATAACAGACTAGTGTAAAATAGCAGAAAAGAAGCTAATGGCCAAACACATCCAAGCTGGGGAAAACACCTGTTAAATATAATGACAGAATATGCTCTCATCAAAACCCAGGAAACTTTAAGAATACACTAAACCTCACAAAATGGGGGCGAAATACAATGATGACCACACGTATGAGAAATGGTCAATGGTAGAATTGAAAGAAATGCAAGGGAAATGAAAGATAAGGGGTCCTTTCCAAGCAAAGTGGCAACGCCACAACAGCTCGCAGTCAGTCTTGGCGGGACAAGAATGCTGGGCAGTGCTGGTTTGCAGGGAGGGGTCAACTTTTCTGGAAGCAGCCCAGCAAAGTGCCCCACGAGCCATCAATTATTCCTGTGCTTCGCAGCCACAGCCCACGAATGCAGGTGCAGCCACAGAAGCGCTGGCAGAGGGGAGGCTGAGAGTGGCGCTGGTTGAAGATTTCTCACAGGAAACAAAAGGCACAGCCTCCACGTGGCTCATGGCCATGAAAACCCTTGACTCAAAACTTTCCACGTCGTGAGGAAGACGCGGGTCAGCTGCCCTAGTTGGGTGATGATGATGCTGTCAGGGAAAGCGTCTGTGCCTATGTGGGGAGAGTAGGGGAGTGAGAAACAAAGCAAAGCGTGGTGGCTCTGTGGCTCCAGTGCCCCGGAGGCCACGGCTCACTTTTTCACAATGAACATGGGCTATTTTCATTTTTTAAAGTCTACTAATGTTTCTAAGGAGACCATACAGAACCGAAAATTCTGAATAACCTTGTCTTCCATAAGGCAGACTTTTCATTTCTGTCACCTTTCCGGAAGGGCTGGACACAGAGTCTGTGGGTCTGTGATGGAGGCGCCACCATCTCACCCCGAGTCCACGGCCCTCAGTCTCTGTGCTCCCCGAGCCGAAGGTGAGGAATCCATGCCTTATGGTTGGCGAGGGCTGCTGGGGCACCTGCCATCTCATCTGCATCCTGGGAAGCAGGAAGGAGCACAGAGGAAAACACAAGCCTGCTCTGGCCAGCTCAGTGTGCTCCTTCCAGAAACAGGTAAACACAAAATTACCCTGCGAAGCCGCCATTCCATTCCTAGGTCTATCCCCAAAAGAAATCAAAGCAGGGACTCAAATACTTGCACAGCCCTTGCCACGACCTGGATGTAGTCAGTGCATCTGTTCCCAGCAAAACTCTTGTTGAAACGGGACCCCCAGTGTGGCAGCGTAGGGAGGTGGGGCCTGAGGGGAGGGAGACGTGTGGGTCGTGGGAGTGACTCCCTGGGGAGTCCGTGGTGCTGGGAGTGATTCTCCTCTTGTGATACAGGGTGAGTTCCCATGGGAATGGATTTGTTCCCATGAGTGGGGCTTGTTCTGAAGCCAAGACATCCCTGAGCTTTATCTCTCTTCCCGTGTCTGCTTCCCCTTTGACCTCCTCCAGCAGAAGCCAGGGCCATGCCATTGAACTTCTCAGCCAGCAGAACTGTGAGCTTGATGAATTACCCCATCACAGAGGTTCTTTTATGGCTACACAGAATGGACTCAGACACCCATGCTCACAGCCGTGCAGTCACAATAGCCCAAAGGTGGAAACAACCCAGCAGGTGAGGGGATCTGAAATGGGGTAGACAAACACATCGGGGTCTTACGGAGCCTGGAAAAGGAGTGTGCTCTGACGCCTGCAGCAACGCCACCAACCTTCACAGCCTCGTGCCGAGTGAAGCCAGCCAGTCACAATAGGACCAATGCTGTGACCCCACAGATGGAAGGCCCCCAGAGGAGTCAGATTCAAGAGGAAGATGGCAGAATGGCAGTCAGCAGGGCCAGTGACAGAGGCCGATGGGAGTGAGTGATTAGTCAGGACGGAGCTCCAGTTTCGCGCGATGAAAAGGTGCTGGAGCTGCATGGTGGCGACAGTGGCACAGCCACGTGCAGGTTCCCAATGCCACGGAACTGTGCACTTACCATGGGGATGGTGGGAACTCTCATGTACCCGCATTTGACCAGAGAGGAAGGAAGGAAGGGAGGGGGGAGGGAGGAGGGAGGGAGGTAGCAGAGAAGGAAGGAAGGAAGGGAAGGGGGAGGGAGGAGGGAGGAGGCAGGGAGGGAAGAAGGAAGGAAGTGAGGGAGGGAGGAAGGGAGAGAGGGATGGAGGGAGGGAAGAAGGAAGGAAGGACGGACCAGCCTGTTAGGCTGACTGACAGAGTACCCCCTGTCCTCCAATGCTGCCCACGGCAGGCATGTGGCAGTGGCTGACAGGGAGTGAGTCTGGAAGCGACCCTTGTCGGGGCAGCCTCCTTGGTCCTGTGATTCAAGACAGGGTGAAAGTCAGTGGCGGCCATTGGTGCCTCTGGCCGGGGTTCCTCACAGGGGCCCGCAAGGGGACAGCGAATGGAGCGTGGAGGGTGGAGGGCTCCTTCTCCAGACCGGAGCGATGGGTTCGGGAGCCATTCTGTGCCTGTCTTTGCTGCTGGGCTGAGGAGCTGGATGGCATGCTGGGAGTAGTGGGAGCTGCTGAGGAGTTTGGTCCTGGAGCGAAGAGGCTGAATCCGCATGTCTGGAGTCACCGTGGAGGGCACAGCTAGAGGGAGCAGCAGGGTGTCCCAGGGAGAAGACACCAGGGCTGGAATTAGAGGGACATCAAGGCTGATACTTAGAGGCATCCAATATATGGGGCCTGCCTGATGGGCTGCTCTCAGGTGGGATTTGGGGGGTGTGAGAGGGGTCAGTGCCCAAATGACCATGGGGTCCGTGGCCTGTATGCCCAGTCAGGTGACGACGCCATTCAGAAAGTAGATCTCATGGGGTGCCCGGCTGCTGAGTCTCAGGCCAGATCTGCAGTGAGTGTGCTGCCCCAGGCGTGGAACACTCTGGTGCCATCGGGACCCAAGGCTGAGTGCACCCAAGAGCTGTGGGTCTGAAACAGCGGTCAGAGGTCACTGACATGTGGAGGAGGCCCCTGGAGTGTGGGAGACAGAATCCCCAGGTGTCAGGCTTGGCAGGAGGCTTTGCAGGTGGGGAGGAAGGGCAGGTAGCGTGGCTGCCGGAGGAGGGAGGGCACTGGTAGGAGGAGGGTGGCCTGTCCCGGGCAGACCAGCCTCTTTGGGCTGTGTGGCCCCAGCTCCCTGAGCCCAGAGGGAGGTGAGGGTGAGAAGGCCTGGACCAGGCAGGACGCAGCCCCCAGGGCCCCTGCTGGGAAGAGGTCAGAACCTCCCAAGGACCCAGAAGGCCAGGTAACTGAGAACGGGGCTGCTCTCTGAATCTCCAGGGAGGACAAAGGCGGCCATGGCAGCAAGGGGACAGGGCAGAGGGAAAGGCCGGCAGGTGGATGTTGGAAGCCGCAGATTCCCATCCAGTATCCTAGAGGAGGAGACCCAGGGCTGTGTCCTAGGAGGCCCAGGAAGCCTGGTCAGCCTGGAGGCTGAGGGCGGGCCCGGGAGATCTGGTAAGGACATCAGTGTCTCCACGAAGAGCAGCAGGGTCTCAGCCCATGGCAGCCGCAGGCCCCATGACTGGGGCCGCAGCCTCCAGAGCCGCCACAGCAGCCCGTTGTTCTGGGGGGTCAAAGGTGGAGGCTGTCAGAGGGGCAGTGCAGGGGGCTGCTGGGGTGAAGCCCCCTGTAGCAGCAGCACCCAGCCTGCTGTGGCTCTGCCCTCCTGGACCCCCTGCCCTCCTGGACCCCCTGTCCTCCTGGACCCTCTGCCCTCCTAGACCCCCTGCCCTCCAGGACCCCCTGCCCTCCTGGACCCCCTGTCTGTGGCCCCTGCTCCTCTCCTCCTTCCCCGACACATGACTGGACCCCCCGATCTGCAGCCGGGGTCTGGGCACTGGGGGTCCTGTGGACCTCTCGGTGTCTGGGGACAATCACAGGTTCCCGTGCCCACACCCAGCCTCTGCTTCCAGAACACACTAGAGGGTCCCGGCATCCTGATGAGTCCACTGTCCCCGCGATGGTTTTCAGGGATGGAGAAGGCTCCCTGTCCTCCGCTGGAACCCTGCAGCCGGGCTGACGGTACCCCCACCACCCACCCAGGGGCCCCAGACCCTCCCCATCTCCACCGCCAACCCAGGCCCCGGCTGCGCACGCGGGGCCAGGCCGTGAGCTGCTGTCCCCGGATGGGGCCGCCCCGGGCTGGCCTGGCTCACTCCGTGTCACAGATATTCCCACAGAGACCCCAGCGAGACCTGCAGAACATTACAGCAGAATGAAGGAGAGCCAGAGGAAGAGGCAGATGTGCTGGCCTGTAAACAGTCTGATTTCCAATGTAAACCAGATTCAGGCCCACGACATCAGGTAAACATCTGCATCAGAGCCCCCGGCCCCCCACCGCCCGGGAGGCCCCGGGGTCCACACGGCCGACTCTGGGACCCGTCACAGTGACCGCCGAGACATTTCGTAATTAGGCAAAATTGATCCTTGCATTCCTTCCCTAAATCCCAAATCTCTGCAATTTTACTTCTTCTCAAAAATGAAAACATTTGGCAATTAGCTGATCCAAGTGAAAAAGGTAGAGAATGTGCTCTCAACTGGAAAATGCCAATTAAGGAAGCAGCTCTGACTTCCCACCCGCCCTGGCTAAGCTGGGAGCTTATCTTCCCCGAGAAGAATCTGCTGGGATAAGGGGGCTTGGGAAACACCGAGGGCAGGGCTGCCTCCTCAGCTTCCTCTGAGAGCAGATTAGCCGTGGCCTTGTGCCAGCAGGGCCTGGGTGCCACACAGGGTGGCAGGGGTGGCAGAGCCGGGCCCGGCTCTGGTACTGGGATTTGGGGTGGCGGGACCCAGTGGGGCACCCGCTTGTGGGCGGCACTGAGGGCGGTGACGTAGGCAGCGGGTGCCGGTGTCTGCCCCTCCATCTGGCCGGGCTCCCCACCCTGCTCCTGCAGCCCTGGACCTCAGGGCCCATTTGCGGTGCAAGGCGGCTCTTGGCCATTTTGCCCGCAGGGCCCTACCTTGGGTCTTGGGAGCTTCTGTCCCTTGCCCTCTCTTGTCCAGGTCAGCATCTCCCACTGTGGGAATCCTATGTGGCCCCATCGTCTGGACAGTGTGGGTCAGGTCACTGTGGCTGTTTTGTGATGCGTGTGTGGGCTCATCCCTCAGTGCTCAGAAGCTGCAGACACTATGGAACCGCTTTTCAGGCCCCGTGGCCGTCACCCCCGCTCTAGAGACTTGATTGCAGGGACCATGCCCGGCCGGCCTAACTGCACCCCTCACTCCAGGTGGGTGGGGGGACCCAGGCCTGCTGGCCCCTGTGGTGGTGCAGCCCAGAAGGTGTGAATCAGTTTACACTGTTCAGTGCCTGAATAAAAGTCACAGGACAAAGAGGACTTGGTTGCACAAACTACTGACATGAAATTCACATTTTGTCCTGAAGGAAACGCAAGATGAATTGAACTCATGTTCAGTTTTTATTTCTCATTTCTCCCGCCTCAGTCTCTTCTCACGTGCACGACCTCACAGCGCTGTCACAAGGCCTGCTGGGCACACGCAGCTCATAGAGAAGTGATGGCTTCCTCCTTGCCCCCTCACCTCCCTCCTTCCCCTCTCCCCCTCACTTCGGAGCACGCAGGCTGATTGTGGAGACATCTCCCAGCCAGGATGTGTCAACAGGGAATGTGCTGGGGACAGCGGGAGTTCACAGCCACCCCCGCAGGCGCCTTCCTGGAGCACGTCCACAGGCCATGTGCAGCTGCATCCCCCACGACGGCAGGGACAAGTTCCTTCCATAGGGCCCGGGTGGCCCCCAGAGCTGCACCATTTATGATCCGGTCCTTTGCAGAACGCAAGGGACAGACACATGAACCCTGACCTAGGTTCTTGTGCAGAAATGTTCTCTCATCGGAATAGAAAGGTATGAGTCTCAGGACTGGTTCTCTGCAAAGCAGCCATCGGCCTTTCAAGCAGAAACCATGGAGCCCCCAGAGGCTGAGTCTTCCAAGGCGCTGGGAGACTTGGCGTTTGCCTCTTTTTTAAATGCAATGACCGTTGCAGTGCATGGAATCAGAGACATGTATCTATGCGTAGAAATGAGTCTGTAAACACGATCAAGGTGTGATTTCTGTATGACAATGCAGTTGGATCAGAAATTGGAGAGTGCTGGCCGGGCGCGGCGGCTCACGCCTGTAATCCCAGCACTTTGGGAGGCCGAGGCGGATGGATCACTTGAGGTCAGGAGTTCGAGACCAGCCTGGGCAACATGGTGAAACCCCATCTCTACTGAAAACACAGAAATTAGCCGGGTGTGGTGGCGTGTGCCTGTAGTCCCAGCTACTCGGGAGGCTGACGTGGGAGGATCACTTGAGCCCAGGAGGCAGAGGCTGCAGTGAGTAGAGATAGCACCACTGAACTCCAGCCTGGGCAACAGACTGAGACTCCATCTCAAAAAAATAAATAAATAAATAAATAAATAAGAAAGAAAAGAAGAAATAGTGGAGTGCTGTGGTCACTCTGGAAAAAGAGGAGGGACCCCACCCAAATGTGGTTCCTCCGTCAACCCTGAAGACGCCCCCACACACCGGGACGAGATGAAAGGGTCTGGTACTTACCTAGCTGGGCTTTCACGGGGTGCACGGTGGCTTCAGGAAGGGAGCTGGCGTGGGGCTCTTCTTATGCCTCGGGGGTGGGGTGATGGCCTCACATGGGCAGGAGCCTGCAGGGCTTGAGCCTCTCACTGGCACCAAAGACACCTGCCCTGCTGTGGGGCACACGGGAAGAGGGATGGGTGAGGTGTCAAAGCAGTGAGCCGTCAAACATCATAAAAACGGAGTCAGGCTCTTTATTGCAGGAAACAATTTGCGGCTTTCTGTGCAGAGAGCAGGGGGGATTTGAGGTGGGCTTTGTAGAGTGAGGGAGTTCACCAGATTGACAGTGTGGGCTGGGTCACCCTGTGCAAAGCAGCGATTTCCATGTTGCCCCTGAGAGAATGTTTTCCTGTGATCTCCAGCATCGAGATTTAAAAATTATCATGTTCATAGTCTGATGATAAAACATTAATTTTTAGGAAGGCAGAGGACCTGCCTGCTTTTCCTGATAAGACCTCGTTCCATTGCCCTAGGTCAGGCATGGATTATTAACTCTCAGGGTTTTGGGGGACCAGCAGCCACAGATGTGGAGTCCTGGGGAAAGGGTGACAGCCTCCTCTGCCTCCGGGGATTTGTCCTTCAGTGACTTGACGCCCGCAAGAGTGGATGCTAATTCTCACCGTCCCCATGAAATCCCTGCTGACGCATGCTGCCCAGGAGACATCTCCACAATCAGCCTGCCTGCTGGAGAGAGGAAGGAGGGAAGCGAGGGTGCAAGGAGGAAGCCAGCCCTTCTCTGTGAGCTGCATGTGCCCAGCATGCCTCATGACAGCCCTGTGAGGTGAGAGGAGACTAAGGCGGGAGAAATGAGAAGCTTGCCCGAGTCACGCAACCGAAGCACAGAGCCAGGGTCTGGCGCCCTGAGAGGTCCTGGGTGCATTGGATGCTGTGCACGTACTTCAGCAAAGAGGCAGGATGTTGTCATCTTCCTTCGGAGCCAGTAACATTTTCTGCTGCCAGCAAGGAAAGAACATTGGATCACGCGCCTCCATGCAGGCAGGGTCCTTCAGTGGCGCTGATCCTGAGCCCAGCCCTCTCGTGGTCTGTGCTGACGCCAGGGCCTCTCGTTGGAAGGCCTCGTGCTCCACAGTTCCCCCACAAAGGGGAGGATGCTGAACTCTTTACCTGTAATTCTGGCCTCGAAGCAGCTGTTTTCTGCCTGGCTTCTCACCCCAGCCATGCACAGTGGAGGTGTCAGCAAATCCCTGGAGAGAAAGCCCGGTGGACACAGGGTTCCTTTCTCTGAGGCTCCCTTTCCCTGGGATCACAGTAGCTGAGTCGGGGTCTCCAGAGAAACAGAACTGGGGGTAGGGGGGTGCATAAAGTGAGAAGGAGATTTATTATAAGGCGGGGACTCATGGGGTAATGGAGGCTGCAAGTCCAGCATCTGCAGTGTGGGCAGTGTGGGTAGTGTGGGCAGTGTGGGTAGTGTGGGCAGTGTGGGTAGTGTGGGCAGTGTGGGTAGTGTGGGTAATGTGGATAGTGTGGGTAGTGTGGGCAGTGTGGGTAGTGTGGGCAGTGTGGGTAGTGTGGATAGTGTGGATAGTGTGGGTAGTGTGGGTAGTGTGGGTAGTGTGGATAGTGTGGGTAGTGTGGGTAGTGTGGATAGTGTGGGTAGTGTGGGCAGTGTGGGTAGTGTGGATAGTGTGGGCAGTGTGGGTAGTGTGGGTGGTGTGGGCAGTGTGGATGGTGTGGGTAGTGTGGGTAACATGGGCAGTGTGGGTAGTGTGGGTAGTGTGGATAGTGTGGGTAGTGTGGGTAGTGTGGATAGTGTGGGTGGTGTGGGTACTGTGGGTAGCGTGGATAGTGTGGGCAGTGTGGGTAACGTGGGCAGTGCGGGCAGTGTGGGTAGTGTGGATAGTGTGGGTAGTGTGGATAGTGTGGGCAGTGTGGGTAATGTGGGCAGTGTGGGTAGTGTGGGTAGTGTGGATAGAGTGGGTGGTGTGGGTAGTGTGGATAGTGTAGGTAGTGTGGGTAGTGTGGGCAGTGTGGGCAGTGCAGGCAGTGTGGGTTGGCCAGCTGCAGACCCAGCAGAGTCCGTGGAGCGGATGAAGTCCCAAGGCCGTCCGCTGGAGAATCTCTCTTGCTCAGGAAGGCTGGCTTTCTGCTGTATTCAAGACTTTAACTGATCGGAAGAGGCCACCCACATTACAGAAGGCAACATGCTTCACCCAAAGTTCATCCATTTAAAAGTTAACCTCAGGCTGGGCGCAGTGGCTCATGCCTGTAATCCCAACACTTTGGGAGGCCGAGGCAGGCGGGTCACCTGAGGTCAGGAGTTTGAGACCAGCCTGGCCAACATGGGGAAATCCCGTCTCTACTAAAAATACAAAAAATTAGCCGGGCATGGTGGCACACACCTGTGATACCAGCTACTCGGGAGGCTGAGGCAGGAGAATCGGTTGAACCCAGAAGGTAGAGGTGGAGGCTGCAGTGAGCCGAGATCACACCACTGCACTCCAGCCTGGGGAACAGAGCCAGACTCCGTCTCAAAAAAAATAAATAAATGAAGTTAATGTCCTCTAAATACACTTTCCAAATTGACACATAAAATTAATCATCATAAGAGAGCTGACATTCATTTTTTAATATTCAAAATAGGATCTTGCAACAAGACAGTCAGCTGGAAAGCTAGGCTTGTCGAGAGAGGCAGACAGAGAGAAAGAGAGAAACAGAGAGAAAGACAGAGAGGACTTGCTAAGTTCCTTCATCCTATCCAGAAGCAAACCCGGGAGACTTCGCCCATAGCTGCTGTGAGCGTTCGTGGGCAAATGCTTTCATTTCTCTTGCTAAATACCTAGGTGTAGAATTGGTCATATGGAAAGCGTGGACCTCACCGTTTAAGAACCCACCAAACTGTTTTTCAAAGCGGTTGCGTCGTTTAAAATCCCCTCCTCATACTGTATATTTTGTTCTGCTGACCCGTTTGTCTCTCTTGACACCAATCCCCTTCTGTCTCCATGACTGTAGCCTCACGGCGAGTCTTGAAATCACAGATCTTTGGTCCTCCAACTGTTTTCTCTTTTTCAAGATTCTTTTGGTTATTCTAGGTCCTCTGCATGTCCTTATATTTTTTATAATCAACATGGGAATTTCTCTTAAGAGAAAAGAAGCGCTTCTGGGATTCTGATTGCAATGGTACTGAATTCATTAACCCATTTGGGAAGACGTGGCATCCCGTCAATATCAAGAGTTTGACCCGTGAACGTGGTGCGCACCTCCATTTATTTCATTCACCTTGACTTTCTCCCAGCCGTGCTCTTAGCATATCTCGTACATCTTTTGTGAGATTTATTCGTAAGGATTCATGTTCTCTCTGTAATTTTAAATGGCATTTGAGTTCAATTTCTGCTGTAATACAGAAATGCAATTGATTTTTAGTGGCCTCATGAAGATAAAACTCATATCACACACTTCACCCACTTCAAGTACACAATTCGGTGGTTTTTCATATATTCGCAGAGTTGTCCAGCCGTCACCATGCTCTAACCACCATCACAATGTAATTCTAGAACATTTTTATCACCTCAAAGAAGCCATACCCATCAGCAGTCACTCCCTACTCCTCCCGCTGAGCTTCTCCGCTGGCCTTGGCCACCACTGATCTCTCCTCCCTCTCTGCGGCTTTGCCTCTGCTGAATACAAATCGGGTTCTGCTATGTTCATCCTTCTGTGTCTGGCCTCTTTCACTTAGCGCAAGGTTTCAAGGTTCATGCACGTCATGGTGACCAGAACTTCATTTCTTTTTATAGCTGAGAAATACCCCATTGTGTGGCTAGTCTGCGTTTTGTGAAACCATTTATTGGTGCTGGGACACATGGGCTGCTCCCTCCATGTGGCTATTAGAACAATGCCATGGTGGACATTTGTGCACATGTTTTTGTGTGGACACGTTTTCATTTTTCTTGGGTGGAGTAGAATTGCTAAATCATAGGATACATCTATGTTTAACATTTTGAGGAACTGCCAAACTGTTCTCCAAGGCGATTAAATCATGTTGTGTTCCCGCCAACAACATAGGAGTGTTCGAACTTATCCACGTCCTCACTAACACGGATTATCGGCCTCACTGACGCTGTTCCAGAGACAGTGTGGAATGATGCCTCACTGTGAGTGTGTTTTGTGCTTCCCTAATGAGTAGTGACATGCCACACCTTTTCCTGTGCTATTTGCCATTTGTATCTCTTCTTTGGAGACATGTCTATCATTTTTTAAATGGGGTTAATTATCCCTTTATTACTGACTACTGATTTTGTATACTGATCTTATAGCCTACTATTTTGCTTAAGTCACTCATTAGTTCTAGTAGCTTTCTAGAAGATTCTGTTAGATTTTCTACAGGGATGGCCATGACCCTGTCTTACTTCTTCCTCTGCAATCTATGTTTTGTTTTGTTTTGTTTTCCTTTCCGTGCCTCATTGCACCAACTAGAATAGAGACGCTTTGAGTAGGCACTGCTGCTGGTTCCTTCTCTTGGGGGAAAGCGGGCAATCTTCTGCTAGGAAGCAAGATGCCTGCTGCATCTGCTTCGGAGACGCCCCTTTATCAGACTGGGAACATTCCCTTGTGCTCTCATTTGGCTTGAGTTTTTATTATAAATGCATAACGGATATCAGATTTTTTTCTGTGTCTATGGAGATGATCATATGGCTTTTCTTTTTTAGCTTGTGAATGTGGTGAAATGCACTGATCTTTCAAATATTCAGTTGATCTTGCGTTACTGGGATAAACTCCACGTTGTCATCATGTATTATTATTGTACATATTACTGTATCCAGTTTGCTAAATGTTTGCCTCTATGTTCATGAGGGGTATTGGCCTGTAGTTCTCTTGTGATATCTTTGTTTGGTTTTGGTATCAGGATAAGCCTCGTAGAATGTGTTAGGAAATGTTCTCTGGTCTTCGGTTTCCTGGAAAAAGTTGTACAGAGTCAGGATTCTCTATTTGTTGACTGCTGGGTGAAATTTACCAGTGAAACAATTTGACCTGTCATTTCCTTTGTCGGAAGGTTTTTGAACTACAAGTTTAATTTTCTTAACAAATACAGGGCTCTTTGGTTTATCTATTTTTTTAGTGACTTTAATAATTCGTGTCTTTCAAAAAAATGTATCCATCACATCTGAGTTGTCAGATTTATTGACCTGAATGTTCTGAATAGTCCCTTTCATCCTTTTACATATTTATAGAATCTCCTTCTTTCCCAATCTTGCTAATTTGTGCAGTCTCTCTCTTTAGTGATTAGACAGGGGAAAGATTAATCAATTTTATGGATTTTCTGAAATCATGTGTGCAGAGCAGCCACGGGATAGCACGGCCTCTGCACGCTGTGGGGTGTTCATCAGCTGGACAGGCAGCTGCCACCTGGACAGAGTGAAACCCACCGCCTGAGTTCTGGAGTAATTGTCCCAAGGAGGACCTTTCCACTCTGGGTTGTCCTGGAAAGAGGCTGCTCCTCGTCTAGGAAGTGAGGTCCTGGGCAAAGACCTCAGTGGGAGGGAGGAGACATGATCTTCCTGAGTCTCAGCCCCAAGGCACCAGCCTGGATCCCTCGGTGTGCTGCCCAGAGCTCGTCAGGCACTGATGAGGATTGAGAGGAGGGCAGGGGGGAGCACCCACGTACGACAGGACACACACACACACACACACATTCCCCTCCTGAGACATTTGCATCCAGGGAACATGCAGGCAATTCCTTGTTTGTGCAACTAAAACTCCAGAGTCCCCCAAAGTGAAAACAGCAGGCGGCTCCGAAGTGAACTGCAACTACCACCTCTTCCGAGACAGAAAACGCTCAGTACTGGGAGGACAGGGTTTCCAGATTTTTCTTCCCCAAGTAGGTTCCAAAAATACCAAGGCACTGAGTTTCAGCCAGGGCACGCCTCGCACCTGGCCTGGTCCCGGGGATCAGGATGCACTCTCCGCACGGAGCCCTCTTCTTGGTGGCCTCTGCGGCCTCTGCAACGGAGCTTGTCCTGGGACAACAAAGGTCTTAATCTGGCAGCTCCTCAAATGACCAGCCCTGGGAAGGGAACATGGTCATGAAAATAATAAGAAAGAAAAAGGACTACAGCAAAACAGAAAACCTGATTTAAGACAGCAGGACTTTTGAATCCTGATACAACAGGTTATCAGAAGAACGAATAAATTAAACTTACCAATTAAAAGACACAAGAGTATGGATGGAGTTAAACGATGTTACCCGCGAGAGACACAGAATAGTTGACAATAACAGGAAGGGAAAATGCAAGCCAATTGTATGTGGACTGAAAGAAGGCTACAAAAGGATTAAAACATTAAGCCACAATGCAGCTTTCTGACAGTCAAATGATCAACATACAGAAATATATTTTCCAACCACAGGGCAAAAAAAAAATTAGAAATTAAGTCACAAAAGGGATAGTGCAAATATTGTATGTTTGGAAACCAAATAGTCTATTACCATAAATTTGGGGTTAAAGAGATAATCATAATTATTAAAAAGTAATAAAAACATTGCACATTAGAAGGACGGGGCAGAGTGAAGCAGCTGTTACTGAGAGGTGTACGGTACTAAATACATTTCTCACAAATTATGAAATTGGATGTCTACGCAGATGTTTTGCCTGTTTCTAACGGAGCTGTTTTTGTCATTAATTTTTTAGTTCCTTTTCCATTCTGGGTTCAATCTTTCATCAGTGATATGGTTTGCAAATACATCCTCCAGATCTGCGACTTATCTTCCGATTTCTTGTTAGTGTCTTTTGAAGCACACATTTGAAAAAAATTCGATGAAGTTCACCCTATCAATGTTTTATTTTACGATCTTATTTTTGATGTCATGGCTAAGGAATTGCACCTGGCCCACAGCTTCCTTGACTTTCTCCCATGTTTTCTACAAGTTTTAGTTCCCGGTTTTCATGTAACCCTCTTTGTGTTAATTCTTGTGGAGGACATGAGATAGGGTTCCAAACTTCTTTCTCATGTGGCTATCCAGATGTCCCAGCACTATTTGTGGAAAAGACTGTCTGTCCCCCGACTGAGTTCTGTTTGTTGCCTTTGTCAAAAATCAATTGACAATCTACATAAAACGTTTTTTTTTTTTCCTGGACTTTTGATCCTGTTTCATTGATCTGTGTGGCTACAGTGAAACCAATACGAGACTGTCTTTGTTACTAAATTTTGTTCTTTTAAAAAATTGTTTTATCCATACCGGGTCCTTTAAGTTATTTTTGTCATGAAGTTTTTAGCTCTTTTTTCTATTCTGGATACAATCTTTTATCAGTTATATGATTTGTCAATATTTTATCCTAATCGGTGGCTTTCCTTTCATTTTCATTTGTAAATATTAGGATCAATTTGTCAAATTTTGCACAAATGCCTGCTGGATTTTGACAGGGATTATATTGGATTTACAAATTGCCATGTTAACGTGATTGTGCCTCTGGCCCATGAACACGGGCGGCCTCCCCAGTTGCTCATGTTTTCTTTAATTCCTCTCAGCAGGATTTGGGGGTTTTAGCATTTAACTCTTATACTTCTTTGGTTACGTATATGCTTCTGTATTTTATTCTATTATTATTTAAAATTTTCTTAATTTCATTTTCAGATTGTCTATTACTAATGTATAGAAATTCAGTGGATTTTTGTGTATTGATACTACACTCTGCACCTTTGCTGGATTTTTTATTAGTTCTAACAGGAGTGTTTGTGTTTATTCTGCTTAGGGCTCTCCAAAATTCTCAAATATGTGATTTTTTTTGTCTTTGACTAGCTTTGGGAGACTCTCAGCCACCATCTCTCCAAGTAGCTTTTCTTCCACGATTTCTTCTTTCCTCTTAGGATCATAAGTGGACATTCACTAGAGTGTGTTGAAGTGTTTTAAAGGTCTTGGATGCTTGATTTAGTTCTCTCTCTTTGTCTTTTTTCTCTTTGTGTTCATTTTGGATGACTTCTACTCACCTGTCTCCCAGTTTATGGATTCTTTCCTTAGTTCTTTCCAGTGTGTTAATTAGCCTATGATAAGAATGTTGATATTGTTGGTGGGGGGGCGGTGGTGGAGAGGCTATTTCCATTTGACTTTTGTTTTTTTTGAGACAGGGCCACGCTCTGTTGCCCAGGCAGGAGTGCAGTGGTTCGATCACAGCTCACTGCAGCCTCTAACTCCTGGGCTCAAGAGATCCTCCTGCCTCAGCCTCCAAAGTAGCTGGGACTATAATCCCAGCACTTTGGGAGGCCAAGGTGGGTGGATCACCTGAGGTCAGGAGTTCAAGACCAGCCTGACCAACATGGTGAAACCCCGTCTCTACTAAAAATACAAAACATAGTTGGGCATGGTGGCACACGCCTGTAATCCCAGTACTGGGGAGTCTGAGGCAGGAGAATCACTCGAACATGGGAGGCAGAGGTTGCAGTGAGCCAAGATCACACCACTGCACTCCAGCCTGGGCAACAGTGTGGGACTCCATCTCAAAAATAAATAAATAAAAACAGTGTTCTAGTTTTTTTCAGTTTTCATTTATCTGTTGAAATTCCTCACCTGTTAATGCATATTGACTAAACATACCCATCACAGTTATTTTTATTTATTTATTTGTTTTTTTGAGATGGAGTCTAGCTCTGTCACCCAGGCTGGAGTACAGTGATGTAATCTCAGCTCACTGCAAGCTCTGCCTCCCGGGTTCGAGCGATTCTCCTGCCTCAGCCTCCCGAGTAACTGGGACCACAGGCACCTGCCACCATGCCCAGCTAATTTTTGTATTTTTAGTAGAGATGGGGTTTCACCTTGTTGGCCAGGCTGGTCTCGAACTCCTGACCTCATGATCCGCTCACCTCGGCCTCCCAGAGTGCTGGGATTGCAGGAGTGAGTCACCGCACCTGGCCTGTGAGTTATTTTAAAGTCCCTGTGCAACAGTGTCAACATTGGAGTCATCTCAAAGTTGGATTCTATTAATTGTTTTATCACATGGCCATGGTTCATTTTACCTTCCTTCCTTGCTATCTCATAAATTTTAATTGAATTTCAGACACTGTGTCCAGAGAATAATAGAGACGGAGGCAGGTAGCCTTTATGCCCCAGATGGCTTTGGATCCCCTTCTTCTGGGTATGAATGTGGGATCTGTGCCAGCCTGGGCCATGGGTGGGCCGGGTCAGGGTGAGGTGTGGCCGCCATTACCTCAGGGCGTCAGAGACTGCGAGGCCTCCTAGGCAAGCTCACCCTTACCTGGTGCTGAAGCCTGGGGCTGGGGACCAGGGAGGATTTTCTTTTTTCTTTTTTTGAGACAGAGTTTTGTTCTGTCGCCCAGGATGGAGTGCAGTGGCGTGATCTCAGCTCACTGCAAGCTCCACCTCCCGGGTTCATGCCATCCTCCTGTCTCAGCCTCCCAAGTAGGTGGGACTACAGGCGTGTATCACCACGCTGGGCTAATTTTTTTGTATTTTTATTAGAGATGGGGTTTTGCCACGTTGGCCAGGCTGGTTTCGAACTCCTGACCTCGTGATCTGCCCGCCTTGGCCTCCCAAAGTGCTGGGATTACAGGTGTGAGCCACCACGCCCGGCCCCAGGGAGGGTTTCCTCAGTGCCCCTACAGCTCCATTGCAGCAGGCCCTTCATGCCTGAACCACAGAGGTGGTTTTCTCCATGTTCTTGCCCCTTCGTTCATTTTACGCAACAGATATCTATTGAGCAACTGCCATGTGCCAGACACTGAGCTCAAGTATGGTTTATTCTAGCGAGGCAGGAAGAGCAGTGGGTCTATTTATGTGATTCTGGAAATTCACAAAGGATGAAACCTATGACTACTCAAGTATTAGCTGCAAAAGCTGGTAAAGTTCAACAAAGTTCGAAAGCTTGCTATGGTTCAGCATTCGTTTATGTTAGAAAAAAAGAAAAACTTGAAAAGCTATTAATATCTAACTTCTGAAGAATATCCCTCGGGAAGTGATATTAAAAGTCACATAGAAACATTAGGAGAAGCAGCTACTACCTGTCTTATTAAACATTGTTTTGAATGATAGCATTGGGACACACTAAAAACTAAATACAGTTCAAAATATTTAAAAGGAAGAAATGAAACAACTAGAACAAAAGCTGAGTAAAGATACAACATTATAAATCAACGGATTTTCTAGACACTATGTAGAGAAAATACCACATGACAACATTTCCCATTTATAATTTTAAAATTATAGAATTCTATGGGCAGCCGGGCACAGTGGCTCACACCTGTAATCCCAGTACTTTGGGAGGCTGAGGAGGCCAGGTCACTTGAGGTCAAGAGTTCGAAACCACCCTGGCCAACATGGCGAAACCCAGTCTCTACTAAAAATACAAAAACTTAGCTCGGCATGGTGGCTCATGCCTATAATCCCAACTGCTTGGGAGGCTGAGGCAGGGGAATCACTTGAACCCAGGAGGCGGAGGTTGCAATGTGCCAAGATTACACCATTGCACTCCAGCCTGGGCAATGAGAGTGAAACCCCATCTCAAAAAAAAAAAAAAAAAAAGCCTCCTACCCATAAGATGTAAATAAATGGAGAGATATAACAGGCTTCTTGATTGAGAACACTTACAACTTCAGGTCTCTAAAAATCAACCTATGGATTTAATTATATTCCAATTAAAATAAATAATTACTTTTATCTTGCCAAGTTTTCTCTAAAATTCTCATCAAAATGTATAGGCAAGTGTAGCCATTAAATTTTGGGGGGATGTCTTTATAATTTTTTTAAATTTTTATAGCCATTAAAAATTTAAAAGCAAAATATAAAGGAAGAAGAATGAGTGGTGATTTCCCAGACAGCTATCAGAACAGACTATAAAGCTACAGTTATTAAAACAGCACTGCCTTGCTTCTGGATTACATAAATTGAAGGAGGAAGTGGAGCCGGGCCCTGGCAGCCTTCTCAGTGTAACTCAGGACCCCGTGGACGGGGTGTCTGAGCCAGCAGGAAGAGACAGGGCCTGCTGCAGAGGACGTAACAACAGAACCACGCACCTGCAGCAAGGCAGTCCCATCTCCGTCTCAGCTGAGACACAGAGCAACCACCCAGCTAGGCAGTCCCATCTCAGCTGGAGCACATCCACGAGGAATCCAAATGCACACAAAAAAATAAAAGTACAAAATTCCTGGAAGGACATGTGGGGAATGTATTCCCGATATTGGGGGGGCCTTAAAGCATGGCGCGAAACACAAGCATTGTTAACGGAGTGTCTGGGAGATTTCACTGTTTCAAAAGGAAACACTTCTTTATTGAAAATCACAGTAAAAAAATGACATAGTACAGATTCAGAGAAAATGTTTCTTACAAATATAACAATAAAAATTAATATCTCTGATATCCAAATTGATTATACAAATCAATAGCAGCTCAGTAGAAAAATGGACTAAACGTATGAATATTAATTCTCACACTTTTTATGGAATAATGTTTAGAAAAAGAAAAACTTTAAAATTCACAGAGGGGCTAAGTTTTAGGGAATAGTTTTGAGTGTCATCTATATAGTTTTTCTCAATAAATATATTAATGTAGTAAATTACATTGAGTGCTTTTATATTTTAATTTAGTTTTTCCTAAATTGATCTAGATAGATTTTTTATCAAAAATACCAGGAATACATATTAATCAACACACCAAAATATCAAAAATATTTTTTATTAGATAAATTGATTCTAAAATGTGTACAAAGGGGCAAAGGAACTAGAATAGCTAAATGATAAAAGAAGAAGAAAGGAAGAATCGTGCCCCTCAATGTTAAGAGTTACTCAAAAGCTCCCGTAATCAAGAGTGTCACCGTGGGTGTGGGCACAGCAGCTCATGCATGTAATCCTAGCACTTTGGGAGCCTGAGGAAGGAGGATCTCTTGAGGCTAGAGTTCTAGACCTGCCTGGGCTACATAGTGAGACCTCATCTCTAAAATTAAAAAAAAAAAAATTAATTAAAATTAAAAAAATAGAAAATTGAAAAAGAGAGTGTCACCCCAGGGAAGAGAGAGAGTGGAGGTAAAGGGGCGTGCAGACCCCCAGGATCACGGCCACCTGGCCTCCCACAAGGGACCAAGAGCCGTCAATGCCAGAAGAGCCGCTTTCCCAACAAGCCATGCTAGAGCAGACTCATGGGTTCAAAAATGGCCGTAGACCTACACGTTCATATGAAAATTAACTCAAACTGGGGCTGGGCACAGTGGCTCATGCCTGTAATCCCAGCACTTTGGGAGGCCGAGGCTGGCAGATCACTTGAGATCGGGAGTTCGAAACCAGCCTGGCCAACATGGTGAAACCCTGTCTCTATGAAAAATACAAAAATTAGCTGGGCGTGGTGGCAGGCACCTGTAATCCCAGCTACTTGGGAGGCTGAGGCAGGAGAATCGCTTGAACCCAGGAGGCAGAGGTTGCAGTGAGCCAAGATCATGCCACTGCACTCCAGTCTGGGCAACAGAGAGAGACTCGTCTCGAAATAAATAAATACATTAATAAACAAAAATTATCCAGGCGTGGTGGCAGGCACCTGTAATCCCAGCTACTTGGGAGGCTGAGACATGAGAATCATTTAAACCTGGGGGTTGGAGGTCGCAGTGAGCCAAGATCACGCCACTGAACTCCAGCCTGGGAGACAGAGTAAGACTCCGTCCCCCCCCAAAAAAAAAAAAAAAGTAAAAATAAAGGAAATTAACTCAAATTGGATCAAAAACAATAACACTTTTAGAATAGAAGAAAGTGTCCAGGACCTGGGGCTTGGCAAGGACTTCCTAGATATAACATCAAAAGCATGATTCATATATATTTTAAATCAATGAATTAGATCTCATTGAAATTAAAAACTTTTATGCCGTGAAAGATCCTGTTAGGATGGATGAAAAGATAAGCTGTGGGCTGGGAGAAAATGTTTGCAAAACCCATGTCTGACAAAGGACTCGTATCTAGAATATAAGAAGAACTCTCAAAACTCAACGGAACAGGGCCAAATAATCCAATGAAAGAAGGATCATGGAGACAAGGTGGAGATGGCAGATGAAGTCACAAAACGGCCTTCAACCCGCGTGGCCCCAGGGAAACACAGGCTGGGACCATGACCCAATATTTCTCCGTACCTATTAGAACAGCTAACGCAAAATATAATAACAAGACCAAATGCTGGCAGAGATTCGGAGAAACGGTATGACATTCACTGCGTGTGGAATGTAACATGGCGCACCCACCATGGAAAAGAGTTTGACAGTTTCTTAAAAAAGCGAAACAGACTCTGACCATTTGACCCAGCAGTCACACTCCTGGGCATTTGTCCCAGAGAAAGAAAGATTTATGTTCACACAAACACCTATACGTGATTGCTCATGGCAGCGCTATTTGTAATAGTCAAAAGCTTCAGTAGGTGAATGGTAAACAAAGAGGTCCTTTCCTACCAGGGGAGGCTACTTATCAGTAAAAAGGAACTAACTGTTGACACAGGAAGCAGCTTAGATGGTCTCAAGGGCATGTTCCTGAGTGAAGAGCTCATCTGAAAGGGTCCCACGCATTCCATTTACATCACATTTGCAAAATGACAAATTTATAGCCATAGGAAAAGGCCAGAGGGTGTGAGGAGGAAGGAACGGGGACATGGGCAGTGAGTCTCTGGGATGAGGCAGCCCCGGAGATGGCCGTGGCAGTGGGACAGCTCTGTGTCCTGTTCCTGGTGGTGTGTACACAAATTCCCACATCCTACAACATGGCAAAAACCCAGATACACACACTGTAGCACGGTCAGCTTCCTGGCTTAGACACGCACTCCAGCTAAGGGAGACGAAGCCGTTGGGAAAACTGGTTGAGGGGCATGTGGAAATCTCTGTACTAGTTTTGAGACTTCCTGTGAATCTGTAATGATTTCAAAATAAAATCTTTAAAAGAAATCACGAGCTTGATAAAGAGAATATACATTGTATGCTGCCTTTTGAATAAAAAAAAAATTAGACATGCAGGTATTCCGTTATTGTTGCAAACAGAAACCACGGGAAGAAGGAGACAGAACTCATGGACTCGGTGAGTGGAGAACAGAAAGTTTGAGCGTCTGAGGTTACTTAACGATTTCACATTTAAAAATTATTTAAATTAAGTAAAAAAGGATACAGAACACATAAATGGAACACAAGAAAACAAACAAATGGGCATTTTCAACGCATAAATGTTTAGGAGTGGAGACCGACCAAGAGCCGCCTTGCACCGCAAATGGGCCCTGAGGTCCAGGGCTGCAGGAGCAGGGTGGGGAGCCCGGCCAGATGGAGGGGCAGACACCGGCACCCGCTGCCTACGTCACCGCCCTCAGTGCTGCCCACAAGCGGGTGCCCCACTGGGTCCCGCCACCCCAAATCCCAGTGCCGGAGCGGGGCCCGGCTCTGCCACCCGCTGCCACCCGGTGTGGCACCCAGGCCCTGCTGGCACAAGGCCACGGCTAATCTGCTCTCAGAGGAAGCTGAGGAGGTGAGGAGGCAGCCCTGCCCTCGGTGTTTCCCAAGCCCCCTTATCCCAGCAGATTCTTCTCGGGGAAGATAAGCTCCCAGCTTAGCCAGGGCGGGTGGGAAGTCAGAGCTGCTTCCTTAATTGGCATTTTCCAGTTGAGAGCACATTCTCTACCTTTTTCACTTGGATCAGCTAATTGCCAAATGTTTTCATTTTTGAGAAGAAGTAAAATTGCAGAGATTTGGGATTTAGGGAAGGAATGCAAGGATCAATTTTGCCTAATTACGAAATGTCTCGGCGGTCACTGTGACGGGTCCCAGAGTCGGCCGTGTGGACCCCGGGGCCTCCCGGGCGGTGGGGGGCCGGGGGCTCTGATGCAGATGTTTACCTGATGTCGTGGGCCTGAATCTGGTTTACATTGGAAATCAGACTGTTTACAGGCCAGCACATCTGCCTCTTCCTCTGGCTCTCCTTCATTCTGCTGTAATGTTCTGCAGGTCTCGCTGGGGTCTCTGTGGGAATATCTGTGACACGGAGTGAGCCAGGCCAGCCCGGGGCGGCCCCATCCGGGGACAGCAGCTCACGGCCTGGCCCCGCGTGCGCAGCCGGGGCCTGGGTTGGCGGTGGAGATGGGGAGGGTCTGGGGGCCCCTGGGTGGGTGGTGGGGGTACCGTCAGCCCGGCTGCAGGGTTCCAGCGGAGGACAGGGAGCCTTCTCCATCCCTGAAAACCATCGCGGGGACAGTGGACTCATCAGGATGCCGGGACCCTCTAGTGTGTTCTGGAAGCAGAGGCTGGGTGTGGGCACGGGAACCTGTGATTGTCCCCAGACACCGAGAGGCCCACAGGACCCCCAGTGCCCAGACCCCGGCTGCAGATCGGGGGGTCCAGTCATGTGTCGGGGAAGGAGGAGGGGAGCAGGGGCCACAGACAGGGGGTCCAGGAGGGCAGGGGGTCCAGGAGGGCAGAGGACCCAGGACAGCAAAGGGTCCGGGAGGGCAGAGGATCCAGGAGGACAGGGGGTCCAGGAGGGCAGGGGGTCCAGGAGGGCCCAGGAGGGCAGGGGGTCCAGGAGGACAGGGGGTCCTGGAGGGCAGGGGGTCCAGGAGGGCAGGGGGTCCAGGAGGGCAGAGGGTCCAGGAGGGCAGAGGGTCCAGGAGGGCCCAGGAGGGCAGGGGGTCCAGGAGGACAGGGGGTCCTGGAGGGCAGGGGGTCCAGGAGGGCAGGGGGTCCAGGAGGGCAGAGGGTCCAGGAGGGCCCAGGAGGGCAGGGGGTCCAGGAGGACAGGGGGTCCTGGAGGGCAGGGGGTCCCGGAGGGCAGAGGGTCCTGGAGGGCAGGGGGTCCCGGAGGGCAGAGGGTCCTGGAGGGCAGGGGGTCCAGGAGGGCAGGGGGTCCAGGAGGGCAGAGGGTCCTGGAGGGCAGGGGGTCCAGGAGGGCAGGGGGTCCAGGAGGGCCCAGGAGGGAAGGGGGTCCAGGAGGACAGGGGGTCCAGGAGGGCAGAGCCACAGCAGGCTGGGTGCTGCTGCTACAGGGGGCTTCACCCCAGCAGCCCCCTGCACTGCCCCTCTGACAGCCTCCACCTTTGACCCCCCAGAACAATGGGCTGCTGTGGCGGCTCTGGAGGCTGCGGCCCCAGTCATGGGGCCTGCGGCTGCCATGGGCTGAGACCCTGCTGCTCTTCGTGGAGACACTGATGTCCTTACCAGATCTCCCGGGCCCGCCCTCAGCCTCCAGGCTGACCAGGCTTCCTGGGCCTCCTAGGACACAGCCCTGGGTCTCCTCCTCTAGGATACTGGATGGGAATCTGCGGCTTCCAACATCCACCTGCCCGCCTTCCCCTCTGCCCTGTCCCCTTGCTGCCATGGCCGCCTTTGTCCTCCCTGGAGATTCAGAGAGCAGCCCCGTTCTCAGTTACCTGGCCTTCTGGGTCCTTGGGAGGTTCTGACCTCTTCCCAGCAGGGGCCCTGGGGGCTGCGTCCTGCCTGGTCCAGGCCTTCTCACCCTCACCTCCCTCTGGGCTCAGGGAGCTGGGGCCACACAGCCCAGAGAGGCTGGTCTGCCCAGGACAGGCCACCCTCCTCCTGCTCCCAGGAGTGCCTGCAGCCCTGTCAGTTTCCAAGAGTGTCTCCTTCAAGCAGCCTCGTCAGGTCGAGCCACCCCCAGTGCCCTCTCTCCTCTGGCAGCCGCGCTCCCTGCCCTTCCTCCCCACCTGCTCAGTCCTGCAAAGCCTCCTGCCTAGCTGGACACCTGGGGGTTCTGTATCCCACACTCCAGGGGCCTCCTTCACATGTCGGTGACCTCTGACACTCCAGGGGCCTCCTTCACATGTCGGTGACCTCTGACCGCTGTTTCAGACCCACAGCTCCTGGGTGCACTCAGCCTTGGGTCCCGATGGCACCAGAGTGTTCCACGCCTGGGGCAGCGCACTCATTGCAGATCTGGCCTGAGACTCAGCAGCCGGGCACCCCATGAGATCTACTTTCTGAATGGCGTCGTCACCTGACTGGGCATACAGGCCACGGACCCCATGGTCATTTGGGCACTGACCCCTCTCACACCCCCCAAATCCCACCTGAGAGCAGCCCATCAGGCAGGCCCCATATATTGGATGCCTCTAAGTATCAGCCTTGATGTCCCTCTAATTCCAGCCCTGGTGTCTTCTCCCTGGGACACCCTGCTGCTCCCTCTAGCTGTGCCCTCCACGGTGACTCCAGACATGCGGATTCAGCCTCTTCGCTCCAGGACCAAACTCCTCAGCAGCTCCCACTACTCCCAGCATGCCATCCAGCTCCTCAGCCCAGCAGCAAAGACAGGCACAGAATGGCTCCCGAACCCATCGCTCCGGTCCGGAGAAGGAGCCCTCCACCCTCCACGCTCCATTCGCTGTCCCCTTGCGGGCCCCTGTGAGGAACCCCAGCCAGAGGCACCAATGGCCGCCACTGACTTTCACCCTGTCCTGAATCACAGGACCAAGGAGGCTGCCCCGACAAGGGTCGCTTCCAGACTCACTCCCTGTCAGCCACTGCCACATGCCTGCCGTGGGCAGCATTGGAGGACAGGGGGTACTCTGTCAGTCAGCCTAACAGGCTGGTCCGTCCTTCCTTCCTTCCTTCCTTCTTCCCTCCCTCACTTCCTTCCTTCTTCCCTCCCTGCCTCCCTCCCTTCCTTCTCTGCTCCCTCCCTCCCTCCTCCCTCCCCCTCCTTCCCTGCCTCCCTCCTCCCTCCTTCTCTGCCTCCTTCCTCCCCCTTCCCTTCCTTCCTTCCTTCTCTGCTCCCCCCCTCCCTCTTTCCCTCCCTCCCTCTTTCCCTCCCTTCCTCCTCCCTCCTCCTCCCTCCCTCCCTTCCTTCCTTCTTTCTTTCCTTCCTTCCTTCCTGCTTCTCTCCCTTCCTCCCTCCCTCACTTCCTTCCTTCCTTCTTCCCTCCCTGCCTCCCTCCCTTCCTTCTCTGCTCCCTCCCTCCCCCCTTCCCTGCCTCCCTCTTCCCTCCTTCTTTGCCTCCTCCCTCCCCCTTCCCTTCCTTCCTTCCTTCTCTGCTACCTCCCTCCCTCCTCCCTCCCCCCTCCCTTCCTTCCTTCCTCTCTGGTCAAATGCGGGTACATGAGAGTTCCCACCATCCCCATGGTAAGTGCACAGTTCCGTGGCATTGGGAACCTGCACGTGGCTGTGCCACTGTCGCCACCATGCAGCTCCAGCACCTTTTCATCGCGCGAAACTGGAGCTCCGTCCTGACTAATCACTCACTCCCATCGGCCTCTGTCACTGGCCCTGCTGACTACCATTCTGCCATCTTCCTCTTGAATCTGACTCCTCTGGGGGCCTTCCATCTGTGGGGTCACAGCATTGGTCCTATTGTGACTGGCTGGCTTCACTCGGCACGAGGCTGTGAAGGTTGGTGGCGTTGCTGCAGGCGTCAGAGCACACTCCTTTTCCAGGCTCCGTAAGACCCCGATGTGTTTGTCTACCCCATTTCAGATCCCCTCACCTGCTGGGTTGTTTCCACCTTTGGGCTATTGTGACTGCACGGCTGTGAGCATGGGTGTCTGAGTCCATTCTGTGTAGCCATAAAAGAACCTCTGTGATGGGGTAATTCATCAAGCTCACAGTTCTGCTGGCTGAGAAGTTCAATGGCATGGCCCTGGCTTCTGCTGGAGGAGGTCAAAGGGGAAGCAGACACGGGAAGAGAGATAAAGCTCAGGGATGTCTTGGCTTCAGAACAAGCCCCACTCATGGGAACAAATCCATTCCCATGGGAACTCACCCTGTATCACAAGAGGAGAATCACTCCCAGCACCACGGACTCCCCAGGGAGTCACTCCCACGACCCACACGTCTCCCTCCCCTCAGGCCCCACCTCCCTACGCTGCCACACTGGGGGTCCCGTTTCAACAAGAGTTTTGCTGGGAACAGATGCACTGACTACATCCAGGTCGTGGTAAGGGCTGTGCAAGTATTTGAGTCCCTGCTTTGATTTCTTTTGGGGATAGACCTAGGAATGGAATGGCGGCTTCGCAGGGTAATTTTGTGTTTACCTGTTTCTGGAAGGAGCACACTGAGCTGGCCAGAGCAGGCTTGTGTTTTCCTCTGTGCTCCTTCCTGCTTCCCAGGATGCAGATGAGATGGCAGGTGCCCCAGCAGCCCTCGCCAACCATAAGGCATGGATTCCTCACCTTCGGCTCGGGGAGCACAGAGACTGAGGGCCGTGGACTCGGGGTGAGATGGTGGCACCTCCATCACAGACCCACAGTCTCTGTGTCCAGCCCTTCCGGAAAGATGACAGAAATGAAAAGTCTGCCTTATGGAAGACAAGGTTATTCAGAATTTTCGGTTCTGTATGGTCTCCTTAGAAACATTAGCAGACTTTAAAAAATGAAAATAGCCCATGTTCATTGTGAAAAAGTGAGCCATGGCCTCCGGGGCACCGGAGCCACAGAGCCACCACGCTTTGCTTTTGTTTCTCACTCCCCTACTCTCCCCACATAGGCACCGACGCTTTCCCTGACAGCATCATCATCACCCAACTAGGGCAGCTGACCCGCGTCTTCCTCACGACGTGGAATGGTTTGAGTCAAGGGTTTTCATGGCCATGAGCCACGTGGAGGCTGTGCCTTTTGTTTCCTGTGAGAAATCTTCAACCAGCGCCACTCTCAGCCTCCCCTCTGCCAGCGCTTCTGTGGCTGCACCTGCATTCGTGGGCTGTGGCTGCGAAGCACAGGAATAATTGATGGCTCTGGGGCACTTTGCTGGGCTGCTTCCAGAAAAGTTGACCCCTCCCTGCAAACCAGCACTGCCCAGCATTCTTGTCCCGCCAAGCCTGACTGTGAGCTGTTGTGACGTTGCCACTTTGCTCGGAAAGGACCCCTTACCTTTTATTTCCCTTGCATTTCTTTCAATTCTACCATTGACCATTTCTCATACGTGTGGTCATCATTGTATTTCGCCCCCATTTTGTGAGGTTTAGTGTATTCTTAAAGTTTCCTGGGTTTTGATGAGAGCATATTCTGTCATTATATTTAACAGGTGTTTTCCCCAGCTTGGATGTGTTTGGCCATTAGCTTCTTTTCTGCTATTTTACACTAGTCTGTTATTCTTCACTACAAAAGGACTCTGCCGAGGGTCCCCATGCTCCCCATGCTTCGGGGTGTGAGGTAGCAGGGGAAGGCAGGTGTCCTTCCTTCTTTGAAGTGCGGGTTGGGGCAGGACAGCAGACCCTGGGGTCACTGCTGAGGAGGGGAAGGATGGGATTAGGACTGTTCTCTTCCTGGCCTCATGAGCTCCCCCAGCTCCTTCTGGTGGTTGGAGAAGAAACCTCCTGATTGTCACGGAGAGTGAGTTTGTCCGTGGAGCTTTTCCTGCACGGCTCACATAGAACGGGCTGTGAGGTCCCTCCACTGAGCAGCACGTGCCAGGCCGGGTGCCCACGACTGTTGGGAAAACCCAGGCCTGTATTCCAGGAAGCAAAGGTCTTTAGATGAAGGTTTTAAGAATGAAAATTAACCCACAGAATGGTGAGGTCAGTTGGAGCCTGGATTCCATGGGGTAAGACAGCCACAGCCAGGTGGGCATCCTGCTCCTTCCCTTTCCCCTGTCCCTGCCCACCGGCCATGCCCTAGAGTAGGGGCACACTCGGACCCCAGCCCAGCGCCCACCCATGCTGCCTGCAGGCCTGCGAGGTCCCACAACCCCTTGGCATGCAGCGACAGCCCGGGGCCAGGTGTGGGTGAGGCTTGGGATTTCCTGGCACAGCTGACTTCATGTTGTGGCCTGGCAGCCTCGGGTGGTGTCGGCAGATGCAGGAAGCCACGGGCGCAGCTCCCTGCCTGTCCCGGCCGTGGGTGCTAATGCAGAGTGGGTTCTGTGGCTGGTCACACAGGCAGCCGGGTGGGTGCAGGTCATCCCGGGGATGGCCTTGCACTGTCTGATCCCCGGGGAGGGGAGGGTCTTTTCGCTGACCACGCTGTTTGCTGCGTGCTTTTTGTTTGCCAAGGGCTGCAATGTTTGTCGTCTGCCGCAGTGTTTGCTGCCGGGTGAAGAATCGCTGGCCCTGTGTTGTCACCTGGGCCCACCGTGACAAGGTCCCCACCTCTGTTGTGGGACTCGGGGGCAAAGTTCCCTGCTGTTCACGCTGCAAGTGACAAGGGCCTTGGTCTCTGAACCAGGAGCCTCTGAGTCCTGCCCCACAGGGCTGAGCCCTGGCTGGGAGCAATGTTCTTTGGGGGAGACAGCAGCTTCCTCACTTCCATGTACAGCCAGATGCCACGGGATGTGGGGAGTGCGACAGGGCCGTGGGGAGTGTGACAAGGCCTTGGGGAGTGTGACAGGGCTGTGGGGAGTGTGACAGGGCCTTGGGGAGTTTGACAGGGCCGTGGGGAGTGTGACAGAGCCGTGGGGAGTGGGACAAGGCCGTGGGGAGTGGGACAGGGCCGTGGGGAATGGGACAGGGCCGTGGGGAGTGTGACAGGGCCATGGGGAGTTTGACAGGGCCGTGGGGAGTGGGACAGGGCTGTGGGGAGTGCGACAGGTCTGTGGCGAGTGTGACAGGGCTGTGGGGAGTGCGACAGGGCTGTGGGGAGTTTTGAAAGGGCCATGGGGAGTTTTGACAGGGCTGTGCGGAGTGTGACAGGGCTGTGCGGAGTGTGACAGGGATGTGGGGAGTGCGACAGGGCTGTGGGGAGTGTGACAGGGCTGTGGGGAGTGTGACAGGGCTGTGGGAAGTGCGACAGGTCTGTGGCGAGTGTGACAGAGCTGTGGGGAGTGCAACAGGTCTGTGGCGAGTGTGACAGAGCTGTGGGGAGTTTTGACACGTCTGTGGGGAGTGCAACAGGGCTGTGGGGAGTGTGACAGGGCTGTGGGGAGTGCGACAGGGCTGTGGGGAATGTGACGGGGCTGTGTGGGAGCAGGTGGTCCTGTGGGGCATCCCGGGGTCTGTGCTCAGGCTGTGGGAGGTGGGGCTGGCAGGGGATCCTGGAGAAACACCTTTGGGGGCTCAGGTTTGGTGGAGCTCCCACTTCCACAGTGGCTCTGAGTGGGGCCTGAGCAGGTTTTCCTGGCAGTGGCTGAGGGTGGGTGGGCCTGGTAGGTACTGGGCTGCTCAGAAGCCAGCCAGCTCCATGTTGCCCACCTCAGCCTCCCAGGCTTCTCAGGGCCCAGCTGTGCTCTGTCCCTGGGGCCCTTCCCTCCCCGGACACTGCTCACCCCTGGCAAGGGCTCTGCCCTGGGACACACCCTGCTAGACCCTCAGATCTGATCCCAGCCCTTCCCATGTGACTCCCTGGGTGCTCCCAGATGACTGGGATGTGGGGAAGGATCAAAGAGCACTTTGGTTGTCTCTGTAACTCTTCTAGTGATTAGATAAGGGCTGGATTTAAGGATTACTTCTGCAATGCAAATAGATGAAAGGAACAAGCTAAATAACAAACTCTTCCCATTCCCAGAACAAAGTCAGCTCTGGCCTGGTTCCACGTGCCCTGTCCAGCACGTCCCCCAAGCGCAGGCATGGGCCCCCGGACCAGCCGCGGACCCCTCCTCGCGCTTTGCAACGCCTCACAGCTGGCCCCGCACCCCTGGGGCAGGACCACTCCCTCTTCTTATTCTTCTCTGTGTCACCTTCCCAGACTCTGCACATAGTCGGCGCTACATAAATGGTGGCTGCAAAAAGGAGACGAGCAGCAGAGCAATGCCCCAGGGAACAAGAGGGGCGCTGTTGCCAAGGCCAGGGCCAGGGTATCTGCCCTGAGGCCTGAGCCCCACACGACCCAGGGCTCCAGAGCCCCATGGCCCATCTCACTGCTGGGGCTGAACCCCCAGGGCCCCTGCAGCCACTGCCTCAGGAGGTCAGGTTGGGGTGTGGAGTAGGAGGGACGGGTGTTTCCAGGGAATCCCTGTGTAGGTGGGATCCAGAGGGCTTGAAACCCTCAAGCTACCAGCCAGCTCCACGCCTAGGACAGGCCTTATTAGAGTTCAGGATCTGCCAGCTCCCAGGGGCAGCCTCAATGTCCGGGGTGGATGGGGGTTTCTGTGGGTTCACTTCTGCCCCCAGCTGGGATGCCTGGAAGGAGAGCTCAGGGACAGTGTGGCCAGACCCTGACCCAGACAGAAGATTCTGTCTGAGAGACCGGGGACCTTCACAGAGGGACAGAGGCCCAGGAAGCAGCGGCTGCTGCTGTAAGCCTACGGCGAGAGCCATGGTCACAGAAGACCCACTTGTTGCCAGGCGTTTTGCCTTCACAATGGCAAAGTCTCCCAGTGGCCCAGGAGAAAAGGGAATGCTCATTCCATTCTGCCTGCCAGAAAACAGAGGCTGAGGCCCAGAGGCTCAGGCAACCTCCCCAGGTTCACCTCATTTGGAAACAGCCCCTTCCCATCCCCGGTTGCTGCCGCAATCTTCTAAGGGGACTTCCTCAGAGGTCATTAAATGCATTGAAAACTGGTTCTGGTCCTCGACCCTAAGCTGCTGGAGGAGGGGGTGTGGGAGCAGATTCGGGGTGCACCTGTGTGTTCAGGTGAAGGCGGAGGGAAATTAGTCATGGAGCTAAGCTGAACCACCTGCTGGGCCCCAGGCAGGCAAGGCCCTGTGGGCAGGTGGGAAGCCAGAGGCCGCCTCTCACCCCGGGGAGGGGCAGGGGCTGGAGTGACGGTGCAGGGTGAGATTTTGGCCAGGCACAACTCCATCCATCCCTGCATCCCCAGGAAGCCACAGACACCCAGGTTCTGAGAGCCCGGCTCTCGAATGTCCCTCCTCCCCCGACCTCCTTCGGTGCCCCTGGCCATGCCAGCCCTGAGCATGAAGCCTTCAACTTTCCCACGCACCCACTTCCACTCTCCAGGGCTGAGGAGCAGGAAGGAGATGGCTTGGAGGGGTGAGCCCCTGTCCTGTTCTCAGAGGGTCACAGCTACTCACTACCTGCTACGAAGACAGGGAAGGGTGGGAGCCGTTCTAAACCAGCATCAGTGCATGCCACAAAATAGAAGCCGTGCATTACAAACTAGAAACGAGGGCTTGGTTGCAGGCACCTTCCCTAGAGACCCTGGCTGAGCAGAGGCTGGGGTCTGGCTGCGCTGCTCTGACGGTGTGCACGGGCGGGCTAGGCACTCGCCCTGAGTCCCAGAAAGAGGAGCCCACAGATACAAAACTTAAAGGATGTGTTATTTTATTTTTTAATTTAATTTTTGTTTTTTCAAAAGCATCAAAGTCATTGTGATTGGAAGGAATGCGCAAGTTGGTCTGGGGTGCTGTCCCTGGGCGCCGAACCAGCCGGGGACATGGCCCCTGGAGAGCTGCCGACCCCGGGGCTAGGGGAGTGGTCTTGCGAGGAGCCTTTGCTTCCCACTCGCCGGCCGCCCCGCGGGGCCCTCCTGCCACCAGGTGGCGCTTCTCGGCCAGCCCGGGCCGCAGGACCTGCAGTCTCGTTTCCCCAGGAATGGCGACGGCCCTGTTATTCCCATCACAATTTTACAGGTCAGAAAAGGAGACTCGGAGTGCATATATAGCAACTTGGAGAAAGTCGCAAGGGACGAAGGACCCTTCCCCGGACACAGGAACCTTCTGGGGGATGGGGACAGGGACTCAGGTGCAGAGAAAACCAGAGCTGCTACCGTGGGGACAGAAAGGGAGTCTACCCAGAGACAGCAGAGGCAGGAGCTGCCCCCCCTCTTTGCCCCCAGTGGCCCCGAGCGAGGGGTTGCCACCACCTAGAGCCTGGGGACCAGGGGCCAGTGCCTGGGGACGGAGGCCGTGGTCGAGACAGGCGAGGGATGTGGCGGAGACAGGGAGGCCCAGGTCGGCTGGCACAGGGCAAGGAGCAGGCGAGCCGACCCCAGGGCCTTGCCCTTGTCACGCCCCCTGCCATGTTCCTGCTGGCCCCCTTCCTGTTCTGTGAGGTCAACACGCAGGAGAAAGGGGCAGAAGGGAAGGTCTCCCCACACCGAGGGCTCTGCCCGCTTGGGCCAGGGGTTGGGGGGTGGTCATGGCACCAGGGCTGCTCTGAGCTACAGCCCCGAGGGGGGGCCGGGCGATGCCTCCTCCTCCGTGCCAGCCTGTGCCGGGGCCCCTAGGAACCCCCAAGTCCCTGCCTGTGACCTCTGCAGAGCCCAGCAGGCGCCTCCCCGCCCTCGGCCACAGGCTCGGAGCTCACGGCCCCCAGGGGGCGCTCAAGGACTGCTCATCTGCGCTTCTGCCGCGGGCAGCTCTGACCCCTCCCGCTGCGCTCCTCCAGCCGCATCCCTGCAGCCTTGGGCCCTACTGGCCCGGGGGAGGAGGCACTGCGCTTTGGGGAGGAAGAGAGACTAAAGGGGAGACCGAGAACCCCGGGTCAGGAAGCGGAGAGCTAAAACGACAACCGTGGGTCAGCGGAGGCCGGCAACTTCATTTCATGACCTCTGGCCTCCAAAGCAGCTCTGCAAAGTGGTCAATGCTCCTCTCGTTGTGTAGATGAAGATACTGAGGGCCAGGGAGGCTGTGGACTGCCTGATGTCACACGACTGGTGGGGCGGCGGGCGGGTCTGTCCCCAGGCGATTGTCCTCGAGGCACACGGCGGGGCAGAGCTTGGAAGCGGCCGAGGTGGGGGTCCCTGGGTGTGGATGTAGTGACCCCGGAGCCACGTGGAGCCACCTTCAGACCCAGAGCTGAAGCAGGAGGGTGACCGGTAGAGCAAGGCCGTGCACACCCCCGTTGCAGAATTGAAAACGCGCCTCAAAATAAAACCCCGTGTTTCACAAGAATGCACTAATTCCCGAAGATATCCGGGCGCACGGGATGCAGTGGGGATTGGAGATGCAGGGGCCATGCAAGTGAGAAGGACCCTGCTCAGCGTGAGGCTCTGATGGTCTTGAATTCCTTTGCCATGCTCGGACAAGGGGCCTGCGCTGTCACGTTGCTTTGGACCCTGAAAATTCGGGAGCCCGTCCTGAGCCCACGCTGCCATAGTTGCCAGGTATCCAGCATATGCACAAAACACCTCCACGCCGGTGCTCTGCCCTGCCCTGCTCTGGAGACCCACATCCAAGGACAGGTCTCTCCTATGGCAGCCCTGCTCCCTGCCCTTCTTCCCCACCTGCTCAGTCCTGCAAAGCCTTCGGCCAAGACTGACACCTGGGGGTTCTGTCTCCCACACTCTAGGGGCCTCCTCCACATGTCGGTGACCTCTGACCACTGTTTCAGACCCACAGCTCCTGGGTGCACTCAGCATTGGGTCCCTATGGTATCAGAGTGTTCCAGGCCTGGGGCACTGCACTCACTGCAGACCTGGCCTGAGATTCAGCAGCTGGGCACCCTATGAGATCTAGTTTCTGAATGGCGTCGTCACCTGACTGGGCATACAAGCCACAGGCCCCGTGGTCTGTGGGCGGCCATTGTCCTGTGTGTGGGGTGGGGCACTGGGACCCTCCCACAGCTTTGGCTTTCTCAGAGTTTCTATCCCTGTGTCCTCCTCTGTCAGCAAAGCCCAAAGGTGGGGGGCTCCTGAGCTGCCACCTCCTTTGTTTCTCCAACTCTGCCGGTTCATTGGACTATGCCCTTGGTGCCTCACAGTGTGCTGACTGACAGCATCTCTAAGCCCTAAACCACTGAGCCTGGAGTCATCCAGCTCCAGGGAAATGACTCTGCAGGGTCACGATTCCTGGGTCTGCACTCAGGCCCCCTCTTTCCAACCAAGACAGCAGGATCCCAGGTATCCTGAGACCTGTCCTGATCCTGAATCCTGTCCTGATCCTGAGTCCTGTCTTGATCTTGGGTCCTGACCTGATCCTGCCCTGAGTCCTGTCCTGATCCTGGGTCCTACCCTGATCCTGTGTCCTGCCCTGATCCTGAGACCTGCCCTGATCCTGGGTCCTGTCCTGATCCTGATTCCTGCCCTGATCCTGTGGTCCTGCCCTGATACTGAGACCTGCCCTGATCCTGGGTTCTGCCCTGATCCTGAGTCCTGTCCTGATCCTGGGTCCTGTCCTGATCCTGAGACCTGCCCCGATCCTGAGTCCTGTCCTGATCCTGCCCTGATCCTGAGTCCTATTGTGATTCAAAGTGCTGTCTTGATCCTGCGTCCTGCCCTGATCCTGAGTCCTGTCCTGATCCTGCCCTGATCCTGGGTCCTGCCCTGATTCTGAGTCCTGTCCTGATCCTGGGTCCTGCCTGATCCTGAGACCTGCCCTAATGCTGAGTCCTGTTCTGATCCTGAGTCCTGTTTTGATCCTGAGTCCTGTCTTGATCCTGGTTCCTGCCCTGTTTCTGAGTCCTGTCCTGAGCCTGCCCTGATCCTGAGTCCTATTCTGATCCTGAGTATTTCCTGATCCTGGCTCTTATGAGATCCTGGGTTTCATCCTGTTCTACCCACGGGTGATAGCCCAGGATGGGGTCACCTGCTCTAGGGTGTCTCCATGCGTGGTCTCCCTGTGCCTTCTGTAAACTTCCCCTGAGACTTTCGGAGTCAAGTCAGCATCAGCATCAGCATAGAAGTGGGTTGAATAGGACCCCCTCATTCCTGTCCACCTGGAAACTCTGAATGTGATCTTATTTGGACACTGGGTCTTTGCAGATGTAATCAAGTTAAGATGAGGTTGTACTGGAGTAGGGTGGGCCCTGATCCAATGTCTGGTGTCCCTGTAAGAGAAAGGAGGGGAGGAGGTCAGACACAGACACTCAGTGGAGAAGCCCACTTGAGGATGGAGGCAGAGACGGGGGATGCAGCCACAAGCCAAGAATGTCTGGCCACCACCAGAAGCTGGAAGACGCAGAAAGGATCCTTCCCTGGAGCCTTCAGAGAGTGTGTGGCCCACGGAGAACTTGATCTTGAACTTCTGTCTGCCTGAACCGCGAGGCACCAATGTCCGCTTTAAGGCTCCCGTTGGGGGCCATTTGTTATGGCAGCCCCAGGAAATGAACACTGGTAGCAAAGATGAGCGCAGCATCAAAGCCAAGTCCCTGCTCCCGTTGCCCTTACTAACACAGAAGGACAGGGGCCTTGTCATTTTTCAGAGGACATGTGAGGGAAATCATGAACTAAAGAAAAAGTGCAAAACTATGTACACCACTGAGGTTATTTTAAGATTAAGCAAACAAACACAGTTTCCCTAAGGAAATGGCACAAACAGGAACCAGGAAATGACTGTGTGTCCAGCATCACACCTGATCCTGGGCAGGGATATAAAGGGCCCAGGCTCAGGGAGCTCCATACCTGCACACCTCCCTCTCACCTGCTCCTCTACCTGCTCCACCCTCAATCCACCAGAACCATGGGCTGCTGTGGCTGCTCTGGAGGCTGTGGCTCCGGCTGTGGGGGCTGTGGCTCTGGCTGTGGGGGCTGTGGGTCCAGCTGCTGTGTGCCCATCTGCTGCTGCAAGCCCGTGTGCTGCTGTGTGCCAGCCTGTTCCTGCACCAGCTGTGGCTCTTGTGGGGGCTCCAAGGGGTGCTGTGGCTCTTGTGGGGGCTCCAAAGGGGGCTGTGGCTCTTGTGGGGGCTCCAAGGGAGGCTGTGGCTCTTGTGGCTGCTCCCAGTGCAGTTGCTGCAAGCCCTGCTACTGTTCCTCAGGCTGTGGGTCATCCTGCTGCCAGTCCAGCTGCTGCAAGCCCTGCTGTTCCCAGGCCAGCTGCTGTGTCCCCATTTGCTGCCAGTGCAAAATCTGAGGCTCTGACTTTGGACCTCAGGTGAGTCCAGCATATCCACACCACCCAAGAAGTGACCAGTGCTGCATTTCAGTTCTGGCTGTCCCACAGCTCCAGGAGTTGTGTCCCCTGAATTTTGCAGAAGGTGATGACTCCAGGTTCTTGGCCTTTCCTGACTCCCTTTCTGGTCATTCTTCATGAGAACTCTCTTCCTCTCTCCTGGTGCCCAACACCTTCCCAGTTCCCAGAGCCCTGCAATCTCCTCCAACAAGCTCCCTGCCAGGTCCTGCTGCGACAGGGCCCTCCCTGTCCATCAGTCCTCCTGTCCTCCTTCTCTAGAGCAGCTGCAGGTCGGGGAGGCAGTGGAGATCTGCCCCCATCCCCAAAGGCTCCAAACCTTCCTCCCCAGGAGACGGCCACTCTCGCGGCTTCTCTCTCAGTTAAGGTTCAGCAGGACCTGAGACCCTTTAAATAAACACATTTCCCACCCATGAGGCTTGCTCTCACTGTGGCTTTAAAACAAACAAACAAACAAACAAAAAAAACTTTTATTTGAGGTTCAGGGAGCATGTGCAGATTTGTTACACAGGTAAACTCGTGTCATGGGGGTTTGTTGTACAAATTATTTCATCACTAAACCAAGTACCCATTAGTTATTTTTCCTGATCCTCTCCCTCCTCCCACCGTCCACCCTCCGATAGGCCCCAGTGTGTTGCTCCCCTCTGTGTGTCCATGTGCTCTCCTCATTCCACCCCCACTTGTAAGTGAGAATATCCAGTATTTGGTTTTCTGTTCCTGAGTTAGTTTGCTAAGGATAATAGCCTCCAGCTCCATCCATGTTCCTGCCAATAACACGATCTCATTCTTTGTTATGGCTGCATAGTATTCCATGGTGTATATGTGCCACATTTTCTTTATCCAGTCTACAATTGATGGGCATTTTGGTTGATTCCTTGTTTTTACTGTTGTGAATTGGGCTGTAATAAACGTGTGCATGTGTGTTTATGATAGAATGATTTATGAGTCCAGCAGCACATCAAAAAGCTTATCCACCACGATCAAGTAGGCCTTACCCCTATGATGCAAGGTTGGTTCAACCTACACAAATGAATAAATGTGATTCATTACATAAACGGAACTAAAGACAAAAGCCACATGATCATCTCAATACAGGCAGAAAAGGCTTTTGTTAAAATTCAACATCCCTTCATTTTATTTTTTATTTTTTTGAGATGGAGTCTCGCTCTGTTGCCCAGGCTGGAGTGCAGTGGTGTGATCTTGGCTCACTGCAAACTCCATCTCCCAGGTTCAAGTGATTCTCCTGCCTCAGCCTCCCGAGTAGCTGGGATTACAGGTTTCTGCCACCATGCCCGGCTAATTTTTGTATTTTTAGTACAGACGGGGTTTCTTTTTTTTTTTTTTTTGAGACGGAGTCTCACTCTGTCGCCCAGGCTGGAGTACAGTGGTGCAATCTCGGCTCACTGCAAGCTCCACCTCCCGGGTTCACACCATTCTCCTGCCTCAGCCTCCTGAGTAGCTGGGACTACAGGCACCTGCCACCACGCCCGGCTAATTTTTTTTTATATTTTTAATAGAGACGGGGTTTCACCATGTTAGCCAGGATGGTCTCGATCTCCTGACCTTGTGATCCACCCGTCTCTGCCTCCCAAAGTGCTGGGATTACAGGCATAAGCCACCGCGCCCAGCAGAGACGGGGTTTCACCATGTTGGCCAGGCTGGTCTCAAACTCCTGACCTCAAGTGATCCGCCCGCCTTGCTCTCCCAAAGTGCTGGGAGTATAGGCGTGAGCCGCTGTGCCTGGCTGACATCCCTTCATGCCAGAAACTCTGAATAAACTAGGTCCTGAAGGAACACACCTCAAAATAACAAGCACCGCCTACCACTGCATCTCTTTCCCTGCAGCTCTTGCCTGAGTGAATCTGCCTGCAGGGTCAGCCCATTCCCGGCCCGTCACTGAATGTGTGTTTACTGAGCTCCTCCTGCATCCCACGTGCTCACAGCTGACAGGGAATCAGAACCCTCCCCTGCAGCTCAGGTCCTGGGTGGAGACAGCCTATCCAGTCCTCCAGGGACCACAAGGTGGGTGTCCTTTTTCTTGACTCCCATAGCAGCTGTGACTGAGATGCAGAGCTGGCACACACCTGGGCATGGCCCCACACGCAGGTGGCATGGGTGCAGTTCTAACCTCTCAGTCCGACTGCAAATGCTGCTCATAACCACAACAGAACATTTGGCCAGAGACTGCTCTCCTCTCGGGAGCCACACTCAGGGACATCACCAGGAAGATACCTCCTATCCCAGGCCCCGTCTCACCATGGCTCTGACAGCAAATGTGGGGGCAGAGGTAGTGCAGGGCAGGCCCTGGGGAGGACCTTGGCCAGTCAGTGGCGCCTTTTCCTGAGGCCCCAGTATGGCTGCCTTGCCAGTCCTTCCTGACTGTCTCTGCCCTCAGCCCCTGAGCCCCAGGCCATCAGTGACTTGGTGGCCCTGGGGAGCAGCCTCTCATCTTTCTGCCTGGCCATCCTTGGCCAGGAGGTCTCCCTGCTGACCACTCCATTCGGGTCTAATTTGGTGCTTCCAGTGTGTCCATGGATGCATTATGATTCAAAAATAATCATCGCACTCATACTCACGGAGTCTGTATCATGTTGCCAGGCTCTGAGTTCAATGCTTTGCATCCTCTATCCCGGTTACGGAAGTGAAAACCACAGAGCCAGAATCTCAGCCCATGTCACTTGGTCCCCAAGGCCTGATGCTACCCTGATTTTCTTGGATGCCGGCTGCCTCACCCAAAAAGTGTGGATTATGTTAGAGTGAAAGTTCCCCAGGAATAAAACCACCCAAAAAAGACCAGAAAGGGTAGAAGAGACATCGATATCATGGCATCCAGATCCAGGAAAATGACAACCAGAGAGCCCAGCCTTTAATGTGAGCTCCCTAGCAGTCAGAGCAAAAAGGGAAAGAGGGGACACATAGGCTTCATCACCTGGAGGAGGGAGCAGCACAGTTTACAGCAGAAATACGCTCTGTCACGTTTCAGAGTGAAGAGTCAGTTGGGGTGACAGCTGTGGAATAGAGGTGCCCCTCAGGGAAGAGGGTCCCTCGCTGCTGTTGCCACATTGTATTAAAATAAAACTATAAAAAAGTGGACAAGGTATCCATGTAGAACTCAATAAGTTTCCACAAAAGCTGAACACCTTCCTAGAACTGGCCCTCAGAACAAGAAATAGAACATTCCGGCACCCCAGAAGCACCCATTTCTAATTGCTACCCACTCCCCACCAAGAGTAACCATGAGCTTGAATTATCCCATCAGACACCAGTTTTGTCTGTTACTGGACTTCATAAAACGCCATCGTAGGCCGTGTCCTCTCATGGCCAGCTCCTTTGGCCCCAGACTATGTTGGCGAGGTTCATCCACTGTGTTGCATGGAATTTGCCCCGTTCGCGGCTGTTGCTGGGTCCTGAATTGTAAGAGTGCAGCGCAGCATGCACACGCACTCAGAGGATTTGGTTTTAAGAGCTGCGTGGGAGGGTGCAATGCAGAAGACAAGTCTTTGTTCTGCACAGTGGGTGGTTGGAGCTCAGAGCTGCTGCCCAAAGCAGAGATCCCGGAAGGGACTGTGCCCTCTGATGGGGGTGGCTAGAAGGCAACCCAGCCGCTGCCAGAAGGAAGGGACTGTGCCCTCTCATGGGGGCAGCTAGAAGGCAACCCAGCCACTGCCAGAAGGAGACAGCAGAGAAATACGTTTGCTGAGTCTGAGATGGGTGATAAAAACATTTCCTTTGAGAAGTGACAACTTCAGGCCCACCATTATCCAGGTGGGAGGCACACATTGGCATCAGTTTTGTGGTCCAGAAAACCACAAGCTGAGCAAGTCACTTAAAGTGGTCCTGAATTGATAGGACCCAGAGCAGCCCGGTGGAAGGAAGTGCAGCAAAACTTCAGACAAAGTCTGTGTCCTCAGCCAAGGCCCTGAGCTCCCCACCTACAGCCGAGGCAAACATGAGCTCACAGCAGAAAACCACAAGCACACAAGGAAAGCAGCCACCGTGGGCAAGAGCCAGCACCCGCAGTCAGAGACACATGGAGACACCAAGGGCCATGAATGAGGACATGAGGAGATAAAATACCAGCTAAATATTTAAAACAATGGGCTCACCCACTGTCTTGGGACCACGAAGGCTCTTCTGAGAGAGAAAGTTTCCTATCCTCAGAGTTTTAGGTGAACATATGGGTAAATCTAATGGGTTATTCTCTTCAAAATGTGTTTGATGTTGTAAACAAAAATCACACCATTCTCTGGTGGGGTTTTCAAAATGAGTATTTGTCATTTATGAGACAAGTGGTCTCTATTGCGGGAAGATTCCTGGATTCCACCTAAATTAGTGAAATATCGATTCTAAGTACACAGTGCAAAAGTAAGCAATATACCCGTACTCTAGAACAACCATTAAAAAGATATAAACAAAGAATATAGTCAAGCTGGTTCTTTGAAAAGATCAACATATTTTTTAAATTTTAGCAAGACTGGCAAGATGAAAAAGAAAGAAGATGCAAATTACCAATATCAGGAATGAGAAAAGGGATATCACTTCGGGTCCCACGGACATTAAAAGGATAATGCAGGAATACTGCACGCCGCATACATTTGGAAACTAAGAGGAAAGGGACCAATTGCTCGAAAGACATGAACCACCAAACTCAAGAAGGAAGAGGGAGCCTGAATATCTCTATCAAGAAACAGAATTTGTAGTTAAAAGCCTTCCCACACAAAAAAACCCTTCAAGGCCAGATGGTTTCATTGGTTAATTCTACATAACCTTCAAGGAACAAATAATCTGAAAGCAAGCAGGAAAAAATATATAAATTTATGGATAAGTGTGTATGTATGCATATAAAATTAGAAATCAATGCAATAGAAAATAGCAAAACAACGGAGAAAATTTATTCAACCAGCCAGGCGTGGTGATTCACGCCTATAATCCCAGCACTTCGGGAGGCCGAGGTGGGTGGATCACTTGAGGTCAGGTGTTCGAGACCAGCCTGGCCAACACGGCAAAACCCCATCTCCACTAAAAGTACAAAAATTAGCCTGACGTGGTGGCCCATGATTGTAATGTAAGCTACTTGGGAGGCTGAGGCAGGAGAATAGCTGAACCCAGGAGGCAGAGGTTGCAGAGAACTGAGCTGAGATCGTGCCACCACACTCCAGCCCGGGCAACAGAGTGAAATTCCATCTCAAAAAAATAAAAAAAATAAAACAAGAAAATTAATTAAACCAAAATCTGGTTCTTTGAAAAGATCAATAAAGATCAATAAATAAAGATCAAAAAAGATAAGCCTGTAGCAAGACAGACAAGAAAAAAGAGCAGACACACATGACCGAGGTGTGTGTGGGATATCACCATGTTGGCCAGGCTGGTCTCAAACTCCTGACCTCAGGTGATCCACCTGCCTTGGCCTCCCAAAGTGCTGGGATTACAGGAGTGAGCGTGCCCGGCCCAAAACTGTTCTATATGATACTGTGATGGTGAATAAATGGCATTCCACGTTCATCATTTGTGTTGTAGAACGTACAACATGAAGAGTGGAGGTGAAGGTTAGGTCTGGACTTTGGGTGCTCACCACGTGTCAATGTTGGCTCATCAATGATGACAAATGGGCCACCCTAGTGTAGGATGCTAACAGCAGGGGACGTTATGTAGGTGTGGCAGCAGGTGAAATACGGTAATTTTCTATACATTCAACTCAATTTTGCTGTGAACCTAAAACTGCCCTAAAACATAGTGTGTTTTCTGAAATACGTCCAAAAATAAAAAGTTATAAATCTAACAAAATATGTACAGAATGCACATGTTATAAATACAAAACACTGATGAAAGGAATCAAAAAATACCTAAATAAGTGGAGAGAGTCGTGCATTCATAGATTTGAAGACACAAAATAATAAAGACGTCAACTTCCCCAAAACTGATGTGCAGATTTAATTGGATTCCAACAACAATCTTAGCAGGATTTTTTGGTAGATATTCATAAGCTGTTTATGAAATTTATGAGGAAAGGCAAAAGAAAA
The DNA here is from genome assembly GCF_000001405.40 of Homo sapiens. NCBI lineage: Eukaryota > Metazoa > Chordata > Mammalia > Primates > Hominidae > Homo > Homo sapiens. The sequence goes on from NC_000011.10 coordinate 1,703,713, forward strand.
TAGAATAACCTCAAGGATCTAGAACTAGAAATACCATTTCACCCAGCCATCCCATTACTGGGTATATACCCAAAGGATTATAAATCATGCTGCTATAAAGACACATGCACACGTATGTTTATTGCAGCACTATTCACAATAGCAAAGACTTGGAGCCAACCCAAATATCCATCAATGATAGACTGGATTAAGAAAATGTGGCACATATACACCATGGAATACTATGCAGCTATAAAAAATGATGAGTTCATGTCCTTTGTAGGGACATGGATGAAACTGAAAACCATCATTCTCAGCAAACTATCGCAAGGACAGAAAACCAAACACCACATGTTCTCACTCATAGGTGGGAACTGAACAATGAGAACACTTGGACACAGGAAGGGGAACATCACACACTGGGGCCTGTCGTGGGGTGGGGGGAGGGGGGAGGGAGAGCATTAGGAGATATACCTAATGTAAATGACGAGTTAACGGGTACAGCACACCAACATGGCACATGTATACATATGTAACAAACCTGCACGTTGTGCACATGTACCCTAGAACTTAAAGTGTAATAAGAAAACATTTAAAAAAGAAAAGAAAATAGAATAGCCAAAACAATTTTGAAACAAGAAATATAGTTGGAAGAATGACATTAGCTGACTTTGAGACATTCCATAAAGCGACAGCAATGTAGACAGTGTGGTATGGGCAGAGGGGTAGACACACAGATCAAGGGAAAAGCACGGAGTTGAGATGTCACTCGCACACACAAGACTGCGCTAATTTATGACAAAGGGGCAAGACAACTAAATGGAGAAGTGTCTGCTGCAATCACAAAATACCTGTGACTGGGTATTTTACAAACAATAGAAGTACATTTCTCACAGTTTTGGAGGCTAGACGTCCCCAGATCAAGGTGCCAGTATTCTGCATCTGGTGGAGGCTCTTTGCTGTGTCCTTTTGGTGGAAAACATAAGGGGCAAAAAGGACCCAAGCTCATCCCCCCCAGCCCTTTAATGAGGCACTAATCTATGCCTGAGAGCAAAGCCCTGACTTGATCACTTCTCAAGAGACCCCACCTCTTAGTAACACCATAACAGGGGTTAAGTTACAGCGCATGAATTTTGGGGAACGCATTCATACCAGCGCGCGAAAGGAGAACCGTTTCCAAAAAATGGCATTGGAACAATTGAACCGCCGTAGACAAAACGAAAACAAAACCTCAACCTCAACCTCATACTTTATATAAAATTAACTCTATGCCCATCATAGACCTAAATGTTGAATATAAAACAATAAAACATTTGGAATAAAACAGGAGAAAGTCTTAGTGACCTTGAATAATAAAAACACACTGTGTAAGAAATAATAATGTGAGTGAAATTCAGTGTCCTTTAAAGATAAAAGGTCACGTCATAAGGAGAGAGACACACTTGGCAGTGCTCCTGGTTGCTGGTGGAGGACCAAGTGAGTCCTTATTTAGAAGGGACATTTTTTTTTTCTGTGCCATTTTCTTCATCGAACATTTAGTCCTTTGAAAGCTTGTGATTATCTTATGTTCAAATGCTATGAAATAATAAAGTCACAGGGCAGTCCCACTGCAGCGTGACAATGAGGGGGAACTCCAGAGATCCACTTCCATGTGAAACTGGTGAAGACTTTAAAAACAAAAACAAACGAAACCCCACCCCCAACAACCATTTAAAGCATCTGCAAATGGCCCTGTAGCCATTTCAAATAGAGAAACATTTATTCAAGAAAATCGACTAAAGCTTAGTGAGAACTGTGTGAGTCTGTGGTATCTGAGCCAATGCGTGTGCCCTCTCCCAGCCCAGTGAGACAGAAGCTCCACTCCAGGCTGTACAGCCAGGAATGCAAGACTATCTCTCCTCCAGTTTCTGTAATTGCCCGACAGGCTCTTCCCGCCCGCTGCACAGACAAAACCAGTTCACTCTGAGAACATGGTATTGCAGTAAATGAAATGTTTAATTAACGCAAGGCCTGCCAGGTGGAAGAACTGGAATGATCACTCAAACCCGTCTCCCTGAAGGCTTGAAGGTTAGGGTTTTTCCAGGACAGTGTGGTGGGTGGGGGGCTGGGGAATGGGTGCTCCTCATTGGTTGCGGGGGCAATCACAGGGGTGTGGAAAATGGTCCTTGTGCCCTGAATCTGCCTCTGGGTGGATAACAACCCCAAAGTGAAAGCAACCCAGACATCCTTCAACGGGTGAACGGTTAAACAAGTCGTGAGTCACGAGTCTGCATGGGGTCAGTTGGAAAACCACCTCAAAAGACCAATCTTAATTCTACCACAGTGATATTATCTATAGGAGCAACTGGGGAAGCCACAAATCTTGTGATCTCTGGACAAATGACTCCTAAGCAGAGGGGGATTATAGAAACTATGCCTATATTTTAGCAGAACTCATGCCCTCCTGTAATTCTAATCTTGTGGTCTTTCATTAGTCCTATAAAGGCAGTTTCAGCTCCCCAAAAAGGAGGGGATTTGTTTTAGGGCGGGACCGTTATCATCCTTGCTTACAAGTTAAACTATAAACTAAATTCCTCCCATGGATATAATAGAGGCAGGAGGCAGACAAATCCCAGGCAGATGGGGGTGGGTCCCCAGTGAAACCTCACCTTCAAGCCAAAACATCCTGAAACCTGCAGCCCAGAGTGAAAACTTCTATTCTTGTTTGCCTGCTCGCTCCGGATTGGTTCATTTTGAATAATGCCTTTTTAACCAATCAAATACTGCCTTTTCCAATACTACCTATGGCCTGGCCTGCCCCCGTCCTGGGCCTATAAAGACTCCAGACTCAGTTGGTAGAGAGAGAGAGAAGGCCTGACTTCAAGGAAGAGATCTCCTGACTTTGGGGAAGACGACCTGCCCTCCCTGTCCCCTTTCCAGTTCCCCTCTCTGCTGAGAGCTGTTTTCATTGCTCAGTAAAAGTCTCCACTTTCACCATCCTTCAATCACCAGCATGACCTCATTCTTCTTGGACGCTGGACAAGAGCTCAGGACCCACAGAGTGCAGGTACCTAGAAAGGATGTCACCCGGGCCCTTTGCCCTCGCCAGCAGAGGGCAGCTGCCCCACGCGATGAGGCCAGGGGCCGACCGAGCTGCTAACACATTGCCCTCCATTGGGATGTGGATGGTGGAACTATAAGAGCTGATTAGAGCACTAACACCCCCTCTGGGGCTTCGGGGTTGCGGGCACCCTTGTCTGGGCACTGCCATGTTCTCCTCGAGGTGACACACCTGGTCTGGCTGTGGGCCCCACGTGGAGTTTGCTCCCGTGTCAGCGTTCAGAGTGGCTGGCCAGATCCCACACTTGCTCGCTCATGCACTCCCTCCCGCAAGGGGCTGAGCATGCTGGGCCAAGTAGATGAGGAGCCTCTGCTGTGAGTCCAGCAAAGAGGCTGAGAAAAAATCCTGCATCAGTTAGCTTGGCCTGAGTCCAGGAATAAGCAAGGACAACCAGCCTATGAGCCAGAAGCAAGATGGAGTCAGCCATGCTAGACCTCTCTCGCTGTCAAAAGGTAGTTTCACTTCCAGTTGGTGAGGCTCTCTTCCTGTGAGGGTCAGTGTGCTAGCATCCTGCCCCCAGCTACCTGTGTCTCAGGCTGAATTCTGAGTGAGTGTGTCCGAGAGGTGAGGGTCCCTTCCTCTACTCAGCCTCAGGTCTCACTCATGCAGCAAAGGCTGCCCTGGGTTCATCATGCTGAGAATCCTGGGTCTCGGGTCTCTGGTCACCTTTGCTCCAGCTTATGGGAGGGGTTCATGCTGAGAGAGGCAAGCTGAGGACACCTGGAGCTGCTGCCCATCACTCAAGTGTCCAGCTTCTAAAGTAGGCATGACACCAGTGAGCCAAGATCCCTGCCGTCAGTTCCAGAGCTGTGGCTTAGAGATTTTGTCCAGGGAGAATGGCAGGATGTAGAACAGAGGATCTCCTAGTCTCTCCCAAAAGGAACTGACTTCATTTGCAACAGAGTATGAAGTTCAAACCTAAGGGTGCTCTCAGAGTCAGTGGCGGTTGTGGTGAAGGGCAACTGGGAGAAGATTGATAGATTCTTTAGAGACGTAGCCTAACTCTAAGATGGCTAGTTTTCTGGAGAGAAATGGAGAAAGAGAGAGCTGGGAAGAGACTTTCTGGGTTAGTAAGAAATCTCAAGCACTGGCCTTTCCTTTCAAAGGAGTCAGAATTTGATTGGATTAGTCTGTGAAGCAATTTATTCCCTAGGGTGATGTCAAAAACAATCGAGCAACCAGCTTGCAATGACGAATTTAGCAGCTGGGTTTGGTCAGGGAAAGAGACGAAGAGAGCCTTCCCACACCCCCATCATATCAAGGTGGACCTGCCCACTACTTCTCAGGGGAAACAGACTTTACTGCAGTATTCCAGTCATTGCAGCTTTCACCTAAAAGCTTTCACACAATTGCTTTGGGCTATTCATAATAGCCCCACACTGAAAATCCAGGCGTCCTTCAATGGGCGAACAGTTAAATAAGTTGGGGCTCGTTCAGCTTATGGAATATGTTTAGCAAGAAAAAGGAATGAACTATTGATACATACCACAGCCTGCTAATCTCCAGAGAATCATGCTGAATGAAAAATAAAAAGCCAATTCAAAAGGTTACATGCTGTTTTATTTCAGTTACATAACATCCTTGAAATGAAAACTTTATAGAAATGGATAACCAATTAGTGTCTCCTAGGGTTTATCGCCCAGGGTTCCGGCAGTGATGAATGTGGTCTGTGTTTTGAAAATATCGATGCCAATATTCTGATTGTGATATTGTTCCGTAGTTTTGCAAGGAGTTACCATTGAGGGAACTGGATAAAGGGTTCATGATATTCTATTATTTCTTACAACTGCATGCAAACCTAAAATAATCTCAAAATAAAAAGATTAATATATTAAAAAAAGAATTAGGATACTTCTGCTTTGGGTCAAGATAGAGCAACAGAGAATAAATATACAATTGTAAATGTAAAACAACAACAACAAAACCAAGACAAACACATTATTCTCAAGAGGTAGACAACAGACAAGAAAGGACTGGGAGGTGAGCCCTGGGACGTGAGCCCTTCAGTGGCCCCAGGTTTCAGCCCTCAGAGTGTTTCCAGGTCATGGCGCAGGGAGAGGAGACCCCGGGGAAGCTCAGTGTATTCCTTGAGTTGAGCATTTGTGAAGACCAAGGCAGCCCGAGGTCACAGGGCAGAGCATCGGAGAGTGGAGCGCTGCACAGGGAGCTGGGAGACATGCGGAGGGTCCCCTCTTCAGTCCTCAGCAGGGCACTGAATGGCACATGCGTGGGAGAGAACTACTTGAAGCCAGGGAAAGAACCAGCAGAGAGGACCAAAGGGAACTGTGCCAGGCGCGCACACAGGGCTGGGGACAGTGACTGACCCCAGCAGAAAGGCTGGAAAATTCCACAATTCATGGAGCATGTGGGTGGAATATTGAGAAGGGTCTCAACAGTGGAGAATAAATAACCTTCTACTAAGAATCTTCCCTCCATAATTGCTAGAAAAAGCAGATGGAAACTAAATAAGAACACAGGGCCGGGTGCGGTGGCTCACTCCTGTAATCCCAGCACATTGGGAGGCCGAGGCGGGCGGATCACGAGGTCAGGAGATCGAGACCATCCTGGCTAACACGGTGAAACCCCGTCTCTACTAAAAATACAAAAAATTAGCCAGGCGTGGTGGCGGGTGCCTGTAATCCCAGCACATTGGGAGGCCGAGGCAGGCAGATCATGAGGTCAGGAGATCGAGACCATCCTGGCTAACACGGTGAAACCCCGTCTCCACTAAAAATACAAAAAATTAGCCGAGCGTGGTGGCGGGCGCCTGTAGTCCCAGCTACTCGGGAGGCTGAGGCAGGAGAATGGTGTGAACCCGGGAGGCAGAGCTTGCAGTGAGCCGAGATCGCGCCACTGAGTTCCAGCCTGGGCGACAGAGCGAGACTCCGTCTCAAAAAAAAAAAAAAAAAAAAAAAAGAACACAGAAGGCTTGAACAACGCTTTAAACCAGCAGGATGTAGTCAGCGTTTAGAGGTCACTCCACCCAATAACAGCAGAATACACACTCTCTTCAAGTGCACAGGGAACATTTACCAACATAGACCATATTCTGGGCCAGAAAAAAAGTCTCAACAGATTTTAAGAGGTCCAAGTCCCACAGAGTATATTATCTGACCCTATGGAATTCAATCCCACATATTTGGAAACTAAATAGCATACTGCTAAGTAATCCACGGGCCAAAGAATAATTAAAAGAGAAACCCAAAATTATTTCAAACTAAAAGAAAATCAAAGCTACATCTAAATTTGTGTTTTCACAAATTTATAGCATTAAATGTCCATGTTAGAAAAGAAGTTTTCCAGGTTGGACATGGTAGCTCATGCCTATAATTCCAGCATTTGGGAGGCTGAGGAGAGAGGATTGCTTGAGCTCAGGAGTTCGAGACCAGTCTGGGAAATATAGTGAGCCCTTGTCTGTACTAAAAATCAAAAATATTAGCTGGGTGCAGTGGTGCATGCCTGTAGTCCCAGCTACTCAGGAGGCTGAAGGTGGGAGGGTCACTGGAGCCTAGGTTGTTGAGGCTATAGTGAGCCGTGATTGTGCCACTGTACTACAGCCTGGGTCACAGAGCAAGACCGCATCTGGAAAAAAAAAAAAAGAAAAGAACAGCAACAAAAATAAGTTTTCCAATTCATGACCTCAGTTTTCACCTTAAGTAATGAGAGAAAGGAGCAAATAATTAAAAAAAAAGAAAAAAAGTACATTTAAAGGATCAGAGTGAACAATCAATGAAACACAGAACAAAAATAGAGAAAATCAGTGACGCCAAATCTCATTCTTTGAGATCAATAAAACTGATAAATTCTTAGCTAGACTCATCAAGGGGAAAAAGGGAGAGAAAAGACACAAATTACTAACATCAGGAATGACAACAGCATAATCATCGTAGGTTCTACTAAGTGTTAAAAGAATTGAGAAGGAATAATATGAGCAATTTAATGTTGATGCATTTAACAGCTTAGATTAAATGGACAAAATTTATGAAAGGCACAAACTTTCAAAGCTTACTCAAGAAGAAAAAGATAACCAGAGTAGCCCTGTATTTATTTAATACGTAAAATTTGGCTTTAAAAAACAAAAACAAAAGCAAAAACAAAACTTCCCACAAAGAAACCTCCTGGCCCAGGCAGCTTTACAGGCAAATTCTACCAAACATGCAAAGAAGACTTAACACCAAATCCACACTCATGTTTGCAGGAAATTGAAGAGGAAAGAACATTCCCAACTCATTCTAAAATATGCACAGAAATGAAAAAAAAAAGTCACATCTGAAAAAGGAAAAGTCTACCCTACTTGATTTTAAAAAATGTAAACCTGCCTGGGCACGGTGGCTTACGCCTGTGATCCCAACACTGTGGGAGACTGAGGTGGGCAGACTGCTTGAGGCCAGGAGTTCAAGACCAGCCTGGCCAACACAGTGAAATCTCGCCTCTACCAAAAATACAAAAATTTGTCCAGGCGCCACGGCTCACGCCTGTAAGCCCAGCACTTTGGGATCTTGGACTTCTGACCGCTAGAACTGCGAGAAATTGAATTTCTATTGTTTAGGTCACGCAATCTGTGGCACTCTGTTCTGTCAGCCCCTTGTTGACTGAGGCAGCCATATCTCAAGATATTTTGTTTGTTAAACTTGTGGGGAGGGTGCTGCTGGCATTGGATGGGCAGCGGCCAGGGATGCCGCTGAATACTTTATGATGCACAGGACGGCTCCACACCAAAGAATGGTCTGGCCCCAAATGCTGATAATGTCAAGATTGAGGAACCATGAGATAAATAAATAAACCAGTGAAACAGGATAGAGAGTTTGGAAACAGAGCCGCACATAAATGGACAACTCCTGGTCTCTGTAACAAACGCTGCTGGAATAACTGCGTATCTGTGTGCAAAAAGTGAACTTCAAGGTACACATCATGCCACAGAACACTACCTCCAAACAAATCATAGGTTTACATTCAAATTTAGGAGAAAGTCTTTGTGGCCTCGTATTGGGCAAACATGTCTTAGACATGAGGCCAAAAGCACACTTCATAAAATACAAAAAGTGATGAGTTGAACTTCATCACAATTAAGAAATTCTGTGTTTGGAGAGGCACTGTTAGGAGAGTGAAAATGCAAGCCACAGATGGAGAGAAAACATTTGAAAACATATTATCTGATAAAAGACATGTATCAGTCTTTAAGGAATTCTTGAAGTCTGGCTGGGCAAAATGGCTCACGCCTGTAATCCCAGCAGTTTGAGAGGCTGAGGCAGGAAGAGCAATTGAACCCAGGTGTTCGAGACCAGCCTGGGCAACATAGCAAGACCCCGACTCATTTTGTTTTAAAAAAATAAAGCTAAAAAAAGACTTCTTAAAAATCATGACTGGGCAAGTGGCTCATGCCTGTAATCCTAGCATTTGGGGAGGTCTAGGCGGGTGGATCACTTGAGGTCAGGAGTTTGAGACCAGCCTGGCCAACATGGTGAAAACCTATCTGTACCAAAAAATACAAAAATTAGCTGGGTGCGGTGGTGCACGCCTATATTCCCAGCTACTTGAGAGGCTGAGGTGGGTGAATCACTTGAACCTGGGAGGCGGAGGTTGCAGTGAGCCAAGATCGCACCACCACACTCCAGCCTGGGCGACAGAGCAAGACCCTGTCTCAAAAAAAAAAAAAAAAAAAAAAAAAAAAAACCAATAAGAAGAAAACAACTAAGTATGGAAAATGGGCAAAATATTTATTATTTATTTTGTTATTTATTTTATTAATTTTTATTTCAATAGCTTTTGGGGTACAAGTGATTTTTTTGTTACATCGATGAATTCTATGGTGGTGAATTCTGAGATTTTGGTGCACGTGTCACCTGAGTAGTGTACATCGTACCTAAAAGTGTCATTTTAAAAATCTCCAGCCCCCTCTCGCCGCCCCTCTTCTGAGTCTCTGAAGTCCGTTACATCACTCTGTATGCCTCTGTATACTCACAGCTTAGCTCTCACTTAAAAGTGAGAACATACGGTTTTTTATTTTCCACTCCTGTGTTACTTCACTTAGAATAATGGCCTCCAGCTCCATCTAAGTTGATGCAAAAGGCATTATTTTGCTCCGTTTTTATGGCTGAGCAGTATTCCATGGTGTATCTGTGCCGCATTTTCTTTAGCCACTCGTTAGTCGATGGGCACTTAGGTTGGTTCCAGATCTTTGCAATTGTGAACTGTGCTGGAATAAACATACCCGTGCAAGGGTCTTTTTCATAGAATGACTTCTTTTCCTTTGGGTAGATACCCAGGAGTGGGATTGCTGGATCGAATGGTAGGTCTACTTTTAGCTCTGTAAGGAATCTCCACACTGTTTTCCATAGAGGTTACACTGATTTACATTAAAAATGGGCAAAAGGGGCCGGGAGCATGGCCCACACCTGCAGTCCCAGTACTTTGGAAGGCTGAGGCAGGTGGATCACTTGAGGTCAGGAGTTTGAGACCAGCCTGACCAACACGGTGAAACCCCATCTCTGCTAAAAAAAAAAAAAAAAAATACAAAAATTAGCTGGGCGTGGTGGCACACGCCTGTAATCCCAGCTATTCAGGAGGCTGCGGCAAGAGAATTGCTTGAACCTGGGAGGCGGAGGTTGCAGTGAGCTGAGATCATGCCATTGCAGTCCAGCCTGGGCAACAGAGCAAGATTCCATCTGAAAAAAAAAAAGAAAGGGCAAAAGATTTAAACAGACACTTCATATATATATATATATATATATATATATATATATAGCAAATAAGTGCATGAAAATGTGCTCCGCATAATTAGTAATTAGGAAAATGTAAATTAAAACCCACGAAGTAACACTATATACTCCTTGGAATGGCAACAGTTTCCATGTCGAGTGCTGGCAGGGGTGGCAGAAATGGAACTCTGTACACCACTGGTGGGAGAGAAAATGGTATGGCCCCTGGGGAAATCGGCGTGGCAGTTTCTTATAAAATTAAGCGTACACTTAGCATAAGACTCAGCAATCCTACTCAAAGACATTTATCCAAGTGAAATAAAAATCTGTGTTCACACAAAAACCTGCATAGGAATGTTTGTTTGTAATTGCCAAAAGCCAGAGAAAGCCCAAACTGCCCCTCAACTTGGGATAAAGTGTGGATAAAAGTGGATAAACTGTGGCACATCTGTAATTGGGAGTCCTACCTCGCAAAGCAAGGGGCAAACCATAGAGGCACACAACACGAACGAATCTCAAGGCATCAGCCTACGTGAAAGAAGCCAGGCTTGGAAGATTCCCTGTTGTATGATCCCAGAACGTACGGCATTCTGGAAAAAGCAATATTACAGAAACAAGAAAAAGATCACTGGTTGCCAGGGCCTGGGAGTGGGGAAAGAACGTTTGACCACAAAATGGCACCGGGGATTTGAGTGGAGGTGACACGACTGTATGGTTGCTAAAAACTCATAGAGCTGTGAATGTTACCTTATCATCATCATTATTATTATTATTTTGAGATGGAGTCTCGCTCTGTCACACAGGCTGGAGTGCAGTGGCACGATCTTGGCTTACTGCAACCTCCACCTTGTTTGGGTTCAAGCAATTCTCCTGCCTCAGCCTTCCTAGCAGCAGGGATTACAGGTGCCTGCCACCACGCCCGGCTAATTTTTTGGTAGTTTTAGTACAGATGGGGTTTCACCATGTTGGCCAGGCTGGTCTCGAACTCCTGACCTCAAATGATTGGCCCACCTCGGCCTCCCAAAGTGCTGGGATTACAGACTTGAGCCACCATGCCCGGTCTATTGTTTAATAGGGGAAATACGTCCCATCCCAAGTGTGTCCCTGGCCCCTCCTGGTCCTTGCCAGCTGGTTCTTGGGAGTCTTCAGGTGTGTTGTGTCTTTCTCACCTCACCAGGTCCCATCTGTCACTGACCAAGTTAGGCTGGCATTTAACCTCAGTTACCTGGAAGTCAGGTGAAAAGATGAGGGGCAGCTTTCAAAGGGCACCTGTTGTCCTGTGTGAGAAAGGTTTCAGCAGCTCGCTCAAACGTGACAGCAGTGTTAGCTCTGCCTGGGAAGGGCCGACCTCCCGCTAAGTTCTGAGAGTCCAGGTGGGTTGCAGAGTCCACATCTTTGGGGACACATATCCGCATGTTTCTGTCTCTGTTTTCAGGGCCTGACTTCACGTCCCTGGTCTTCCTTGGCTGAGCAGTCCAACCTCTCTGTGACTCTGGGACTGTCACAATCAGGTCATCAGTCTGCCACTCAGCTGGGTCTGCCTTCCATGGAGGGGGGCAGGGGCTTCTTTGTGAGCTGGCACCAAGCCCCCTGGCTCTGTGCTTAGTCCAGGACTCTTCATTGGCAGCCGTCCATGTTTCATTATCCTTGGGCTGGGCTGCCGTGCAGCTCAGCGGTGCCACCCAACCCTGCTGACCTTGTTGGCATTGTCCCCTTTTGCTTTGCAAATGCCTACGTCATCGTACTGCCACAGGCCTCTCCTCCACCTAGACCTTCCCTGCAAATCATCACCAGCAAAGATTTTAACAATGGGGGCTCCACCTCGTGTCAAGGACTGTCCATGCCCCACCCAACAGCCAGAGGGGTGGTTCCAGTGCCTCCTGACCAGTAGGTGGGCCCGTCCCAAGTGCTCATCCCAGCACCCGCCTTCTCAGAACACTCTCAGCACTACTTGCTTTCGTCAGGGGCCTTCTAAGGAGCAGGCCCAAAGATGGGATCAAATGCAGGGGATTTCAGCAGGGAAATGTCTACGTGGAGGAAATGGGGAGGAGCCATAAGGGCTGGGGGAGCCATGTCCCTGCTGCAAGTGTGACCCTGAATGAAGGGCGAGGGGAAGCAGCATGGGAGACCGCCATGCTATCAAAGAAACATTGGATGAGGCCTCCGGGGATCCCTACGCCAACGTCTTTCATCAGAGGGGTGTCGGGTCTCCCAGGAGCAAGCCCGCATAGCACCCCAGTCTCTGGAAGCAGCCCATGGCTTTGGCGTAAATGCGGTGCTGGATGCAGAGTGCACCTGCCGGGGCCTGGGAAAGCCACTGTCTGCACGGCAAAGTCAATTCGTATGCAGGAGAGCAGAACATCACAACGAATACACAGCCCACAAGTCCTCTAAGGAACCCAGCACCAACACGGAAAAGGACATAATTTTTCTCAAGGACATGTGACACATTCACAAAAGATTTACCGTAAAGTCAGTATTGAAAAATTTGAAAAGATTGAAATCATACGGTGAGTATTCTCTGCAATTATGCTACAACTCCATGAATAAAATGTAAATAGAACATTCTGGGCCGGGCACTGTGGCTCACGCCTGTAATCCCAGCACTTTGGTTGGCCAAGGCGGGCGGATCACCTGAGGTCAGGAGTTTGAGACCAGCCTGGCCAACATGGTGAAACCCCGTCTCTACTAAAAATGCAAAATTAGCCAGACATGGTGGCACGCGCCTATGGTACCAGCTGCTTGGGAGGCTGAGGGAGGAGAATCGTTTGAACCCGGGAGGCGGAGGTTGCAGTGAGTGGAGATCACGTCCATGCCACTTGAGCCCAGGAGACCACCCTGGGCAAAATAGAAAGATTCCATCTCTACAAATATAGGTACACACACACATATATACGTATACAAAAATTAACCTGGTATAGTGGTGTACACCTATAGTCCCAGCTACTCCAGAGGCTGAGGTGGGAGGACGGTTTCAGCCCAGGAAGTTGAGGCTGCAGTGAATCATGATCACACCTCTGAACTCCAGCCTGGATGGCAGAGTGAGACCCTGCCTCTAAAAAAAAATTAAAATTAAAAAAATACATTAATTAAAAAAAATTTTTTTTTTTGAAATGGAGTCTCACTCCGTCACCCAGGCTGGAGTGCAGTGGCACGATCTCAGCTCACTGCAAGCTCCGCCTCCTGGGTTCACGTCGTTCTCCTGCCTCAGCCTCCCTAGTAGCTGGGACTACAGGCGCCCGCCAGCACGCCCGGCTAATTTTTTTTTGTATTTTTAGTGGAGACGGGGTTTCACCGTGTTAACCAGGATGGTCTCGATCTCCTGACCTCATGATCCACCAGCCTCGGCCTCCCAAAGTGCTGAGATTACAGGTGTGAGCAACCGCGCCTGGCCCCTAATTAAAATGTTTTAACAAAGGTTCATTTTACCCCTTCTTGTTTTTTTTGTTTGTTTATTTTTTGTTTTTTTTTTGAGATGGAGTTTCGCTCTTGGTGCCCAGGCCTGAGTGCAGTGGCGCCATCTTGGCTCACTGCAACCTCCGCCTCCGGGATTCAAGTGATTCTCCTGCCTCAGCCTCCTGAGTAGCTGGGATTGCAGGTGCTCACCACCACGCCTGGCTGATTTTGTATTTTTAATAGAGATAGGGTTTCACTTTGTTGGTCAGGCTGGTCTTGAACTCCTGATGTCAGGTGATCCACCCACCTCGGCCTCCCAAAGTACTGGGATTACAGGCGTGAGCCACTGCACCCGGCCTACCCCTTCTTTTATTCTGCATTTTCTTCACCAATTTGTCAACCAGCCAATTTGTCACCAACTTGCCACAGTTACCTTGCACTCAAACTACACTTAAAAATAAAATTAGAAAACATGAAAACATCTGAAGGGAAAAATCGAAGCTCATCGTCATAGCATTTTTACACAGATATATACTAGATGAAAGAGCTGCAGAAAATGCTGCCTCTATGGCCCTCTTGTTTGCTGTTTGTGCACCAGTTAAAACAACTGAGGTTCGCTGGAATATGGTGCATACTTCAGACTGTGGAATATAATATTCTCTGACTAAAAACTGTTGCGTTGAGTAAAACAAACAAACAAAAAAGTATTTTTTCCCAGCTACTCAGGAGGTTGAAGCACAAGAATCGCTTGAGCCCGGGAGGTGGAGGTTGCAGTGAGCTAAGATTGTGGCCACTGCACTCCAGCCTGGACGACAGAGTAAGACCCTGCCTCAAAAAAAAAAAAAAAAAAAATTAATGAATTAAGCATTCGGTGCAAGATATTGGAGAGAGAAGGACATAAATAGGATAGCAAATAAAGCAATAACTATTAAAGGAATTCAAACTAAATTAAAACCTTCCTACAAAGAAAGCTCCAGGGTCATGTGGCCTCACCAGCTGCTGCACCAAATATAAAATGCAGAGGCAAAAACCCTGTTAAGCAACTCGAGGCCAAGCAGGCCAAATCTTGGCACCCAAGCCCCAGGGGGGCGGCGGGCACAAGGAAGCCTGGGAGTCCAGCGCACACTTGCTTCTGGAACAAAGAGGCATGACAAAAATAGCAGCGTTTCAAAACACAAATACACAATGAACATTTTAGGCCCAGTCCAGGCACGCGAGCCTGTTTTAACATTAGACAAAATGTCCAAGAATGTCATTTGCTGCATTAACTTCCTTGAATACACGAAAGAAAATCACATAAATGATGTAGAAACGTCATTCCATAATATTTCATAGGAATTTAATAAAACGGGGTCATTTCTGCCAGAATGCATTGTGTAAAATGCAAACCAGCTCAAAAGCAACTGGCAAATAAAGTAATATCAGTATGACACTAGAATTATTCTCCTTTAGACACCTTTCCCCCCAGCATATTAATGATGTAAAAGGACTGAGGTAAGCATTTTCACAATTAAGACAGGCGCTTCTCTCCACGCGGGCCATGGCTGGCTTGGTGTCCGCAGGGACTGCTGCTGCACCTGCCCCGATGAGCCATCTGAAGAAGCTGGGGGCACACATGAAAAGGCTGAGAAGTGCTGGGCAAGGTGGCTCACACCTGTAGTCCCAGCACTCCGGTAGGCTGAGGTGGGCGGATCACCTGAAGTCAGGAGTTCAAGACCAGCCTGGCCAACATGGCGAAACCCCGTCTCTACTAAAAATACAAAAATTAACCAGGCGTGGTAGCGGGCGCCTGTAATCCCAGCTACGCAGGAGGTTGAGGCATGAGAATCGCCTGAATCCGGGAGGCAGAGGTTGCAGAGATCGTGCCATTGCACTCTAGCCTGGGTGACAGAGCGAGACTCTGTCTCCAAAAAAAAAAAAATGCATTTCACCCATGGTGAAAAAAAATCATGAAAATGCCTACAATCTGAAGCACACGTTTAAATTTGGGAAAATCTGAAGTGAGTGCCTGTCAGGGCCTCTTTGTTGAAATGAGAATCCTGAGCCAGGATTGAAGGCTGAGAAGGGGCAGTTAACAGGTGCTGGGTGGACGTGATGACGGGGACTGAACTTTGCTAACGCTTGTCATTTACTCCAGTCCCAAAATTACACAGCTTTGGAACAAAACTGCCGCCCAGATCTATTTTTCCATCAGCTCTGTTAGTTTTTAGTCCATGCTTTCTTTTGCAGAATAAAAAGTCTTTCCTATTTATGGCATTATAGCAAAAATGTAAATATTAGCATATTATAAATGATAGGGAAGTTCTTTAAGTTAATAGAGGATGTCTGCAAATACCCAGAACAAATATCACACAAGTCCTACAAACTTCAAAGATTTATCTTTGAGATAAGGATTATAAAAGAAAAGCCTGCTATCACCACCTGTTTTACATTGAAATTGAGGTCCTAGAAAATGCAGTTAGTCAAGAAAAACACATAAAATGTATGTGAATTAGAAAGGAAGAAATAAAACTCTAATTATTCATATGATAAGGTGCCATGATTATATATATAACAAATCCAGATAAAGCTACAAAACATTATTAAAATAAGAAATGCATTTAGTAAGGATCCTGGCTATATGATTACTCTTTAATAGTCAATAGTATTTCTTCACATTAGTAATAAAAACTTAGAAAAGAAAATGTTTCAAATGGTGTGACATTTACAGTAGCATAAAAATCAAATATCTAGAAATAAATTTAACAAACTGTGTAAGACTACACAGAGAACAATAAAGCGTTTTTTTTTGGGAGAAATTAAAGAAGGCTTACATAAATGGAAGGTTATAGCATGCTTGGAGATTTGGAAAACCCTTGCCTATTATAAAAATATGTAAAGAAAAACTTACATATTATAAAAATGTAAATTCATTAACGGCAAAAACCACAGTTGTTTTTGCACCAGCCTAATATTTGGGGAGAATTTACGTTTTTACAATGTGTGAGAGTTTTTGTTTACATATGTTTATAATACGTAAGGGTTTTCCAAATCTCCAAGCATGCTATATGGCATACTTTTAATGGCAAAAACCGCAATTAATTTTGCACCAACAAAAATATATCTATAGATTTAATCAAAATTCCGATAGGCTTAAAAAAATTTGGATAAACTGGCTCTAAAATTAAGTGAAAATCTAAAGTAAAATAATCGAGAAATTCTTGGAGAGTGACAATATGAGGGGTGGAGTGGACATGTGGGCTTATTCTCAAGCTACGGTAAGTAAGATGATCTGGCATCGGTACAGCAACAGACAGAAGAGCAAATAGAGAGCCGAGCACTAGACCCTGCATCCAGGAACACTTGAGGTCCAGCTAAGGTGTCTCAGCAGAACAATGAAGAAAGGACGGGTTTTCAAAACAGCAGAGAGGCGGAACTCACCTCTGCCTGTCTCCATGCGCAGGGAGATTATCCATCTAAATGTGAAAAACAACATAATAAAGACCCTAGAAGATCATCAAGGGTGATATCTTTTATTTTATTATTATTATTTTTTTGAGATGGAGTCTTGCTCTTGTCACCCAGGCTGGAGTGCAGTGGCATCATCTCAGCTCACTGCAACCTCCACCTCCGGGTTCAAGTGATTCTCGTGCTTCAGCCTCCCGAGTAGCTGGGATAACAGGCGCACGCCACCACCCCCGGCTAATTTTGTATTTTTAGTAGAGATGGGGTTTCACCATCTTGGCCAGGCTGGTCTCGAACTCTTGACCTCAGGTGATCCACCCACCTTGGTTTCCCAAAGTGCTGGGATTACAGGTGTGAACCACCGCACCTGGCCGGTGATCTCCTTTATATCTGGTTAAATCAAGAACTGGTAATAAAGAAAAGGACAACCACTGAAGACCCCTGCTTCGTTGAGATGTCGTGTATCACTTTAGGAAACAACGCTACGACCACTAGAAAAAATGCAGATGACAAGTACACACAGGACATTCAAGAGCCATAAAAGCAAAGAAGACTAGAGCAACTCAACTTCCAAAGAATAACCTTTTCTAGATAGTTGCTCTAAATGGCTGATTTTCTCCTGGGGGCCCATCTTGGGAGAGGGCTGAGGGTTGGGTTTGGCCTGGGTGTTGGGATTCTGCTAGGGGAAGAGAAGCCAGTGGAGACATTGCTGAGTCTCGTGGGGCTGGAAGGGAGTGGCGGGAGGCGCAGGGCAGAGCCGGTTGTGGCCGCTGGACACTTGTCCAGGTCTAGGGTGGTCCGCAGAGCGGGGATGTTGGGTTGGTAACTGTTAAGAGGCTGAGTGGGCCAGACGCGGTGGCTCAAGCCTGTAATCCCAGCACTTTGGGAGGCCGAGGCGGGCAGATCACGAGGTCAGTAAATCGAGACCATCCTGGCTAGCACGGTGAAACCCGTCTCTACTAAAAGTACAAAAAATTAGCCGGGCGTGGTGGCAGGTGCCTGTAGTCCCAGCTACTCGGGAGGCTGAGGGAGGAGAATGGCGTGAACCCAGGAGGCAGAGCTTGCAGTGAGCCGAGATGGGGTTTCACCATGTTGGCCAGGTTGGTCTCAAACTCCTGACATCAGGTGATCCACCCACCTTGGCCTCCCAAAGTGCTGGGAGTACAGGCTTGAGCCAGCGCACCTGGTTTAACCAGATTTAAAAGATATCACCGGCCAGGTGCGCTGGCTCAGGCCTGTAATTCCAGCTCTGGGCGACAGAGCAAGACTCCGTCTCAAAAAAAAAAAAAAAAAAAAAAGAGGCTGAGTGAACTCCTCTCTTGCGGCCCCATGATTCGTGAGTCCCTCTGGAGACAGTGGCTTGCCCCCAGTGCTCGAGGCCCCCAGGATTCCCACCCAGATCTCCAGCCAGAGCGAAGAGCAAAGAGCAAAACCTCTGCCGGGAAGACGGAATCTGCATCCTCTTTCACGGCTTAGGAGAAACATTTAAGGGCTCAGGAGGGTTCTGCCCCAAATCGGTAACAAACTAAAAGCGACTGACTCAGAAAATCTCAAATCCAATCCTGAGCAAACGCAGTCAAACGAATTCCTCAAACAAACTGGGTTGAAACCGTCAAGCCCTCCCATGCGATCCACCTAGCAGGAGAAAATCTTCTTCACGAGAAAACAACAATTTGTCTTTAATAAATTAATACATAATGTTTAGCCTCTGAAGTTCTTTTATGCATAATGTATGAAATGCAAAAATAAATAGAGACATGAAAAGAAGATAAATACATCCAATATCAAGAAAATAAACTTAGCAGGATGGTTACCTGTTGTAAAGAACGAAAAAAGAAAAGAAAGCCAGACAGTAAGAGGCAACCACTTATAATCTGTATGTTGGAGTTATGCATTAAAAGAACTATTATACATATGTTTTGAAGATAGAGGAAAAGATGAACAAAATGCATGAGAAGGTGAAGAATCTCATCAGAAAATTGGAATCTAAAAAACAATGGTATAAGCATTGTTAAACTAACATTATATCTAAAATTTGAAAATGCATTGGATGAAAAAACAGAATATAGCTGTGCTATGCCCACATATACTTTCTGAGAGTAGATCCTGAGATATTTACACAAGTTATATCCTAAGGTAGTATTTCTTAAAGTGTTTGGCAATAATCAAGATATAATTAAATTTTGCTTAAAATACACAATGTATAGAAAATGTTGGATTAAGCAACACTCAATAGATTTCCAAGCAACATGTCTTTTGTGAGTTTTATTTTACCTAGCTAATATGCATTATGAATCTTCAGAGAAGGGTTCTTAACATATTCTTTTGTTTTCCTTCACACAAGCCAAGAGTCCTAATCAAGATTTTCTGCAATCAACTATGATTCTTCTAAAAACATGTTGGGTATATTCAATCATATGCTGAACAGAGCAGAAGACTGAATTAGCAAATTTAAAGAAAGATGAATAGAAAATATACAAATCAAAGACAGTCTTTCAAGGGACAATCGGTCAGCGTAACTGACTGATTTTATGAGTTAGTTGATTTCTCATTAGAAACAATGGAAGCCGTAAGAGAACGGGATGACAGTGTGGTGGTGGTGTTTTTTTAAAAGAAAAAAATGGCCAACCTAGAATTCTATAGGCAACAAAAATATCCTTCAAAAATAAAAGCAAAGACCATTTCAGACCAGCCAGGCTGTTGCAGGAAACACTCAAGGGAGATTTTTGTGCTGAAAAAAAATTGTCCCAGATAGAATGCGGAACTTCAAAACAGAATACAGTGTCCTGGAAAGGCTGAGTAAGTATGCAAGTCACTACATGGAAAAAGAGAAAGAGAAAGAGAGAGAGAGAGAGAGAGAGACTGCGTATTTAAAACAAAGAGATTACAGATGTTTATAACATATATAGAGGTAAAATATAAAATGACAATAGCACAAAGGGCAGGAGGAGGTAGACATGGTTAAATTCCTGTAAAATGTCTGTACTGTTTCTGGGAAGTGGTAAAAGCACAACTTTCTTTAGACCGTAACAAGCCAGTAACTCCTGTTGTCATATTATCACTCCTAAGAGATTAATACAAAAGTATATAGCTAAAGATCTAATGGAGATAAAATGAAATAAAAACATTTGATTTGGCCGGGCGCGGTGGCTCATGTCTGTGATCCCAGCACTTTGGGAGGCCAAGGTGGATGGATCACTAGGTCAGGAGATCGAGACCAGCCTGGCCAGCATGGTGAAACCCCATCTCTACTGAAAGTACAAAAAATTAGCTGGGCGTAGTGGCACTCGCCTGTAGTCCCAGCTGCTTGGGAGACTGAGGCAGGAGAATTGCTTGAACCCGGCAGGTAGAGGTTTCAGTGAGCTGAGATCCCGCCACTGCAGTTCAGCCTGGGCAACAGAAAGACTCCCTCTCAAACAAACAAACAAACAAAAATTTGATTCATCTAACAAAAGGCAGAAAAGAAATAAGGAGGAAAAACAAGTGAGTCGAGGAAAACATTGCAAAACAAAGGTAGATTTAAATGTAACTATATCATAATTATTTTCAATGTTACAATAAGTGGATAATCACTGCAGATAAAAGTCAAATTAGTCAATACAACTTTAAAAAAAACAAATGTTGTTTACAGCAGGGCACAGCGGCTCACGCCTGTAATCCCAACACTTTGGGAAGCTGAGATGGGTGGAGCGCTTGAAGCTCAGAAGTTCGAGACCAGCCTAGGCGACATTGCAAGACCCCATCTGTACCCCAAAAAAAAAAAAAAAAAAATTAGCCAGGCTTGGTGGCATGTGCCTGTGTTCCCAGCTACTCAGGAGGCTGAGGTGGGAGGATCGCTGAAGCTCGGGAAGTCGAGGCTACAGTGAGCCATGATTGTGCCACTGCACTCCAGCCTGGGTGACAGAGCAAGACCCAGTCTCAAAAATAAATAAATACAGCCTGGCCAACATGGCTAAACCCCATCTCTACTAGAAATACAAAAACTAGCTGGGCGTGGTGGCACACGCCTGTGATCCCAGCTACTCGGGAGGCTGAGGCAGGGGAATCGCTTGAACCTGAGAGGCGGAGGTTGCAGTGAGCCGAGATGGCACCACTGCACTCCAGCCTGGGTGACAGAGCAAGATTCCATCTAAATAAATACATAAATAGTTTTTTATAAAAGATATAATTAAAGGATATGCACAGATTGGAATCGAAATATGATATAGCTTACAAACATTACCCAAAAGAAAGCAGAGGTAGTTAAATAAACATCAGAAAGGAAGTAGACTTAATAAAAGAAATATTGCTACCAATAAAATGAATCACTTGATAATTTCAAAAAGATCAATCAAAAAGACACGACAATTCTAAACTTCCATTCATCTGATAGCGTTGCTTAAAATACGCAAAAGCAAAGCTTGACAGTGGCAAGGAGACATAGACAAATCTACAATCAGAGTTGGAGGCCGTAATGCACGTCTCTCAGCAACTGATAGGACAATTAGACTGAAAATGAAATCAGTAAGGCAGGAGAAGATTTCAACAACATAATTAACCACTGGAAATAATTAAAATTTACAGCCAATAACTGGAAAATAAACATCTTTTCAAGTGCACATAGACACAGTTACAGGAACAGACCAAAATCTGCTTCAAAAAGAAGCCTCATGCATTGTTAAAGTATTGAAATGATCTAGGGAATGTTCCCTGACAATAGTAAAAATAAAGCCAGATACTGAGAACAGAAGGATAACTACAGGCCGGGCGTGGTGGCTCACGCCTTTAATCCCAGCACTTTGGGAGGCCGAGGCGGGCAGATGACCTGAGGCCAGGAGTTTGAGACCAGCCTGGCCAACATGGTCTCTACTAAAAATGCAAAAAATTAGCTGGGCGTAGTGGTGGGTGCCTGTAGTCCTACCTACTCGGGACGCTGAGGCAGGAGAATCGCTTGAACCTGGAAGGCGGAAGTCGCAGTGAGCTGAGATTGCGCCACTGCACTCCAGTGGGGGCGAGTGTAGAGCGAAACTCTGTCTCAAAGAAAAAAACAATAATAATCACTATAAAAATCTGAATGTCTGCCGGGCACGGTGGCTCACGTCTGTAATCCCAGCACTTTGGGAGGCCGAGGTGGGCAGATCACGAGATCAGGAGATCGAGACCATCCTGGCTAACACGGTGAAACCCCGTCTCTACTAAAAATACAAAACAATTAGCCGGGCGAGGTGACAGGCGCCTGTAGTCCCAGCTACTCGGGAGGCTGAGGCAGGAGAATGGTGTGAACCCGGGAGGCGGAGCTTGCAGTGAGCCGAGATGGTGGTGCCACTGCACTCCAGCCTGGGTGACAGAGCGAGGCTCCGTCTCAGAAAAAAAAAAATCTGAATGTCTGCAAATTAACCAAGTGTCTATGTAATCAAGGATTCAAAAAAGAAATCAGGATAGAACTCAGAAACTATATTGAAACAAATGATAATAAAACATATATAATATCAAAACTTGTAGGATATTTATGGATTTAAATTAATTCATTATATTATGAAAAAAGAAAGTTAAAAAGAATTATTCACCAAAGAGGCTGGAGGGAAAAACAGCAATTTAAACCCAAAGAAATTACAAGAAAGGGAATAATAAAGTTAGGAACAAAAATTAATGAAATGAAAAGCAGACACACAATGGAAAGACCCACAGGCAAACTTTTCTTTTTTAAATAAGTATATTGATAATTATCTACAAGACTGACCAAGAATAAAGAGAATCAAAAGTTGTCAAGAGTATGAAATAGGATGATCAGAAATGAAAATGTGGGTACAGACATCCAAAATGGAATAAAAATATACTATGAACAACTTTATGTCAATACATCTGGCAGCTTCAATGAAATGGAAAAATTCCTTGAAAAACATTACCAGTTATGAAGACTTAATACAGATAGTATTCCCACAGGAATGGAGACAGTCTGATGCTGCTGTAAAGTCAGATAAATAGACCAGTGGGACAGACTGAAGTCCAGAAACACATGCACCACGTCTCTACGGCCACCCAACAAACCACTGAGGGCCCCTGCAACTTAGTGGGGGAAAGATGGTCTTCTCCATGAGGGACATGGCAGCACTGGGACGTCTCTATGGGAAGAATAAAAATACTAACATTGCCCCGGAGTTGGTTCAGGTTCTCCGGCAGCAGAACCAGAAGTGAGAAGATCTCCATGTCTGTAATTTACTGGGGACATGCTCCTAGGAAAATGGGGGAAGGGAAGTAAGATTTCAGGAGAGTGGGGGTTTCTGTGCAGGCCCAGCTTCTGCCTAATCAATGGCAACTCTTGATCATAGATCATAAGTTTATCTTGATGCAGACAGGGGAGCTTGGCTTTGGGGCTCCAGCCGGAAACAGCAGTGACTAAAGACTGTGAAAGGGATATGAAGTCCAGATACAGGGTCTTCCCAAGTACCATCTCAGTCGTGGACTCTTGGAGACAGATGCACACTGAGGCTGGGGGTGGGGCACAGAGGAACAGTGGTATGACCCAAGCAGACCTGGGTGGAGGACCTACAGTGTCCTCAGCTCCCCCGACCTCCCACCTCACATCATACACAAAAATTCATCCAAGGTGGAGCACAGACCTAGATCCAAAAGGCAGAACAATAAAGCTATTAAGAGAAAAGCTTCATGACCCTGAAGTGAGTAAAAAAAAAATAAAGAAAAAAGAAATTAAAAATTAACAGGACATGAAAAACATCAGTCATACAAGATAAAAATTATAAATGGAATTTAATAAAAAATAACTTAGTTATCAGAATATAACATTAAGACAGTGAAAAGACAAACTGCAGAGTGAGAGTGTGCCTAATTACATTTGTCTGGAATGGTTCCTCAATCTTTCCTTGACGTTCATGACCTCGACACTTCTGATTATAGGCCAGATCTATTCTCACGATCCCTCAGTTTGGGTCTGCCTGGTGTTTGGCTGTGCGTTTTTGGCAGGATATTAGTCACCTCAGGCTGCCACAGCTAATATGACTGGGTGGCTGAAACAAAAAAAATTATTCTTTCTCATTTCTGGAGGCTGGAAGTACAAGACCAAGATCAAGGTGCTGGCAGATTTGGGTCCTAGTGAGGGCTCTCTTCCTGGCTTGCAAACGGCCGCCTTGTCACTGTGTCTTCACAGGCTGTGGGAGAGAGAGAACAAGCCCTCTGGTGTCTTTTCTCATAAGGACACTAACCTCATCATGGGGGTCCCATCCTCACGACCTCATCTAACCCTGATCAGCTCCCAGAGGCCCTGCCGTCAATACCATCACAGTGGAGGTGACACAAACATTCAGTCCTTAACCGGCAGAAATATCACAGAAACGACTCCGTTCTTATCAGTGCATCCCATCAGGTGGTGAACAGTTTCAATTTATCTGGTTGTTGATGACATTCACTTTGATCATTTGATCAAGGTGATGCCTGCTGGGCTTCCCCACCTGTAAAGTTACCTCTGAAGGCATAAAGTCATAAAGTTTCTTTGTGATTGCGATGACTCTTTAGGAAATTTCTTTGGAACTAAAGATCACTGTGGTTGTTCAACTACCAGTTTATTGATGTATTAACATCAGTGTATTAAACTCGGGTTCCTATTTTATGCAATAAACTGTAATCTTGACTAACATTATTGGCTTTGATGCTCAAGTTGTCTCTGGCGTGGCCGGTGGGAAGCGACTCCTGCGTGTTTTCTGCATGTCCTCGCCCTGGCTCATCCTGCCCCTGACCTGTCTCAGCCTGGAATCAGCTGCTTCCCCAGGGAGCCCCGGGTCCTGTCGGTGGTGAGTGGTATTTAGGGGCCAGGGTCTGCCACTGGGGGGTTGCTGCTTTCAGAGCCTCTTAGAGGAAGGAGCTGGAGAATAAATGGATTCCTCCAACTCCAATCCAACACCACAGGCTGCGTTCTAGTTTCATCCCTTTCAATATTTGTCACTCTCTTTGCCCACAGTGAGAAAGCAGACTCCCATTTACTTCAATATCTTTACTTCTTCTACCGACCCCCTGGGTGTAATCACCTCCCTCCCATTGCCACTGCCCATCTCCCCGCAGATGCCCTTCTCATCAGGCATGGCTCTGGCCCCCTCCTTGCAGCCCCTCCTCTCCGTGCCCAGCCTCCTGCCCCCCTCCTCGAGTGCCTTCCCCACAGGGATGCCCCCACATTCTCCTCTCTGTGCAGCTTAGTTCACAATAAAAATTACTAATCACCACTGCTCACTTTCCATTCCCAGAGCCACTTTTCTTCTGGAGATATTCTTTCTATGCATTGGAATTACTTATGAATAAATATAAGGCTAATTTCTCTCAGAGATATTACTTGAACCCAAAGATGTTCATAGTTATTTATTTTATTTTCATATGCATATGAAAATATGTCAGTAGACATTTGAGTTATTTCCCATTGATGGCATTTATACATAACACTGCAATATATAAAAGACATAAATATTATACAGAAAACTACATCAAGCATAAATGTACAACTTAATGACTTTTATAAAGCAAATAGTCATGCAACCACCACCAGCATCAGAAAACGGAACCTTCCCAGCAACCCAGAAGTTGCCCCACCTGTGCTCAGATTTGTCAAATGCATCAACGTTTTTCATTATGATCACTCTATTTGTGTCTTGCCGAGAAAAGCAGTAACCAAATGGAAGATGTTGGTAATTGTGACTATATTAAAATTGGAAACTTCTGTCTATAAAAAGATGCCACTAGGAGAGCGAAGAGGAAAGCCTCCGAGCGGAAGAAATTATCTGCACTGCGTAGAACCATCAGAGGACGTGGACACGCTGTCCTGAGAGAACCCCTAGAATCACGGAGAAACTGACAGCCTGGTAGGAAAGAAATGGTCAAGACACTGAAATAGTCATTTCACAAACAGGAAAACCAAATGGCCAGTCTGTGCGCAGAAAAGACGCTCGACTTCCTCACCCATCTGGGAAACACAAACCAAACCCACCACGAGATACTACCACATGTTCCCCTGAGTGGCAAAAATTAAAAAAAAAAAAAAAAAAAAAAGACTGACAGCAGGTGCACTGGGGAGGAAATGAAACGGTGGGAACACACACTGCTGGGGGAGGCGCAGCCATCTTGGAGGGCGGGCGTCGCCTGCTGAGGTGGAGGATCAGCAGACTTCATAATTCGGCAATCCCACTACTAAGGATCTGCCCGAGAGACATGGGTTCTGGGGGCCCCGAGCAGCACACACAAGGATGCTTGCAGCAGTGGTACCCCTAAATGCCAAGACGGAAACCGCCCAAGCGTTTGTCGGTGGTAAAATGGATATGTACGCTGTGGTACATGATGCAATGGATGTCAGTCTGCAATGAAAATTCATAGGCACCCCAGTGAATCGCCGGGGGTGACTCAGCGCAAAACACCAAGCACAAAAGAGTGCATGGCCCGGTTCCATTCATAAAAAGTTCCAAAAGTCAGGAGCCTGTTTAACAGATGACGGCGCTGAGGGATGCACTCTTAGGTCGTAAAAATGTACACAAGGACTTGGAATTGATTGCTGGGTGTTGATCAGTCAGGGTGGTGGGTCCCAGCTGGGAACGAAGGGGTGGTCAGAAGGAGCCCCCGGGGGCTTCCAGGGGTCTGGACAAAGTGCTCTTTCTTGATATTGTATGGTTAAATTGATGGGTGATTGCTTTGTGAAGATTCATCAAGCTGTACATTTTCAAAAATTTTACTTTTAATTGACTTTGGGCACTATTCTGTGCGTTATATTTCACATTTAAGAAGTTTTTGTTTAAAGAAATCCTTTCTTTCCCATAGGTCATGAACAGCCCATTAATTTTGGCTAAAAGTCATCGTTGCTGCTTTGAAAATAATCGGTTTTCTCTGGCTGCTTTTAAGGCATTTTCCTCTGTGTCTCTGGTGCTGTGCAGTTCCACTGTGATGTACTCAGCCGGGGATTTACTGTTCTATCGTGTGGGCTTCACTGGTCTCAAATTGGTGGGTTGATGGAGCTTATCAGCTGTGGGCCATTTTCAGATGCTGTTTCCAGTGACTACTTCTGCTTCTTCCACCATCACAGCCTCTCTGGCCAGTCTCCCAAGAGCACATCTCCCGTCCTGGCTGCGAGCGGCCCCGACCACCCCTGCAAAGCCTCCAGCTCAGCAGGTGGATGTGAAGTCGGGGTGGGGAGGAGATTCCTGTCCCTTTTCTGTCTCAGAACAGTTCCCCTCTCCGCCCAGTCCCTGTCAAGGACAGTTCCTCTCATCCTGAGGTTCAGTGGGCCCTGTGGTTTTGTGGGGTCAGAGACTTCCCTGGCCCCTTGTGCCCCCATCCATCTGAGCTAGTCAGCTGCATGCTATGGGAGGAGGACCCCAGGGAGCGTATATTGCTGGTCTCTAAAGCCCCCGTGGGACAGCTGAGCACATGCAATTAGGAAAGAATGTTATGCGGATTTCCAGTGTCTGGAGAAGAGGCATCAAGCTCCACCACCTGCAGGAATGGGCAGTGGCTTGGCAAGGGCAGGGGAGCCTGGAGAGCTCTGGACCACTGTGGTCAGGGGAAGGGAGGCTGGGGGATGACCCTATAGCACCTCCTCCCCAATGCACACACATCTTACACATGCACACACACACAATACACACATGCAGACATACACAACACACACATGCACACAGCCACACGCAGCACATATACACAATACACACATGCACAGTCACATACATGCACACATGTACACAAAACACACACATGTGAAGACACACACATGCACATATACATAATACACACATGCACACAGTCACACACACATGCACACAGCCACACACAGCATATACACAATACACACATGCACACACATCTTACACATGCACACAGCCACACACAGCACACATACACAATACACACATGCACACAGCCACACACAGCACACACACACAATACACACATGCAGACATACACAACACACACATGCACACAGCCACACGCAGCACATATACACAATACACACGCACACACATCTTACACATGCACACAGCCACACACAGCACATATACACAATACACACATGAACAGTCACATACATGCACACATGTACACACAACACACACATGTGCAGTCACACACATGCACATATACATAATACACACATGCACACAGTCACACACACATGCACACAGCCACACACAGCACATATACACTTATGCACGGCCACACACGTACACACAACACACACACACATACATAGTCACACACATGCACACAGTCACAAACATGCACATACAACACATCCACATGCATGCATACACATGTACACACAACACATCCACATGCATGCATACACATGTATACACAACACATCCACATGCATGCAGTCACACACACTCACACAAAGCACATTTACACACATGCACACAGTCATACATGCACACCCTTGTACACACAACACACACACATGCACACAGGCACACACACATGCACACATAACGTGAATATCACGTGCAGTCACACACATGCAAACACACACACAGTTACATACATTCAAACACATGTGCACATAATACATGCATGCATAGAGTCACACACACATGCAGTCACACACAACACATACATGCACACAGTCACACAGAAGCAGTCACACACACATGCACCACATACACAGACAAAAGCACACAGGCACACACACTACACACACACACGAACACATATGCACACAGTCTCACACACACACACACACACACACAGATGCACAGTGAGGCTCAGCCTTTACAGTCCCCTCAGTCTTGATCCTTTATTTATTTATTTATTGAGACAGGGTCTCACTCTGTCACCCAGGCTGGAGTGCAGTGGTGCAATCACGGCTCACTGCAGCCTTGAGCTCCTGGGCACAAGCAATCCTCCTGCCTCAGTCTCCCAAAGCACTGGGATTATAAGCATGAGCCACTGAGCCAAGCCCCAATCCTTTTAAACTGGCCTGTTGGGCTGGGGTCCCAAGGGCAGTGACCAGGGCAGCATGGGGAGAGGGGAGGGTAGGGAAAGTCACCTGACTCCCCAAAGATGCACAAATATATGGAGGCACACAGGGAGAAGGACAGAGAGAGTGAGAGGGGGATTGATTCTTTCGTTCGTACAATGTTTATTGAATGTCAAATGTCTGCCAGGCACTGTGCAAAATCACATAAAAATGAGGTGGGAGGAGTGCAGTGGACAGGGAGCGCCAGCAGGTCAGGCATGAGTACAGACAGGCAAAGACACAGACTTCGAAGCCAGAGACCAGCGCCGGAGCTGATGCCTGCTTGCCTGCCTGCTGAGGGCGAGAATGCACCTGCTGTGGGGGCCTGACCTCACCGTGGACACCCACCGCGGGAGCACCAGCCCTCCCCCGGTCCCCAGGGTATGGAAGCCAGGGGCCTTTGTAGCCCCACATTGCCCGGAGTTGGATACAAACATCCCAAGAGCTAGGGGTGCCTTTACTGGCTGGAAGGTGACCGTTCCATTTCCCCAACATGAACTCAGAAAGCTTCAGCCAGGCGCAGGAACATCCCAGGGAAAAGCTGGCTGAGGGCTTCCCTAATGCAGGGGTGTTTCCTCCTGGCCCCTGTCCCAGGCAGCCACCAGCACTGCCACCAAATGTTTAAGGAAAATAGGCAAAGAAAGCATTTGCCCCTCTACTTTCTTCCCTCCCAGGCATAACATGGAAGACACCTGGACACTGGGGTTGGCCTTAGCTGCCCCAGGAACTAGAAGCCAGGACCCTCTCTCTTCCAAGGCCCAGCAGCCTCTGCCATCCTCTTCCAGCCCAGGCTTGTCCAGGAAGCCTCTGGGTCTAATGGTGCAAGCATCCGAAGTGCCCACAACCAGGCTGCCCACAGTCTCGGCAAGGCTTTCAGCCGCCCCTGGCACTTCTCCCACCATCCTCCAAGAGGCTCAATGACAGCTCCGTGCAGCCCCGCATCAGCCTCGCAGCCCGCCGCCTCCTGCCCTCCCATCCCACCACTGCCTGGGTTCAAGGGTCAGTGCTCAAGAGTCCCACATGGTCCCCACCCTGTCCCCTCTCTCGACTCTGACCCCCAAGCCCTCCCATTTTGAGGTCACACACTCCCCTCCCCTCTTCCCTGAGCACCCCCTCCATCCACCTCTGCCTGGGCTGCACCCCAGGCCCACGGGCAGGTGCTGGCCACCCTCCCTTCCTCTGCAGGTTTCTGGGTCAGGACTGTGACCAGAATCTTGCTCGCTGCACTCCTGCCACGGCTGTGCCCTGTCCCCTGCGTTTGTCCCATCTGCTGCTAGCTCAAGGTCCTCCCTTCTGAGGCACCCCACGTCTCCAGCCCAGAAGGCTCTTCCCTTCTCTGCTTGGTATCTTAAAGTCAACATCTTCTTCTCCCTGGTTTCCTGCCCTTGGTACACAGCCCTCTCCACTGGGCTGTCCAAGTCAAGGGACAGGAATCCTCCGGGCTTCTCCCCCACCTTACCTTCCAAACCAGTCAACCCCACTGACTGCACAGCTGCCACGCAGGCGCCCTGCTGTCCAGCCCTCTGCTGCCAGCCCCAGCCCAGGCTCAGCTCCCTCCACTTGCATCCACCTCTGTCCACTGGACTCCCCTCCAAGCTGGCCTCGCTACCCCAGAGGGCACGAGCTTCCCAAAACATGAGGCGCACGGCCATGCCCCTTCCCTGGGAAGGTTTGCCTGCCTTCCCACGGAATAGCAAGTCCTTCCCACTGCGCACCTGAGCTGCGGGATTTCCTGCGGTTTCCCAGACCAGCTGGGCACCCACAGCGCGAAGCTCCACACCCATGGCCACTGCCTCGGCTTCTTCTCCATCTTCACCTCCCCACCTCCTTCGTGTGCCTCGCCGATGCCCTGCACTTTTCCTAGTGCACCCTCATCAGCTTGTCTTCAGGGCTGACCGGCACCCCCATGACTGTGCCTGAGTTCCAAGGGGACAGAGCCCATCCCTGCATCCTGCCTCCCACATTGTGGACTGCACATGCCATGGGCCGTCAGGGCGCTGGCCTCGGCCTTTGAAAGGCATCTTCCGTTCATTTTCACAGTGATTATAGAAGTGAAAGGCCATTTTCCTATTTTACAGCTAAGGAGATGGGCACGAGAGAGGTAAAGGGGCCTGTCCAGGTCCCAGAGCCCTCCAGGAGGGACAGGGGTTAGCCAGGCGTCTATCGTCTCTGCCTGCTGCTTCCTTCCGAGTGAATTTGTGGTTTCCTTTGCTCTGATTTGGCCAATGCAGGCAGCTGAGGCTGTGCCCCACCCCCTTCCGTCCCCCCAGGAGGCTGCCTGACCCTCTAAGTGACTCGAGTTTGGGGTACCTCCACCAAATGCCCCCCCTTCCCATTCACTGTCTGGCACAGCTGTGATGGAGCAGACCGTCCCCTGCAGTCTGTTGGGACACAGCACCCGGGGCCCTGACCGCCAGGCAGTTCCTGAGGGAGGATTGCAAAGCCTCCAGACTTCTCCAGGCCCTGCCAGGGACACAAAGTAGAAGGCTGGGCTGGAGCTGCATGGGTATTTCATTGAAAGTTCACAGACACAAGGGCTCTGAGCGGGGTCACATCGTGGAGGAGGCAGGGTCGGGGAGCACAGAGTGAGTCCTCCCAACCTGGGACAATTTTGCATAAGCCCTTCCTGCTAGGTGTCAGGTCCAAGGGGCCCCAGGAGCCTGGGAAGGGGCACGTGAGGGCAGGGACACAGACGCTGGAAGCCAGGGTGCAGCAGCGAGGGGAGAAGCCCCCAGGCCCCAGACACAGGCAGGGTGGAGGCCAGGAGGCGGAGGGGGTGGACTGAGGGCCAAGCTCACTGCCCCCTTGCTGTACTCAGCTTCTGATGGCCTTGCTGCCCAGTTCACAGCTCAAGGGGGCCCCAGGACAAGAAGCCCTGCCCTGCCCCAACCTCATGGGATCCTGCGTTTCAGGGACCATGAGAATAAACATGTCTCAGTGCTTGTCTCCGCCAGCAGCCGTGCCTGGCGGGCCTTAGTAGTCGGTGAGGGGGTACCGCAGGAAGATGAAGACGAGGATGATGCAGGAGGCTGCCAGGGCAGAACTGGTGATGTTGAACAGCCGGGCCGTCTTTGCATCCTCCACGGCTCCATTCAGGTCATTGAGAAGCTTCTTGTCTCGCACCTGAAGCCGGGAGGAGGACAGGAAATGGGCAGTCAGCCAGGGAGCAGGGCCTTGGAGCATCCAGGAGCCCAGCAGAGCCGGTGCCACAGTGCTCAGCACAGTACCAGTGCTTTGTTTCCGAGAGCTGACGAATGAACGATGGTTCTAGAGGAACATGTCTCTGCCCTGGGGCACTGTACACGGATGAACTTGGGGCACGGGGGCGTCATGTCTGAAACCTCTCAGCCCTCAACTGGTTTATAAAGTAGGTGAGATGTATTTATATATATAGAGAAAAGCAAATATGGTAAAATGTTAAAAAATTGGGGCAACTGGGTGAAGGATATAAAGAAATTCCTTGTTTTTTCTTTTTGCAAGTTTTAAATGATTAAAATAAAAGAAGTTGGCCTCAGAGAGGATATAATTGGAGGATGGGGCGACACAACTGTCTCCTAATTTGATTGGTTCTGCCTCGTTTAAAATTAACTGGGATGCCTTGAGGATGAGCGTTGTGCATTGGCAGGAGAGACAGCAGTCCACAGGGCCTTTGGGGAGGAATATTAAGGCGAAAGGAGTGGGCTGGCACTCAGGAAGTCTTGGGGAGGCAGTGGACTGAGCTGGACTCATTTCCAAGAGGCAACCTTCATTCAGAATGAATTATAGGGCCCTCCCCTCCTCAGCACTCTTTCCTTCTATCACATCCACAAATATGTGCGTGTTTGCTGTAAGAAGAAACCAAGTTCTAGGATGAGGAAGGGAAGGAGAATGGAAAGAGAGGAAGACAGGAAGGGGCAAAAAGTCTTTGCCTTAGTAGATTGGAGCTGGGCTGAAAGAAGGAAGGTGGGCAGATAGATACTGGGGCTGACTAATGCCTGGATCCCTCAGTGTGCAGGTTAGGCAGATGGACAGGAGACCTAGGTCGGAAGACTGGATGGACAGAGGATAGATGTGTGGTCAGGGTGATGGATGTGTAATTGAGTGGGAGAATGGAAGCATAAATGGATTGGCCTGTGGGTGGATGGATGGAGGAGGCAGAATACTGGAAAGAACAAAGGGAGAGGAGAGAAAAAAGAAGATAGAGGGAGTGGGGAAGGGAAAGCTAGAACGCAATTCAGTGGAGTGGAATGGAATGGAATGAAGTGGAGCAAATGCAGTGAAGTGAAATAGAGTGGAGTGGATGGAGTGGAGTGGATGGAATGGATGGAGTGAATGCAGTGAAGTGGATGGAATGGATGGAGTGAAGTGGGTGGAATGGATGGAGTGAAGTGGGTGGAATGGATGGAGTGCAGTGGGTGGAATGGATGGAGTGGAGTGGGTGGAATGGATGGAGTGGAGTGGATGGAATGGATGGAGTGGAGTCAATGGAATGGATAGAGTGGATGGAGTGGAGTGAATGGAACGGATAGAGTGGATGGATGGAATGGATGGAGTGGAGTCAATGGAGTGGAGCTGGAAAAAAGTTGGAGAGGGAAGGGAAGGGAGGGAACAAGGGCAAATGGGCAAGTAGGTGACTTGGAAGATAAATTGTACAGAACGTGCTATCAAAATGGAGAGATTGAAGATGGGAAGAAGCAGGTATTGAGGATTCAGGGTAAGGAAGGAGGCAGGAAGAAAGTCTATGCTCTTATCGGGTTCTTATGCTAGTGGTTTTGGAGGAAACTGACATCTGCAATGAAATTTGTATTCCTTTATAAGGACTGAATGTGTCACCCACTTATTGAGGTCTTATTTGATGCCTTTGCTAAAATAAAGTTGTATAACTTTCTCCAGAAAGAGCTATTACATCTTTTGTTAGACTTAGTCTTAGTCTATTTATTGTTTTTATTATAATGTAAAAGTATATTTTAAAATTGCATGTCTAACTGATTTTGTATCCAGCTAAACTATCATATTGTACTAACTGACCACGTGTTCTTAATAATAAATCATATCTACAGCAAATACTAGTATTTCTATTTCCTCCTTGCAGTCTACTCCTAGACAGCACAGCATAGAGGTTAAAGCACAGATGCAGAAACACTGACTGGATTTCAATCCTGATTCTGCGGGTCGTAGACTGTACAGCCTTAGGCCAGCTAACAACTTACTCTTCTGCTCCTCATTTCCTCATCTGTAACATGAAGATGACGACAGCGCTGCCTCCCAGGGTTGTGGGAAAGGCTTAATGAATTGATGGATGTGAAACTCCACCACAGTGCCTGGGCCAAAGTAAGCTCCTCTCATGGAGGCAAAGAAGATTCCAGAGCGTTTCCAGACAGCAGCAATGAGGACAAGCAGCTGAGTCTCATTCTTGACCTCAAGGTACCAGGAAGGATAATGCTCATCTTATCATTAGAGGTCTATGATTGCGTTAGAATTTCCACAAGATAAACTATTGTTTCCTTCTCTAATTCATTAATATGGTAGATTATATTTATTGATTTTCTTATATCAAGACAACTCTGAATTCCTAAAAAAACTTTTGGTCTTGATTTCTTTGTTGGATACTTGGAGTGAGGAATAACGTGGCAGAGGGAGGATGAAACACTGGGTGTCAAAAGCGGATGGAGCGGAGGGCAGGAGGCTGAGGCAGCTGGGGTATTGGGTGCATAGAAAATGGCGGCCACAGCTAAAGAAGATAGGGAAGAGGAGGGTGGGGGAGTGATCTAATGATCGGGAAGGTGGGTGGATGAAGCTGAGGGGTTATACGGATGGAGACTGGGTGTATGGGACAGAGAAATGGATGTAGAAACTTGTGCTGGGTGGGGAGGAGGGCTGGACGGATATAAAATGTACGTTGGATGAGTGGGACAGGGAGAGAGCTGAATTTATGAATACAATGCTTCTTGATGTACAATGGGGCTACAGTCCAACAAACCCATCATAAGTTTAAAGTGTCATAAGGTAAAAGTTTCATACGCATTTTCGTATGATGTGTTTTTCACAAGCCTGGTAAGCTGAGGAGTGTACTGGGTGCCTATGGCTTTCCTGCCATTGTGAAGTTGAAAAAGCATACGTCGAACCGTCATAAGATGGGGACCGTCTGTATATGCTGGGTGGGGTAACAGGTGCATAGACGAACATATGAATATATGTCCAAGTGGACAGATGGATATGCAAGTGTATGCCACATGGGTGGGGCATCTGGGTAAGCGGGTAAGTGAACGGCTGCTGGATGGGAGGTGATGTGTGGATATGTAAGAGCATGTTCGGTGGGCAGGACAGGCAAATAGGTGAATACACGAGAATGTGTGCTCATGTGTCCATGATGGCTTGGACCAGGGCAGCGGCAGAGAAGGTGATGAGACAGAGCCAACTTCTGGACATGTGTTGAAGGTGGAGCTGACAGTGTTTGCTGGGATCAGGCTTGCAGTGTGATAAAAAGAATGGAGGCCAGGCATGGTGGCTCACGCCTGTAATCCCAGCACTTTGGGAGGCCGAGGCGGGTGGATCATGAGGTCAGGAGTTCAAGACCAGCCTGGCCAAGATGGTGAAACCCCGTCTCTACTAAAAATACAAAAAAATTAGCAGGGGCAGGCACCTGTAATTCCAGCTACTTGGGAGGCTGAGGCAGGAGAATCGCTTGAACTCGGAGGGCAGAGGTTGCAGTGAGCTGAGATCGTGCCACTGCACTCCAGCCTGGGTGACAGAGTGAGACTCCGTCTCAAAAAAAAAAAAAAAAAAAAAAAAAAAAGAATGGAACTCCACGTGGTTTGAATGAATGGACAGGTGGTTA
The DNA here is from genome assembly GCF_000001405.40 of Homo sapiens. NCBI lineage: Eukaryota > Metazoa > Chordata > Mammalia > Primates > Hominidae > Homo > Homo sapiens. Next base: position 1,739,124 of record NC_000011.10, read on the forward strand.
CAGGAATATAGGAACGGATGCCAGACTGGAAGGGCAGGTGCACAGATGGGTTTCTGAATGCACGCTGGATGGCTGGAGCAGGTCCATGGCTGGATATAGTAACGGATGCTGGATGGCTGGGACAGATCCATATGCTGAATGGGTGGAACAGGTAGATCAATGAATTTATGATGTGTTTTGGATGGCTAAGATTGGTGGATAAGAGAAAGGAAGGAGGGTTGTTGGTGTAGTGTAGACCACTGGATGGTAGATGGGTAGACAGATTCCTTAATCAATCAATCATCAATCAATATTTACTTAGTGTCTGCTCTGAGTAGTTGCTGTTCTAGGTCCTGCGTATATCACAAGGAATAAAACAGAGTCTCTGTCCTCACGCAGCTTACATTGTAGGGAGAAGATACAGAAAATAAACACGATAAATAAGTCAAATATGTAATGTGCTCAGTGTGCTAAAAAGAAACCTGAAGAGGCTCAGGGGAACAGAGAGTGCTGTGGGAGGTGCAAGTCTAGCTTGGTGGCCAGGCTCAGGGGAACAGAGAGTGCTGTAGGAGGTGCAAGTCTAGCTCGGTGGCCAGGGAAGACCTTGTGGGGTGGGAGGTATTTGAGGAAAGATCGGAAGAATGTGACAGACTCGGCCATGTGTTCATCTGCAGGGAGGCATGTCCTGGGAGCATAGAGCTGTCTGTGCAGGGCCCGGTGCTTCTGAGGACTAGGTGCAGAGTAGGGGCAGCAGATCACAGAGAGAGAAGGGGAGGACATACGGTCAGAGGAGACCATCCAGGAGCACGGTGCAGGCTCTGTGGGTGCTTTTTAGTCATTTAGAGCCGGAAAGATGAACGTGATATGACATATGTGAACGAGGCAGTGCTGGCCGCTGTGTAAGAACAGATGGCAGGGGCCAGGCATGGTGGCTCACGCCTGTAATCCCAGCACTTTGGGAGGCCAAGGCAGGCAGATCATGAGGTCAGAAGTTTGAGATCAGCCTGACCAACATGGTGAAACCCTGTCTCTACTAAAAATACAAAAATTATCCAGGTGTGGTAGTGTGTACCTGTAATCCCAGCTACTCAAGAGGCTGAGGCAGGAGAATCGCTTGAACTCAGGAGGCGTAGGTTGCAGTGAGCCAACATTGTGCCACTGCACTCCAGCCTGGGCAACAGAGCAAGACTCCATCTCAAAAAAAAAAAAAAAAAAAAAAAAAGAACAGATAGTTGAACAGGCAGAGAGAGGTGGATTGAATGGTCCAGGGGAGGGTGAGGGTGGCTTGGACCAGGGCAGCAGTGGTGAAGGTAGTGAGACCTGACCAGCTCCTGGACAGGCGTGGAAGGTGAAGCTGATGGTGTTTGCTGGGATCAGGTGTAGAATGTGATAAAAAGCATGGAACTTGACATGATCTCAAGGTTTTTGGGGTTTGATCAACTGAACAGGGAGTTGTAGAAGGCTGCAAAAGGAAGACTCGTTTAGCAGTTCAATTTCTGACATGTCAAGGTAGGAATGCCCTTTAGATATATAGCAGATATTTGGCATAGCAATTTGTGTGAGTCTGGAGTTCAGAGATGAGGTCTAGGGCAGAGATATAAATTTGAGAAGCATCGGCAAAAAGATGGTATTTAAAACTGATATAGTTTGAACACATGTCCCTGCCAAATCTATGTTGCAGCGATCCCCAGTGGTGGAGAGGGCCTGGTGGGAGGTGTTTGGCTCATGCGTGTAGATCTCATGGCTTGATGCTGTCCTCACCATAGTGAGTGAATTCCTGAGAGCTGGTTGCTTTAAAGTGTGAGGTGCCTCCCCCTTATCCCTCCCTTGTGAGGTGCCTCCCCTTTATCTCTCCCTTGCTCCCACTCTTGCCATGTGAGATGCCTGCTCCCACTTTGCCCTCCACCATGACTGGAAGCCTCCTGAGGCTTCCCCAGAAGCAGATACCAGCACCATGCTGCCTGTACAGCCTGCCGAACCATGAGCCAATTAAACCTCTTTTCTTATAAATTACTCTCTCTCAGGTATTTCTTTACAGCTGTGCAAGAACGGCCTAATACTAAAACCATGGGACTGGATGGGGCACCAAGGGAGTGAACATGAAGGAAGGAGAGGATGGAGAGCTGAGCCCTGGAGCCCTGCAGTGTCAGAAGGTTAGGGAGTCAAAAGCAATTAGGAAACGGGCCCGAGAAGAGTGGGCCAAGAAGCAGGGAAGGCAAAGGGGCACCAGGGTGCTAGGTGGCGGAATGGGCTGAAAAGTACAAGCAGAGGTGGGACATAGAGGATGAGGCAGCCATGTGGGGGCAGGGGAGATGGATGGTGCTGGGTGGGTAGAGGAGAGGGAGGAGGAGAGCGGGAGAGAGAACAGGCTGATGGCTGGGAGTTGGGTGAGTCCATCGAAGCAAGCAAGGAAGGAAAATGGAAGGACATTCTGATGATGAATTGAGGGCTAGGTGGCCAGGCAGTTCTTCTATGACTGTGAATATTGATGGATGACAGATGGGTGAATGTGTGAAGGAAAAAGAGCAGGGGTGGGCAGATGTGGGTACAGAGAGGAACTGGCTCTGGCTATAGAGATGGATGGAACAGGTCACTGGAGGAACAGGGGAGAGGAAACACAAGGAAGGGATGACATATAAGTGGATGAAAGGGCAATGTTATGGTTTGACTGTTCATGTCCCCCAAATTCCTGTATGGAAATCCTAACCCCTAAAGTGATGGTAGGAGGTGGGGCTCTTGAGAGGATTAGGTCATGCGTGGGATTGGCACCCTTATAAAAGGGGCCCCAGGGAGGCCCTCGGCCCTACTGGCAAATGAGGACACAGAAGTTGACAGCCTGCAACCCAGAAGAGGGTCCTGATCAGAACCTGACTATGCTGGCACCCTGATCTCAGACTTCGAGCCTCCGGAACAGTGAGAAGTAAATACCCAGTGTTTATAAACCAACTAATCTATGATAATTCATTAGAGCAGGCTGGACAGGCTCATGCCACTCAACTTGGAGGCAGGTGAATGGGATACCTGAATAAAGCCAAGGAAGGAAAGATGGGATGGATGTGCCTGGAAGGTCAGATGGTCAACGAGATGAGTGGTGGGGTGGGTGGACACATGCCTGAGAGGAAACAAGAGAGAATGGACATTTTACAGCTGAATGATTAGCTATATTAGTAAAGCACGTAGGCGGATGGTAGAAAGAATGAAGGGGATAGAAGGGGAGAATGCATGGCCGAAAAGTGGGGCAAAAGAAAGGAAAAGAAAAAAATGAGAGGGAAAAGAAGAACGTGAGAAATTTATGCATGAGCGGTTAGAGACAAGGTGGATGAGGAAGGAGGGAATAGAGAAAGTGACAGTGGCTGGATTGAGCTGACAGTTGGGGTGAGCTGAGGCACGCTGAGTATGAAGGAGGCACTCAGTGAATGGGTGAGTGTGACTCAGCTAGGGGAGCAGCAGGAGGAAGGGCGGGTGGATGTCTTGAAGGGTGAATAGATGTGTTGCCACATGAGGTCACAGGATGGAGGGATGATTGGGTCTATTGACAGGTAGGGCTTGGAAGGAAAGTGGGCAATTACTGAGAAAGTGAGACTAGATGAATAGTTTAGTGGGTTGATGCATAAGGTTGGTGGGGACAGGATGGGAGAGCAGGGCAGGGAGGGGAGCCTGAATGATCATGTGTGAACACAGGTGGATGGAAGGTTGGGTGGCTATTTGGAGGGGTTGAAGGAAATGTGGGAGGATGGATTGAATATAAGTTTGGGTGGATGGACGGAGGGAGGATGAACAGATGATGGATGGATGGATGGACAGATGGAGGATGGATAGATGGATGGAGGATGGATGGATAGATGGATGGAGGATGGACAGATGGAGGATGGATGGATGGATGGACATATGGATGGATGAAAGATAAATGGATGGATGGATTGAGGGTGGATGGATGGATGGATGAAGGATGGATGGAGGGCGGATGGATGGATGGATGGAGGATGGATGGAGGATGGATGGATAGATGGATGGAGGATGAATAGATGGATGGATATGGATGGATGGACAGATGGAGGATGGATGGATGGACAGATGAAGAATGGACAAATGGAAGATGGATGGATGGACAGATGAAGAATGGACAAATGGAAGATGGATGGATGGAGGATGAATAGATGAATGGATATGGATGGATGGACAGATGGAGGATGGATGGATGGACAGATGAAGAATGGACAAACGGAAGATGGATGGATGGATGGATGGATGGAGGATGGACAGATGGAGGATGGATGGATGAATGGATGGAAGATGGATAGACGGATGGATGGAGGGTGGATGGATAGATGAAGGACAGATGGAGGATGGCTGAATGGAGGATGGATGGATGGATGCATATGGATGGATGGACAGATGGAGAATGGATGGATGGAAGATGGATGAATGATAGATGGATGGAGGATGGGAAAGATAAATGTGTGATGCTGATATTCAGAAAGGAGTGAGTGGGTGAGTGTGTACATCCAAAACCCAACGCAGAACCCACCCACCTAACCTGTTCTTTCTGACCGCCCTGTCACTGGAAGGTCTCACAGCCTCCTGGGCTCACATCTAGCAGCTGCTGTGTCCTAGCCACACCTGTTCCTCCTCTCCCACCCCCATCCCCAGCTCGCAAGCTCTCCCACCTGGACCACCACACTGGGACTTGAACCTTCTGCCTCGAGGCTTGTCTTGTCTCCTTCCCCTACACTGGTTGCAGATTTCATGGCCCTGATCATATCCTTCTCTTTCCATGGCTCCTACAGATGAGAGCCCAGCCCCTCACGAGGTTTTCAAACCCGTTCACCGCACTGCCTCAGGCACTCTTCCAGGAATGTCTTCCATCTCCCATTGAGGACAGGGGCCTTGCCGACCCCCTAGACTGCCCCACCTACGTGTCTTAGTTTATGCCATTTTCCCCGCCTGAAACACCTTTCCCCTCACCAAGCTTCAAGGCCCAGTGAAATTGCTGCCTCCTTCTAGAAGTTTTCCAGCCTCACCCCAAACTGGGAATGAAGTATTCCTTTTCTGAAACACTGTGGTGCTTCTTCCGTCTCACCATGTGTCCTCTGTCCACCCACCCATTAGACCCACATGTCCTGACCCATCTGTTGGCCAGCTCTGCCTTGGGCACAGATTGGCTGGGGTGAGCAGATGTGGCTGGGGCAGGACTGTCTCTGGAGGCTTTGCAGAAGAGAGACCCAGATCTCACAAAAGCTCTCCAGGCCGAGGATGTGCACATCGCTCACATCACATTTGCCGAGTGACCGGGGCGGGGAACCGCTGAGGCCAGAAGGGTTAAAAAGGCAGCTTGGATGCTGAGATGAGACGTTTGGCCATCATCCAGCTGACCGCGGGAGCCAGTGGTCATCAGGAGACAGTGTGTGGAGGCGGCATGAATGGAGAATTGACTTTTTGTATCTCTGCCTTCCCCGGACACCAGGCTGTGCAAAATAAGGCTTCAATCTCTGCGCTGCAGATCCAGCCTGCGTTGAGCCGAATTGGCCCATGTGGGTGGGGGGGGTGGATGGATGGCTGGACGGGTGGATGGACACGTGGGGGCAGGCAAGGACACACTGTCTAGTTCATACCACTGCATGCGGGCCTCCGCCCTGCTCACGTGTGCTGGCTTGAATGTTGTTTTGTTTCTATTTGTTTTGTGAACAGATGAGGGAACAGGGGCTCAGTGAGGCAAGATGGCTTGTCTGTCCCAAGAGCTCGGATTTTAGCCAAGACCTTCTGAACCTAGGGCCACCCCGCGTCCTTGGTGTAGGGTGCAGGTCAGGAGACCTGCAGCTGGGTGACCAGATGGATGCATTCCCAGGCGTGGGGTCCACAGCCAGCCAGTTCCGTCCTCCCTTCTGCCCAGGATGGAGACAGGTCACCTTGCACCCACTCCCAGGTATGCCCCAAAGCCTCTCTGCCCTGGCTGCCCCCGCCCACCGCAGGAAGGACACAGGAGGAGCAGGCTTGGGAGGAGGTGTAATGAGCCGTCCCTGACCCTCAGAAGGGTCAACCTCACACCACCCCCAACCCCTGCAGAAACCCGGCACCATCCAGAAATCCCTGACCTACCTACAACCCGAGCCAGATGGGCCTGCCCCATGCCAGCCGGCCAGCCACAGCCTGAGCCAAGCGGGAGGAGGGACAGCTTCCGGACGGGAGCCCAGGCAGCCAGACCCATGTCCGCAGGCTGTTGGCAGGGCACAGAGAGAGGGGAGGCAGAGCTCCACCAGCTGCAGCTTCAGCCCCCCAACACTGGAGCTTTCTGCTCAGGATTGGTCTGGGGAGCCACAGCTGGAGCTGGTCGGAAGCATGACCTCCAATTCCAGGGGCCCTTTTCCTTTGTTGCTTCTACACACACACACACACGCAGGAATACTCACCACCACACACACATGCTCTCACACACTTGTGCACACACATTTACACGTACCATGCACACTCACGTATGATTACACACGCATGCACAGTCAGGTACATACATCACACATGCACACACTCACACACACTTGTGCACACACATTTACATGAACCACACACGTGTGATTACACACATGCACATGCAGGTACAGACAACACACAGGCACACACCCTCACACACTTGTGTACACACATTTACACGTGCCATGCACACTCGTGCGATTACACACACATGCACACACTCAGGTACATACACACAGCACACATGCACACACCCTCACACACCCGTGCACACACATTTATACGTGCTATGCACACTCACGTGTGATTACACACACGTGCACACTCAGGTACATACAGACAGTACACAGGCACACCCCACACACACTTGTGCACACACATTTATACGTGCCATGCACACTCATGTGTGATTACACACACGTGCACACTCAGGTACATACAGACAGTACACAGGCACACCCCACACACTTGTGCACACACATTTACATGTGCCATGCACACTCACGTGTGATTACACACGTGCACACAGGTACATACAGCGCACATGCACATACCCTCACACATTGTGCACACACATTTACACACACCATGCACACATGCAATTACACACACATGCACACAGGTACACACACCACACATGCACACACGCCCTCACACACTTGTGCACACACATTTACACACACCATGCCCACCCACGTAATTACACACATGCACACATATGCATTCACATGTACACACATGCAAATACACTCCTGCCTACACACAGTCATACACATGCACACACATGCACACACAAAAATATATGTACACACTCATGCACACAATGCATTCACATGCACACATAGTTACACTCACAGTACATGCCCACTTATGCAATTACACGTGAGTACACACATACACTGACACGTGCTGGCTCACACACAGGCCCCTGTGTCAGAGCCCAGGGATGGATCCGCAGGCCCGAGGTTGAAGGTGCCCGTGCCAGTGGGCAACGCCGGGGTTGGCAATCATGATGAGTCAGGAGCAGGAGGGGAACGCCGACCGCAGTTGCGATGCCGGGCGGGGTGGGGCTCGAGCTCAAGGATGGAGCAGAGGCGAAGCTGGCCAGGCGTCCTTCCTCCCAGCCAGCCTCTGCCCAGCCTCTTCTCTCCCTGCATCCCCTGTCTTCTCCCCCACCCGGCAGGGCAGCTGCATTGGTGGAGTACATCTGGCCTTGGCCACTCAAGTCTGGGCTGGGGAAATGTGATGATGAGGCTAAACGTGAGCCAAGCCCTTCCTTCCGGTGCGTCGGGGTGGGGAGGAGGGCACCGGGGCCTGCCCTCGCCCTCACGCTCCCTTCCCCAGGAAGGGCTCCAGCACCAGACACATTGACACACGGCTGCCCCTCTCACTGTGAGCCCATCACAGCCTCCCTCCCACCATCTCAGTCCCTGCTGCTCCACCTTGCCCTCAGGGGGACAGGGTCATGTCTGCCCAGCACCTGCTCTGCTACCAGCCAGCTCTTCTCGCAGCCCTGAGCTGGGGAGGTGCAGGACCTGTTTACACCCCTCTTCCCTGGGCTGCCCTGGCCACCCAGGTCTGGTCTCCACGCAGGGCTTGGCAGAGCTGTGTAAGCACCTGCCCTTGGGCTCCGGGTGAGGAGCTGGATAAGAAGGTGGCCCCTCTTCCTTTCCATAGGGGTAGGATTCCAAGCCCTCTTCAGCCCCACGCTGGCCCCATCCCTGCACACGGAGAAGTGGCTGCTGCCCAGGTCTACGTCCCATGTCCCCTGAGCCTGAGCAACCCCGCCCCCCTCAACCCCCGCTCCCAGCCCCTCCTGCAGGTTCCGCTGAGCTGGCTGAGCAGAAAGCCAGGCCCTGATGGCTCAGGAGAGGGAAGGGCAGACCCCTGCCCGCCCAGACCTAGCCAGTACCCCGACCTCTCTGGGACCCACCATCAGGACCCCTCACTGTCCTTTGATCCCTTGGCCCCTCAACTGCACCTGTTCTACCCGTGTGCTCCCCTGAGAGGGAGAGGGGCCGAGCGCCCACAGCCAGGGACTGTCCTGCCGGCACCACCTCTCTAGCCCGCCCTTGCCCCCTGCCACCGCCCGGGCTCACTTTGAGGGAGTAGGCCAAGGCGATGAAGCCCAGGCAGCAGAAGTTGAGGTAGACGAAGTTGAAGATGGACCACAGGTAATAGTCGTTCACCTCGGTGGTGTCCGGGTAGACCTCGATGACGGTCGTGGGGTTGGTCATCGTCTTCTTCTCGGCTAGGTGCTTGCAGGCAGGGGGCGCGCCGGCAGCCCGCACGCTGTCGGTCTTGCTGCTCTTGGACTCCATGGGGAACAGTGTGGGCGCCATCGGGGGAGAGGCCGAGGGCTCAGGGGCAGGGGCCGCCGGAGCCTGCAGGGCAGGGGGCTTGGACACGCAAGCGAAGCAGCCCTTGGGCGAACCTGCCGGGGGCCTCGGAATCCAGAAGGCCCCGTCCAGGGGGACTCGGGCTTCCTGGGCGCCGTCCGTGGTGCTGGCCGGGTCTCCCAGCGGGGCTGGGCACTGGCCGGGGCCCTGGGCCTGGAGAGGAGAAAGTGAGAGCAAGCTGGGCCCGGCCTACCGGCCAGCACCCACCCTCACGCCCAGCAGCTCCGAGAACAGCCCCAGTGGAGACGGAAATCCCTGCGGGGGCCGCCAGCTGCCAGCCTGCCACCTGCCTCCCCCACCCGCCCCGGGCCTCGGCGGCCACGGACGATGCCAAAGCCCTTCGCAGCAGCCTTGGCAGGGACCTGGGGCTTTCATCACTTCGCCATCTGCGCATAAACACTCACCCACTGACACACACAACAGCACCCCCCGCCCCGAAGCACACCAACGCTGAGACTGACACTGTTGCAAAACACAGAGTGCCCCAGCACCCCAAACAACCCCGCACACACGGGGCGCCGGACCCACAGCGACGCTGCCTCAGCCGCCAACCGGCAGAGCTAGCAGAGCGGCCAAAGCACCTGCCCACGGCGCCCGCGGACACCCGATACCGCCACGGGCACCGCCACGGGCTCCACCGCGGGCTGCACCGCGGGCTCTCCAGACCCCGGGGCGCACCCGCGGGCGCGCTCAGAGCCATTGACGAGTAAACAACTCCCCACACAAGGCGATGCAGGCTCAGCCACGAGCACCAAGAACCGGCACAGGTGCGGGGTCTCCAACTCGTGCGCACCGCCCCCCACCTCCAACCTGGGGACCCCAAGCGCGCACACTTGCCCGGAGCCACGCACCCCCGGGCCATACATAGACGCACAATAACAGGCTGTGAAATGAACACTTCTCCAACGAGGCACCAAGTCGCTCGCGCTCTGCGCCACCCCGCGTTCCCAGCTCCCGTGCGGCGCTCGCCGGGGGGTCTGCGGCCGAGGCTCTGCAGCCCCCAGCCCCATCCGGGTCTGCCGCAGCCCCCCGGACGGCGCCTCCTCACCTACAAGCGACTCCTCGGCGCGCGGCCGGACCCCCTGAGCCTCGGTGCGCGCGTCCTTCCGCCGTCCCGCGGGCCGCTGTCTGTCCACTGATCCGCCTCCCAGCGGCCCAACCTTGAGGGGGTGGGGAGCGCGCGGGGCTCGGCGGCGGCGCCGCTGCCTCCCCCGCCGCCTGCGCTCCCTCCGCAGCGCCAGACCGGCCGCGCGGCTGCAGCCCAGAGCCTGACTCACGGCGGCAGCGGGCACAGCCACCTCCCCGCCTCCGCCTCCTCCTGCCAGGAGGGTGGGGGCCTCGGAAGCCGCGACCCTGGGGAGTTGCAAGGTCCCGCAGGGATGGGACCCCTACAGCCCCCGACCAGGGTGTCCGCGCCACCTCCATCTCCCCGGACCCACTGCGTCTTCCTCCCCACCCCACCCGGCCCCATCCCTCTCGCGGAGCCCCCAGCCCCGTGGAAGACTGGACGCTCCCGGAACCCTCCCCATCTGCCTCCCCAAGAGAGACCCTCTTCCTCTTCCCACTCTCCCCATGGCGCTCCACCCCAGCGCCTGGGCCCTGCTGCCTCCAGGGACCCCCGCCCCTGGGTCCTGCCCTTCTGGCCTGTTGACTCTCAGTTCCAGCAGCTCAGTCCCCTCCTGACGAAGCTCCAGTCCCCTGAGCCCCAGCAGGCCCCCTACCTGACTGCCCGTCTCTGCCCCATCCTGTCCCTAACCAAGTCCACAAGGCCCCCAAGACCACCCTCCAGTCCCTTCCCTCCTTAGCCCACCAAGTCCAGGCCTTCCGGTAAGTTTCAGCACCCCCTACTCTGTTCCTTCCTGGCTGAGCCCACTCCTGCCCATCGGAGCTCCTGCCCCCTTTCCTGGAGTCTGACTTCACCCAGCCGGGGCCCCACTCCAGTTCACTCCCAGAGTCTGGGAGAATGTGGCCTCTCCTGCGCAGACCCCAGGTCATGCTCCATCTGCTCGCAGGGCAAAGTGTCCCGTTCCGAGCTCTGGTCCTGTGCTGAGGTCCTGGCTGCTAAGGACACTTGTCTCCCTGGAGGCTGGTTTACTCACCTGCCCACAGCCTCTCTGTGATCCCTACCAGCCCTTCTGAGCCTGGTCCCCTGAGGATACTTTGTTCCCTGTGAATCATTTTTCCTGACCAATGCCTGTCCTCCCAGCCTCAGCCGCCTCCGCTACCCCACCACATCCTCACTCTCACGGTATGCTTGACGCCAGCTGATCTTCCATCCCCATAACAGTCCCCATGAGTTCCTCCCCATGGAGAAAACTCCAGCCTTCCCTCCCTCCCTCCAAGTCCCCCACTTCACCACGCAGGTTCCCTGAGCTGGGTCCTCTTCACCAACCTCCAGCTCCCACTGAGCCTCGACCCTCTCCAAAGTCCCCCGGAAGCTGAGGATGCATGGCGGCCCCCGTTTTCCCTCCCTCATCTCTCTCCAAGCCCCATCCTCCCATGAAACTCCTTTCTCCTCTGCCACTCTCAACTGGCCTCCTGTGTCTCCGCAACCCTCTTTCCTGTCTGGAAGGCCAGTCCTGCTTGGGGTCCTGTCTGCCTGCCTGTGCCTGACTCTGAACCCTTTCTCTCCCCAAACCTCTGTTCTGAACCCTAATCCCCTGGAAAAGCCCAGCCCTCTGCAAGCCCCTCCTCTTTCCAGCCTAGTCCCCGCCCCTCATGCCTGGGCTGACCCGGGCACAGTGTTATCCACAGCACGCCAGGAACCCACAGCACAAGGCTGATCTTAAATGATGTTGATAAACCCTAACGAGCAGGAGGGGTCATGAAGCATGAGGAGCCTCCTCCTCGTCTCCTTGGGCACCCTGGCCATGCTCTCCCTGGAGCCCACAGGCCGTGGGTGGATGGGGCCTGTCGGAGAACCAGGGTTCCGTTCTCCCTCCCCAACTCCCTCCTCCTTTCCAAGGGCCTGGCCCAGGGAAAACTGGACCCGGTGTCCTCAGACGGGGCCTGATCCCAGGCTGAGTGTGGCCTGTGTGCCATGCCCCCATGTCTCCCCAGCATCTGAGCTGGGCTTACCCGGCCAGCCACCACCTTCTGGGAGACCCTGGCCTGCCACACAGCCTCTGCCCAGTGCTGCCCCACCCCAGTTTGCCCTGAAGGCCTCAGGCAGTGAGGAGGCCTCCATAGCAGGAGAGGGTTGCCTGGGCCCGAGGGTCCAGGGCCTGCCCAGGGTCACTGGGTAGGTGACAGGGGAGCCAGGGCCTGCTCCCGGCCTCAGGCCACCTTGGGGCTGCCTCTGAGGCCAGGAAACACCACTGAGAGGGAGCCAGGGGTCGCAGGGCAGAGCCAGGGCCGAGCCAAACTTGGCACAGCCAGCATTCATGTGACTGTTGGTGGGCTCCCCAAGGGCCTGGGCTCCAGCTTCCCCTTTGCTAGGGGTTTCTGGTTACAACCCACAGTCTAGACAGGGGGGGACTCCAGGCTCAGGGTCCAGTCACCAGCTAGAAAACCACGGAGGAACCCGGGGTCAGACTCCAGGGCCCCGAGAATCCTGCCGGGCTGGAGGGAGCCCTCGGAGCAACCCCAGGGCAGCAGCCATGAAGATGGGAGCTGGACGGAGCTGACAAGCTGCAGAAGGAGGGAGATGGGGAGAGTGGGACAGGGCAGGGACAACAGGGTATGGCTGCCTCCTTGTACCTCTCTGCCCTCCCAGGCCTCAGTGCACAAAGCATCTGATGACAGGACATTTGTCTCCCCAGAAGCCCTGCCAGGCCCTGCAGAGTTCTGCCCAGCTCTGCTCAGATTTCAGGCATGCCAAACGCCAGGCATGTGTTTCCAAGCCTCCGTGCCACCCTGGGTAAATGTTCTTGCTCCAGGTGTCTGCCGTAGCATGGCTCTGGGGTGAAAGCCCTGCAGCCCCTTGGGAGGAAGGCCAAGGCAGCCACCACCCTCAGGCAGAGGCATCAAGATAATGGCAAATGTCACATCTGCCTCATCTTCTAACCTGTTGGGGTGGGGCTCGAGGGGGCTCTAAGTGACTCCAGAGCTACTGATCCCAAAAGGAACTCTGCTCCCACCACCACATGCCCACAAACTCCTACTTACCTATTAGAACCCCAGGGGCTGCTACCACTGCATCCGGGCACACGCTCCCAACCCCTCCCCTCCCAGCGGAACAAGCGCACCGCGTTATCAGCCCGGGGATCCGTGACTGTGGCAGCTGTGGCTGGAGGGGACTTCTGAGTCCAATCCCTGCAACCAGGGACCCTGGGCAGGCTTGCTTGGTGCCAGCTCAGCTCACTGCACACAAAACCGCTTCTAGGGCCTGGGAGGCAAGAAGGCCCAGCTAGGCCAGCCCCCCCACGCCACCTGGGGCCATTTATTTCCCGGGACAAGAGGGCTGAGGAGGGTGACTGGTAGGCCTGCTCTGAGGGTCCCCGAGAGCAGAAATAGCCTCTGTTCGAGTGCCGTGGCTGCCTGGCTGGGCCACCTCCCTGAAATCACTCCTCAAGGCTGGCACTCACACTAGACACCCTGAAACCCCAGCCAAGGCCACATCCTGCCGGCTACTGCTCCAGACCTGGGAACAAGTCAGTCCCCGCTGGCCGACCAGGCTGGAGCCCATGGGCTGGGCAGGGCAGGGCAGGGGGCCATAGGCCCGGGGCACCCCAAATGCTTGTCCCGGTGCTGCCGAGTCAGCTGCCGTGCTGGCTTCGCACTACCCACCCTCCTTCCCCATCCCAAGTTGGAGCCACCCCTGACCAGGCACAAGAGCACACCAGCACAGAGGGGAGGCCGGAGGCCAACAACTGTATTTCCATGTCAGCTGGGGCTCTCAGCCGCCCAAGGGGAGGACAACAGAGGTCAGCTGCAGAGGAAGGCTGGCACCAGCCCCCAATCCCAACCCCACCTCCAGGCCAATACATGCCCCTGGGACTGGCTCAGTCCCAGCACCACCCTGCAGGCTCCAACAAGGTGGGTTTTGTCCCCTCTCACTCCTTCCAGCTCATCCTCAGGCCTCTAGCGGCCTCATCCTCAACGGGCCCGGGACACTGAACAGGTAGGGTGGCAGAGCCCAGCTGGGCCCAAGCTGGGCAGAGGGGCCCTCAGGCAGGGCAGGTTTCCAAGGGAGGGCCCGGGAGGACGGCCTGGTGTGGGGTAGGGGCTCAGCCCAGCGGGCGCTGGTAGGGCCGGGGAGGGGACTCCCTGGAGATGAAGGGAGCCCCAGGATACACGAGCTCGGCTGCCAAGCTTGGGTGGGGTCTTCCAATGCACGAAACAGATCTGTGCTCTGGATCAGCTCTACCCCCACCAAACAGATGGAGAGACAGACAGGCAGGCAGCATTTCTGAACCCAGGGAGGGGAAAACCACAGAACAAAACAGCAAGTCGGGCTTGGGCCGCCGGCTTCCAGGGCGCCCAGGACAGTGGGCGGGCGAGTGTGTGGGTGTGTGTGGGAGGGGCCGCTGGGCCAGGGGCCTCCTGCTCTGGGACTCTCCTCTGTTTCTGTGCTGGCGCGCGGACGCCTTGGGAACTAGAGGCGGGCAGCCTCGGCGAAGCCCACCCTGTTGTTGTCACGGTCAAACACAGTGTAGTAGCGGCCGATGAAGACGTCGCCCAGGATCCAGAGTGGCCCGCTGGGTGGCGGGATGTCCATGCCCATGAAGCCGCTCAGGCAGAGGGTCTTCCCGGCCTGCGACACCTGGGACGGCCCTGGTGGTCAGTACCCAGGCCTAGCACCACCCGCCCCCCCACCTGTTGCCCGCTCACCTGGAGCGTGCGCCCCCTCACCGCCCGCTCACCTGGGGCGTGCGGCACCCCATTGCCCGCTCACCTTGAGCGTGTAGTCCTCTGGGGACAGCTTGTAGCCTTTGCCTCCCAGCTTCAGTGTGATCGCGGGCAGGGTGGACACCTTCTCACAGGGGATCATGTACTAAGAGGGGTCACAGCAGTGTCAGGGTGGTAGTGGTGGCCTTGGGGCTCCCCCTGCCAGCCCCAGCCCCAGCCCCAGCCCCCGGCGCTCACCTCGCCCTGAATCAGCGGCACGGCCCCGATGGCCTTCTGCAGCTCGCGCACCTCATCCACCGGGCCCACCATGAGGGAAGTGCCTGTGTCCACAATGGCCTCACAGCCCTCCTTGCACAGGGTCAGCCCGCTGGCCACCTCCACCCTGCGGGGAGTCAGGGCGTGAAGCCCCTGCCGGGACTGGAGTGTGCCCTGGGGGCCCAGTGCCCCTCCCTGGGAGCCCCTCCCCTGGCTGGGCTGCACTCTCCTCCCCTCAGGGCTCCTGGAAGCACAGCCGGCTGTAAGCCCTCCAGGGAAGAGGGTGGGAGAGGAGACACAGAGTGGTAGAGGGGGTGGGAGACCCTCAGGTGGTGGTGAGGGGCATGGAGGGATGGAGGGGATGGAGGGGCATAGAGGGATGGAGGGGATGGAGGGGATGAAGGGATGGAGGGGCATGGAGGGATGGAGGGATGGAGGGATAGACAGATGGAGGGGATGGAGGGTCATGGAGAGTCACAGAGGGATGTGGGGATGGAGGGATGGAGGGATGGAGGGGATGGAGGGATGGAGGGATGGAGGGGATGGAGGGATGGAGGAGATGGAGGGTCATGAAGAGTCACAGAGGGATGAGGGGATGGAGGGGATGGAGGGCATGGAGGGATGGACAGAAGGGATGGTGGGTCATGGAGAGTCACAGAGGCATGGAGGAAATGGAGGGATGGAGGGATAGAGGGAATAGAGGGGATGGAGGTGATGGGGAGCATGGAGGGGCAAGGAGGGGCATGGAGGGCTGGTCTGACCCCATCTCTTTCTTGCCCAGCTCCCACTACTCCCCACATGCAACCCCCACCTGCAGAACCGGGGTCCTCCAGGGTCTCCGCACACCGCCCCCGCCCACAGAACCCAGGGGAGCCGACTGCAGCCACTACTCACTGGTCCAGGTGGACCTGCCAGTAGGCCTTGCGGGTGACATTCAGGTAGGACAGAGAACCCTTGTAATACTTGGAGTCTGTGCCACCCAGCATCAGCTCACCCCCAGGCTGCGCATCTGGGTCCCTAGGAGGAAAAGGGAGGAGTCAGCTGCCACGCCACCCCCCAAGCACAAGAGTGCCAGGTCAGGAGTAAGAGGGTGAATGTGGCAATCAGGGAGAGCTTCCTGAAGGAGGGGCCTTTCTGAAACTGCAGGGATGGAAAGGCCCAGAAGGCAGGAGGAGGGACAGACTCCCTTCTTCCCGGGGTAGGGCTGCTCTGCGTGGGCCCAGCCTGGCCCAGAAGAGGTTTTCCTCAACCCTCAGGTTCTCCTGGTCTGCTCAGGAGCCAAGGTTCAGCCAGACATCAGGGTCAAGGCTAGCGGCAGACAAGGAAGTGAGTGCCAGGAGCTCCACTGGGGAGGACCCTGTCTGTCTGTCTGGAAGAAAAAACCAAAGAAGGCTTCCAGGAGGGAGTGATGGCACAATCTGGGAAGTTGGGATGGCTGGTTCTGGCCGCAGGGCCTCTGCACTGGCTGCTCCTGGGAACACCCTCCACCTGCATCCCCGAGCCACGTCCGCTCATCTCCCCCTCATCCAGACCACTGATGGCCAGCCAAGGTGCTCCTGGGCAGGAGCGCACTGCACTTCCTAGGACCTGCAACCCATGTCGCCCGGGTTTGTTTCTAAACATTGCTCAAGTACAGCTTTCAACGCAGCAAATCCTGCCGGTCCTGGTAGAGAAGCTCTCTGTGTCTGGGGCGGTTCTGCCATCCCGCCAGAGCGTCTGCAGCTAAGCTGGCCACCATCCCACTGCCTGTCACTCGAGGCAGTGCCAGGCCTGACCCAGTCCTCCCAACACCGATTGGGGCCTCCGCCCTCCTCCAGCCTCCTCCGCCTTTGCCTCTTGTCAACACCTCTGCAATCCCAAGTGTAGAAACCTGATCAGCGCCTCCCACCCCTCCTCTCCTCACCAAACATGCTTTCAGAAGCCCTCAGACCCTCCCTCCTGCCTGGCTCCACTTCCTGCCCAAGCTGCTGCCTTGAGACTACACCTGGGCACTCACAACCATGTGCACCTCCCCCACCTGGGCACTCACTCTGTGTGCCCCTCCTTCCACCTGGCACTCATGCCTGTGTATGCCTCCCCCGACCTGGGTACTCATACCGTGTGCCCCTCCCCCACATGGGCACTCATGCTGTGTGCCCCTCCCCCACATGGGCATTCATGCCTGTGTCCCCCTCCCTGACCTGGGTACTCAGGCTGTGTGCCCCCTCCCCATGTGGGCACTCATGCCTGCATGCCCTCTTGCCCTCAGGGGACCCCTTTTCACCTGGCTGCCTCCCCTGTGCCCCAAGGCTCCTGGGGAAATGGCCCAGCCGGTTCACCTGTGTCCTGGCCTCTAGTGAGCAGCTTAGCCCTGGGTGTTGCTAAGGAGTATTCACTGCCCAGGCAAGGGGCAGAGCAAAGAGGCCCAGCCAGCCCTACAGCCGGAATTCTGCCGGAAGCGATCCAAGGTTAGGGGTCAGGCCCAGAGACTCCAAGTGCCAAGTGAGCCACGTGAGGTAAACCTGCCCCTGTCAGCCCTGGAGAGTGTGGGGCAGTGACCAGGCGCAGCTCAGGGCAGGAGGCCGCCGGCTGACACGCTGCCCACCCCCAAAACAAAAGCCCCCAACCCCCAGTCACCCCTCTTATGTGGAACCCTCCACTCAGGTCTGCCCCGAGAAGAGGAAACTAACTGAGTCCGACGTCCCCTTCCCAAGGTCACCTGACCATGGGTCACCCAAGCTGGAGCAGCGGCTGCAGGTGGGGGCCCTGGGGGAGAACCCTTTTCCCAGAAGGAAGGGCCCCCTATGTTCCTCCTCGAGGGCAGCCGGCACCTGCTGGGGACGCCCACAGAGCTGCTCGCAGCGTGGTGCCGGGGACCCATACGCACCCAAGGTCACCTCCCCGGGGATCCCCGGTCCCCTGGGCACCATGACCCTCTCCACCATCAGCAACCCCGGGACCAGGACCACATGTGCCCATCACCAGGTCTGGGGACCGACGGGCCGACTGAACCAAGAGGAACTGCCACGACCCCTGACCTGGGTCCATTCTCATAGGAGGGAGGCCCAGCTGCCAAGGTCCCAGGACCCACAGCCTGGCCCGAGCCCCTCCCACTGGGAGACCCCGGCCAAACAGCTTTCTCTGTGCTGCCGCTTACTCCTCTGCAGAAGGGCGGCCAACCCCCGCCTCCCGGATGCCCTGAGGTCAGAGGTCAGGAGCTCTGGCACAGCAGCAGGGAGGGGGCAGCACTGAGAGGGGGTGCCTAGAAGGCTCCCCGTCCAGCCCCGCCCTGCCTCCCAGCAACGCGGAGCGAGAGGGAACCCACACGCCCACCTGCTCAGGTAGAAGGAGAAGATGTTCTGGTCCACCAGCTTCTGCTGCATCAGGTTGTCGAAGACGGGCAGCACGTTGTTGACGGAGATGCGGGGGTAGGCCATGCCCAGGATGCCATCGAACTTGGCTGCGATGAAGGTGATGCCTGGCTGCTTGGTGGCCTCCCCAAAGACCTGCCTCTCCACTTTGACACCGCCCAGGGCAGAGGCTGACGACGCTGACTGGCAGGGCACCTGCAGGCCAGGGCAGAGTCAGTGGGCAGCAGACAGGCTGAGCCCTACACCACTCCCTGAGCATGAGGCTACAAAACCCAGTTCAATGGATGCCCATCCCACACACGATGGGGCCCAGAGGGCCCAGAAGAAAGGGCTGGAAACCCTGAGCTGAACACCGCTGGGGATGGGGACACGGGGTATGGCGGGGCCCTCTTCGTGGAAGTCATCAGGGCTCGGTTTACACGAGATGGGAACCAGGCAGGAGCACAGACGGGCAGGCCCCTTGCTCCGCTCCCTGCTCCGACCTCTTACTCCCACCACCAATGACAGGCAGGTCCTGCTCCTGCCCTCAGCGCTGGGAACAAGACACAGCCTGGGCCAGGAGCCCGAGAGATGGGGAACCTGCCGACCCCATCCCAAGCTCACAGCCATACTGCCCCCTTCCCCTTCTCTGCCTGTCCCCTCCCCCAGCCCTGGATGAGGCTGCAGAGAGAGAACACGGCCAGAGCAGGATGTGGGAAGGGAACGACAGCTTGAGGCTGACACGGGGCGGAGGGGGCAGAAGAGGGCGGAAGAGGGCAGACGGGGCAATTTCCTGTTCAGGCTGAGCAGGGTCCAGACAGGAGGGCTCTGAGGAGCCCCCAGTACAGACTGGACTCCAGCCCAGCAGGGAACTGTTAGGAGCAGCTTCAGCTGGAGGAAGGGGCCCTCTTCCCGGGTCCCTGGGCCTGCAGGGGGGCTCTGCTGCCCTCCTGGCCCGCTCCAGAGCTGGGGGCTGTGTCACCATCCCGTAACTCCTGAACCCCTTGTGGCCTGGTCCACCCCCAGCAGACAGCTCCGAGGTGAGAACTCACTGAGGCCCAGGCAGGGTGACAAGGGCCAGCTCACCCTCTCCTAGGGCAGGGAGTTGCTCTGCACAGGGCCCTGAGGATGGTGGATGCAGGCGGGGCCCCCAACAGCCACTGCTGCTCCCCCTCCCTTGCCCTCCCAGGCTCCTGCCGGTGACTCTCCGCCAGCAGCCCCCACAGCGGGTTCCTGGTACATCCTCCCAACCCCAAGCCTCCCCAAGCCCTCGGCCTGCTGCAGGGACCCTGTGCAGCCCCAGGTCCAGCCCTCAACACCTGCTGGCACCTCAAACCCAATGTGCCAAAAAGAGCCCGATCGATCTGCCCTGTCCTCCCTCCCACTCATTGTGGCCTGACTCCGGGGACCCCTGCCCCTGTACCCCCTGGGTTTGAGGCTGTCCCTCCAGCCTGCACACAACCAGGCCCATTCCCAGACCCCTCCTCACCCTGCTGACTGCCCCGGCCACCTGAGGGCTGGGGTTGGGCTGGGATCACCGAGCCCTCCCTTTCAACCACATACCCACGGTGGGTGAACCCCACACCCTGGCACCCTCGAGTCCTGGGAAAGGCCCCAGAGGGACTCACCGACACAGTGTCCTGGCTCAGGTACCCGGAGAGGCTGCCCGAGCCATAGTGGATGTCAAACGAGGTACCATTCTTCACGTAGGTGCTGGACTTGTCGCTGTTGTACTTGTGGTGGATCCCTGCCCCGGGCGACAAGGGGGCCCGCCGGTCATCCCGCAGCCCACGCCACGGCCTTAGCCCTCCCATCCCCCTACAATCTACCATGGAGCCCGCACCCCCCAAGCTGCCTCCCCAGGGTGGGATTTGGAGGGGATCTGAGGCCCACCATCATGCCAGAGCCCCGGGACTGTGGGCTGTGACCCCGGGCCTCCCTCCCAGCCACAGCCGGCTCCCTCTGTGGCCACCCCAGCCCCAGCCCTGCTGAGAGCAAGACCACAGCTGGTGGTTCACCCAGAAAGTCAGTGGCTGGAGCAGGGTGGAGGGCTGGCCTGGCTCACGGGGCCAAGAGGCAGGAGAATTGCGTTGCCCAAGTGATTCCTGAGGCAGCCCTGCAGCGACATCCCGGAAGGGCAGGACCTGGGCGACGGGGCCAGGGTTCGTGACTCACAGCAAGCGATGTCCAGCAGTTTGCAGTGGATGGAGGGGACCCACAGGTTGGAGGAGCCCGTGTCGAAGACGACTGTGAAGCACTGGGGGGGCGTCCCGATGCCAATCTCCCCGTAGTACTGGGCCTGGCAGGGGACAGGGTCCGTCAGGGATGGGAGAGGGGGCCCCATCTCCCCACTGGGCCTCAGAAGGCCCGGCTGTCCCCAGAGCCAAGGCCCATACTGGAGGGAGGGGCATCACGGGGCCCACAGCTGCCAACAGCCACCCACTCCCACCTGCTCAGCCTGCAGGGAAGATGGGCCAGGTCCCCAGCCCTCGGTCCTAATGCCCACGGGTACTTGGGGTCTCTAGACCCCTGGCTTCTGTCACCTACCCCTGCTCAATACATGGTGAGGCTGAGGACTTCCCCACGGAAAAGACAAGGCCAGAGGTCAAGCCAGGGTGGGGACAGACGTGGCCCTCAGCCTGAGCCCCGGGTGCAGGAAAGCCCGGCCTGGAAGACTCCCCTGGTGGCCCGCAGTCCAAGGTCTGAGAAAGGAAGTGACTTCCTCCCCAGGTTGGGGCCATGTCAAGGTCTGATTCTGGGTGTCTCAGTGCCTGCCCTGCCCTCCAGGGTGAACCCCAGGCTTGGAGGGCTTCCAGGCAGAGGGGTTCAGCTGGTCAAGGGGAGAAGGTAAGCCTTACAATCACTGCCTGCCCAGCAACCCTGCCTTAATGGCCCAGGGCCTCAGTTTCCCCGTGTGTACACAGGGATAGCAGGCGCAGGTGGGGGTGCTGACTCAGGGATCAGGCAAGTACAAGGGGTCCCATGCCGCCGAGCCTCTCAGGAGGCAGAGAGTAAGAGGGTCCTGGAGTTTGGGGTCGCCTGGGCGCCCGCTTCCCCCAGGATTGGAGCCTGGGCCACCGTCAGCCACCAGATTCCTGGCACCAGCCCAGCCCAATGTTTCTCCAACCGCCTGGCTTCACGGAGCAGCAGCAGCTGCTGACTCATGGCCCCACAGAAGTGACCACTGGCAGGGGGACACTCAGCAAATTTCCATGTGTGTGTGTGCATGTGTGCGCATGCGTGCATCTGCTTGCTCGCGCGCTAGGACAATCAGGAACTGGCCAGTCGGGACCAGGCACACGGCGCCTGGTTCCCCCCAGGGCCCCCCTGGCCCAGTCACATGCCTGTGAGTCTTGGGCTTCCTGTCACAGCCAGGACTCGGGCCAAGCAGGACAGAGGGCAAGGCTCCCCCACAGTGGGCCAGAGCCCCGAGGCTGGACAGTAGGCCCTGGCCTCGAACTGACCCCATAGAGCTGGGACCAGGCTGACCAAGCCCCAGCTTGCTAGGTGGCTTCCAGAGTGCTCCACCTTGGATCCTGCTTCCCCCTGAAGGAGTAGTGGGCACAGGAGGGGCTGTTGCGAGAGGAAGAAGATGGGGAGGGGCTGGGGAGGCCACGAGTCACCACAGGCCTCCCAGCAGGACAGCAGTGAAAGGCTCCAGGTCAGCCGGCCACACTCAGGCAGGCCCAAGGACCGCCCCCTCAGGCGAGCTGGCACCAAGGCCCGAGGCCACTCCCAATCACCCTCCCAGGCCCTAGCAGGACCAAGACCCTGCAATGACAGGGGCCAGTGGCAGGAGGTTCCAGAATGGGGAAGAAAGGAGTGTGGCTGAGCCGGGACGCCACCGTGGCCAGGTGAGCCACTCAAACTGCGCTGCTGAGAACAGGAGGTGGGAATGTTCCCCATACTGCCACGGAGCTCTCCTGACAGTGGCTCCGCTTGCAGCAGGGCTAAGACCTCATACTCACGTCCATGTAGTTCTTGAGCACCTCGGGAATGGGCCCCTCGGTCACGGCTGGCACCGCCTGGGAGTACTTTGAGACGGGGCCTTTGGCAATCAGGTCCTCCACAGAGCCCCCAACCTCCGACATGGTCCGGCGGATGGACGTGAACTTGTGCAGCGGGATCCTGTCAACCACGGGTCGGGGCATATCAGGGAGGCCCTCCCGCCTGCCGGCCGACGCTGCCAATGCTGCACATCCACCTGGAGGCCCCTGGGGAATCTCAGAGTCGCCACAGCCAAAACCAAACTCCTGCCTGTCACCTGGAAACTGCTGGCCCAGCTCCCCCAAGTCAGTGAATGGCAACCCATTGCCCCCCGCCAGGTTGCACAGGCCACAGTCCTAAGAAGTGGTCACCCGCCACCCACCTCAGCCCCACACACCCAACCTGGGGGCCAGTGTGCCCAACCCTCCTCTCCTCAGCCATTCTGGAGGCTCCAAAGCCCCCAAGGGTCTCCCGTCCTCCCTCTGCACCTGCGCTGGTCTCTTCCAGGATGGTGGCCAGCATGGCTGCTCAGGGTGCTGGCGGGTACCTGTCACTCCTGCCCAAAGTGCTCTGAGGCAGCCCACTGTACCCAGCCCCCATCACACCTGCTCTCCACCCCCAGACACCTGCACGAAGGTGGCCCCACCTCCAGGCTGGCACTGGCAGCTCTGCCTGGCCTCCTCTGGCCATCAGATGGGCCCTCCACACCACCTCCAGAAGCCCTCCTTGACTACCTGTCCTCCTCCACATGGACCCTGTGGCTGCCCAGTGCCCTCATCCCACATCTGTTTCTGGGCATCCGCACCTCTCCTCACTCCATGCGGCTCCACGAGGTCCAGGACTGCACCTGGGGCCTTAGAGGCTTCTGTGCTGCCCCCCCCACCGCCCTGCCTCCTCCGACAGCTGCACTCAGGGTACCCCTCCAGAGTCCTGTCACCCAGCACACCGCCAGCCAGGGTGCAGGAGGGAGCTCCAGACTGAGATCGGGGTCCTGAGTTCTAAACCCAGGAAGCGAGTAAGAGAGAGAGGGGTCCCTGCTCCTCCCCCAGGGCCACTGGCCTTCCCCTTGGTGTGAACCCACTCCTTGTTCCAAGGAAGCTCCCCTGGGCTTTTAATCACTTAAATAAAACCTCTTCCCTGCCCCAGGGACTTGAGAGTACAAGGTCATAGCTGGCTTTTCCTGGCTTGTCAGGGGCGTGATCCCGGAAGATGAGATTATTGCCTAAGAGCTGGTGGGCTGGAAGAGCTCCAGGTTTTGTCCTGGGGGAGGGACACGCCCTCCAGGGACCAGGAAGCAGGTGTAATAGTATCAGTCGCACAAGAGCTGGAATCGGGTGAGGGCTTGGATTCAGCTACCCTTCCCTCCAAGAAGCCCCAGGATCGTTTCCCCTCTGCTGTGTCTGTCCTCCTTGGAGAGGGGAGGCCTGTGGATAGGCTGGCAAGGTCAAGGCAGGCTCAGGCTTGTGGCTACTCCCCCACAACGACTTTAATTGGGGCTACCCGCCCCCGGGCCATTCCCCACAGCCTTTGGTGAGGCTCAGTCCTACCCAGCTGGCCCAGCCAGCTCCAGCCCCTGCAGCCTTCTGACCTCACCCACCTGCCAAAAGGCAGTGGACCCATCGCAGATCCCAGGTCTCCCACAAAGGCCCAGAGCAAGGGTGGGGCAGGTGCCCAATGGGATGGGTCAGCATACCCCTCCTGGGAATGCGGGCTGCCTTGCAAGGGCTGGGGAGGGGGTCAAGAAAGCAGACTGCAGCATGGCCCTCCTCTGCCCAGCTGGTCAGGCATGGCCGGGCCCCATCCCATCCAGGCCCAATCGGTGGCCTCACCTGGCACAGGGGATCGGCCTGAGGAGCGTGTGGGCCTCACTACAGCACAACCCCAGGCCCGGGGTGGGTGAGCCGACCCACTCCCCATGCCTCCTCCTCTCTCAGGGACATGGGAACTCCTAGGGTCTCGAGGGGTCTCCCAGCCCAGGGCCTGTGATAAGAGCCGCTGGAGCAAACTTTTAAAGCCCCCAGTTCACAGGTGGTAAAGGGGTCCCTAAGGAAATGGACTCGCCCAGACTCGGGGGCTCTGAGGCCTGACCTAGGTCTCCAGCAACAAGGGCGCTCAGTACAGACCCCAATTCCACCTGCCCCGAATGAGCACTACCTCCCCCCGCCCCGCCCCGTCTCCAGGGAGGCTGCGGTCAGTCTGCAGTCCTCAAGGTACAACCCAGGGTGGCATATGGGGGAGAGGCATCTGGCGCCTCTGCCCCGGGTCCCCTGCACCTCCGGAGCCCGGCGCCCCGTAGGCGGGTGGTCCGTGCAGGAGGCCGCGCAGGGCGGCACAGGTGCATTCCAGCGCGGGGGGCGCAAGGGGCTCGTGGGGGCCACAGGGGAGCGCGAAAGTCACCACAGGCCCCGGGACCTCGGCGCCGCGACCCCTGCCCGTCCCTGAGCCCCGGCCCCTGAGGCTTCACCTGACGAGCGCGGAGGCGGGTGCAGCCAGCAGGCAGAGGGCGAGCGGCAGAAGGCTGGAGGGCTGCATGGCGGCGGCGGCCGGGTCGGAGAGGGTCGCCGAGGCCGTGCGCTTATAGCCGGGATGACGCCGCAGTTGGGCCGGATCAGCTGACCCGCGTGTTTGCACCCGGACCGGTCACGTGGGCGCGGCCGGCGTGCGCGGGGCGGGGCGGAGCGGGGCCTGGCCTGGGCGGGGCAACCTCGGCGCACGCGCACAGCGCCCGGGCGGGGGGCGGGGTGGTGGTGCGCCTGCCGCGCCTACAGTTCCCGCCGCTCGCGCCCGCGGGGTCAGCCCGGCCCAGCTTCTGGGGTCTGGAGGATTCCCGTTTCGGCCTGGCCTGGGGTCGTGGGGCGGCCCACCCTGGAGGGCCCCGCGGGGTGACCCCTGTCCCGGCCGCCGCGGCCGTCCCCGCGTCCAGGCCTGCGCGGGGCGCTGCGCCGTGGGCTCCTGCACCTGCTCCTCCCGGCGCCCCCTCGTCCCCCTCCGAGACGCTCCCAGACATCCTCTCTGGAAGCCTCTTGCAAACCAAGGTTAAATTCAAAGTCCCCAGCCCACCGAATGGACCCTCCGCTCCTCTACAGGGCTTCCAGAGAAACCTGGAAAACCAGCTCAGGCCCTGCCGCAAAGGGGGTCGGACCCGCTCCGCCCTCTCCCTCTGGGCGCTGTGCTTAGAGACTCAGGCCTCACCGATGGCTCTAGCCTCCAGATCCCAAATTCCAGCCTCACACTGGCACAGCCTCACGTGGCAGACAGCAGGCCCGAAGGCAGGCAAAGTATTCCACCCTAAAATACATTCCTTTCACATGTTTTGATATGGCACTGCACAGCTGTCTCTTGAGGGGGCGAAATTCGCGTTTTCTAGAGAAGCTCCTTCCCTTAGGAGGTCGGGCACCTTTTGTCCACTCACGTCAACTCTTTTTTTTTTTTTTTTTTTTTTGAGACAGAATCTCGCTCTGTGGCCCAGGCTGGAGTGCAGTGGCATGATCTCGGCTCACTGCAACCTCTACCTCCTGGGTTCAAGCGATTCTCCTGCCTCAGCCTCCTAAGTAGCTGGGATTACAGGCGCGTGCTACCACGCCTGGCTAATATGTATATATACACACACGTATGTATATATATATATACACACACACACATATATAGTGTATATATACACATATATATACGTATATATATACACTATATATGTATATACATATATGTATATGTGTATATATGTGTATATATACATGTATATGTGTATATATGTGTATATATATACATGTATATGTGTATATATATACATGTATATGTGTATATATATACATGTATATGTGTATATATATACATGTATATGTGTATATATATACATGTATATGTGTATATATATATACATGTATATGTGTATATATGTTTTGTATTTTTAGTAGAGATGGTGTTTCACCATGTTGGCCAGGCTGGTCTCGAACTCCTGACCTCAGGTGATCTGCCTGCCTCAGCCTTCCAAAGTGCTGGGATTACAGGCGTGAGTAATCCCACTTTAACTCTTTAGGCAAAACATAACTCTTTCAACCACTTGCCAATCAGGAAATCTTTGAATCCCCTATGACCTGGAAGCTGCCCCTGCCAACCCTGTTTCTAGGCTGAACCAATGTATATCTTACATATGTTGATTTATGGTTTTGGCCTGTAACATCTGTCTCTGTAAAATCCGTAAAACCAGGCCGGGCATGGTGACTGTTGCCTATAATCCCAGCATACTCGGAGGCCAAGGTGGGAGCATTGCTTGAGCTGAAGAGCTTGAGATCAGCCTGGGCAACATGGTGAGACCCTGTCTCTACAGAAAAGACCTGAAAATTTTAAAAAAAAGTATAAAGCCAAGCTGTTACCCAGCCACCTTGCTCACATATTCTCAGGACCTGCTGAGGTGGTTTCACAGGTCATAGTCCTCACATTTGCTCAGAATAAATATCTTCAAATATTTTATAGTGTTTGGCTTTTTTTCAACAACACTCCCTATACCCAGGGTACCCAGATGGACCTCATCCTTACTCTCCAAGTGTCCCCTGCCCAAGCGCCCACTCTCCACCTCCTCAGAGCAGCACCTCACTGGGCCCTGCCCTGGCCACCCTGGGCCCTCCTCCCTTAGCCCAGACTTGCCCATCTCCAATGTGGCACCATCCCTGGAACCCCATCTCCAACGTGGCACCGTCCCTGGAACCCCGTCTTCAACGTGGCACTGTCCCTGGAACCCCATCTCTAACGTGGCACCGTCCCTGGAACCCCGTCTTCAACGTGGCACTGTCCCTGGAGGCCTGTCTCCAACGTGGCACCGTCCCTCTAGGCCCCGACCTCAAAGGTGAGCAGTGTATCCAGGTCAGAAACTGGGTCTCCCGACACTGAGCCTGCAGAGGCCATGGTGACAGTTGCCCCAGGACTTCACCATTCTCGTGTGCCCTGGTCCTGCCTGGCATGGGGGACTGAATTAGGCCTGTTGGAGGGGAGGGCCCGGTCATTCCCCAGATGCTCTGGAGCACACAGCCAGGCGGGAGGTGCGGTCGCTGTAAGTAGGAAAGGGATATTGGGACAAATCATTTAAGGCAGGTCCAAGTCACACAGGAAATGGAGCCAGGGGATGTGCTCAACAGCGACCTCCGCAGGAAGGTCCCTCCAAGAAGGTGGCATCTGAGCTTGGACCCAAATGAAGGATGCTTCCCCATGCTCTCACCCAGGGTGCGTTTTCTCCTCCCAGCTCCCTGCGAGGTAGATGGGCCCAACCCCGCTTTACAGAGGCAGTGAGGTTCTGTGGTTCTCGGCGGGCGGGATTGGAATTCCCACCTTTTCTGTAACCAAATATATCAGGACCTTGGCCCTTGCGGAACCTCCCCGAAGCTGGATCTGCCTGATGGCCACAAATGAGTGGCTGCCCCCTCAGCCCCACCTTCCCGCCCATTTAGAGCCCTTCATCTGAGGGGGTTCTAAGCCTGAACACAGAAGCCCGAGCAGACAGACACCCTTGCCCTCAGAATCTGCCCAGCTGCTGGGGGTCCACACCTTGCCCTCAGAATCCGCCCAGCTGTTGGGGGCCCACGGCCAGCCTGGACCTGGCACCTGGGGTTATCACGTGCTTTCCAGTGGGCTGGGATCTTGGAGATGTCAGCCGACCCTGGGGGACTGGACTCCAGCAAGGGGTGAAAGATGGTCCCAGCTAGTGTCCCCTGAGCCACCCTGCTCGGTCCCCAGGTCCAGTGGTGGACGAAGCATTTGGTGTCCAGGATACTGAGATACGCACCTGTGAGGACGCATGCCCACAGAGCGTGGCCGACACTCCACCCAGAGGTCCCGGTGAGCCGGTGAGGCTGCGAGCCAGTGGGTAGTGCGGATGGCCAGTGGGGCCAGAAGCACAACGTGGCAGCGAGCTGTGGGGTGTGTGGGCCGGTGCTAGCCAGGCTAAGAGCCTTGGACCATCCCCTGAGACAACGGGGCACTGTTGAGCAAGGACCCTCTCGGGGCCCCAAGGGTGAAGAGGCCCCACCCCACCGCAGATACCATCTGTTATTCTGTTTATTACAGAGGGGGCATTCTGCCTGGGCCCGCTCAGCTTCCCAGCTCCTGGAGCAGAGCCCGGCACGTGGTAGGTGCCCAGTAATTATGTGTGGGATGAATGCCTGGGTGTTCAGGGTCCCCGAGGGACTGACCCACCAGGCAGGGTGGGACCCTGCTGGCATATTGGGTGAAGGTCAAGGGAGTGGCTTCTAATCCCCTTGCCTCTGGCTCACCCGGGCAGACCCTCTCAATCTGGGCCTCACCTCTGTCCCTGGAGAGTTGAGGTTGGGCTAACGGTCTCTGGAGCCCTTGCCTGCCCCTGCTAGGAGCTGAGGGTACAGAAGCGACCCCTGGCCTCCTTGTCTGGCTCAGATTCCCCAGACTCCTGCACCTGCCAGGCCGATTCAGGAGACCCTCTTCCCACCAGGGCTGCCTTCAGGGCTCCTGGGCCAGTGGGTGCTGCAGCGTGTCCAGGCCCCGCCTCTGGCAGAGTGCAGGGGACAGGGCCCTTTTTCACCTTTCACACCCTTCGGCTGACCGCATGCAGGGACATGGGCTCCATCTGTGGGGTGCTCGGCCCACCTGGGGAGAGGAGGCAGGAGGTGGGGGCCAGGCCCAGGCTCCATCTCAGCCTTTGCCATCGCAGCCCACTGAGCTTCCCACCACGGAGGGGCCCCAAGCTTCTCTCTGGGAAGCCAGCCACAGGACGGGGGTCGTGGCTTCTCCGGCTCCCTCCTGGCTGTGTGGAGAGTCAGGGAATCAGAGGATGGCAAAGTGCCCGAGAGGAAAGGGGCAGAGAAGGGAGTCGGACCTGCTGGGTGCCCGCTGCATGCTGACACCTAACAGGGGCAAGCAAGGGCTGGAGGCTGTCAGCCCAACCCTGCCTCTCCATGGGGAGTGCTGAATCCCAGACTGGAAAGGGTCTGCCTGGATGGGTCAGTCCCTTGGGAGCCTTGAGAATCTGCTCATTCACTCAACATGTGAGTGTCGGGCACCTACCACGAGTAGACGCTGCTCTAGGAAATCGAGAAAACAATAGGGAAATTCCCACCCAGTGCCGTTCATATATAGACAGGGGTGGGGGTGGGGAGGTGTGTGGAGGGGCAGAGATTAAAATGAAGCTGGGGGGTGGGTGGGACGCCCACGCAGGGCTTGGGGAGTGGAACGTACCAAAGAGGAGGCTGCTGCAGGGCACAGAGAGGGGCAGGGGAGGGCCCTGCGGGAAGAGAAGCCTCTTCTAATCGACCTTTTTTTTTTGAGGTGGAATTTCATTCTGTTGCCCTGGCTGGAGTGCAGTGGCGTGATCTCCACTCACTGCAACCTCTCCCTCCCAGGTTCAATCGGTTTTCCAGCCTCAGCATCCGGAGTAGCTGGGATTACAGTTGCCCACCACCACGCCTGGCTAATTTTTGTATTTTAAGTAGAGATGGGGTTTTGCCATGTTGGCCAGGCTGATCTTGAACTCCTGACCTCAGGTGATCCGCCCACCTTGGCCTCCCAAAGTGCTGGGATTACAGGCGTCAGCCACCCCGCCAGGCGCTCTAATCAGACTTGAAGGAGGTAATAAACCAAAGGCCTGGTCAGGAGCCGCTGACATGAGAACAGGAGAGCAGAGGCCATGAGGCAAAGGGAGCCGGCCTGGAGGTGGGGAGGAAAGGAAGCAGTCCGAGGTCAGAGAGAGGCAGTGAGAAGGGGTGAGACTCTGGATGCACTTTTGAGGTAGGGCCAGAGAATTTCCAGGTGGATTATTCGAAACCACCTTTGCAAAATTATGGCTGAGATAGCGGAAGAGCTCTAACTGAATCAACTCCATCTTGCTTCTAATCTCAAGCCATCCTTGTTCATTCCTGGGTGTCGGCTGAACTGTCTTTGAGAGGAATTTAGTTTATAGTTTAAACAAAGATGTTAACAGCCCTTTCCCCAAGCAGAACTCCTTCTTGCCTGGGGACTAGATGGCCTTTGTAGGACTAACATTAGCCACAGGGTTAGAAATTATGGTTTAGGAGTCATGCAGCTGGAGGCTACAAGATTCTGACCCTCTCTCAACTGCTCCTAAGATCAGCGCCTAAGATATTTTGCAGACCTTGCACTTGACGGATCAGCTGGCACCACCCAGATCAATAAACTGGCTCATCTGATCTTGTGGCCCCCATCCAGGAACTGACTCACCGCAAGAAGACAGCTCCAACCCTCTGTGATTTCATCCCTGGCCAATCAGCACTCCTGCCTCACTGGCTTCCCCGTACCGCCAAGTTGTCCTTAAGAACTCTGCTCCGCAGCACACCAATGTGGCACATGTATACATATGTAACAAACCTGCACGTTGTGCACCTGTACCCTAGAACTTAAAGTATAATAGAAATAAATAAATAAATAAATAAATAAATAAATAAATAAAAACAACAACAACTCTGCTCCATGAATGCTTGGGGAGACTGATTTGAGTAATAATAAAACTCCACTCTCCTGCACAGCTGGCTCTGCGTGAATTAATCTATTGCAATTCCCCTGTCTTGATGAATGGGCTCTGTCCAGGCAGCAGGCAAGGTGAACCCCTTGGGCGGTTACAGATTGGACTGACGGTGTGTGATGGAGGGGCCAATACTGACATTCCACGGCCTACCCAAAACCCTAGAAGGATGGCCTTTTATTGGCTGAGATGGGAACAGATGCAGGAGTAAGAGTCTTGGGGAGGAAGGCCAGGAGCTCAGTTTTGGATGCTTCAGATTGAGACAAAGCATGTGGGGCAACCAGGTGATTCTGCTGCATGGCAGCAGTGATTTGAGTTGTGAGTCCAGGGAGAGGTCGGGGCTGAGACGGACATGAGATAGTCATCAGTGCCATGTGTTGTGGTGATAAGATTGGATGGCACCAGGCTGAGTGTAGCTAGAGAATAGAAGAGGTCTAGGGACTGAGCCCAGGGGTCTCCCAACTTTAAGAGGTTAGCGGATTGAGGCTGGGTGCGGTGGCTTACGCCTGTAATCCCAGCACTTTTGGAGGCCAAGGCGGGCAGATCACTTGAGGTCAGGAGTTCGTGCCCAGCCTGGCCAACATGGTGAAACCCTGTCTCTACTAAAAGTACAAAAATAGCTGGGTGTGGTGGCAGATGCCTGTAATCCCACCTACTCGAGATGCTGAGGCAGGAGAATCGCTTGAGCCTGGGAGGTGGAGGTTGCAGTGAGCTGAGATTGTGCCACAGCACACCGGGCAACAGAGCAAGACTCCATCTCAAAAAAAAAAAAAGGAAGAAGAAGAAGAGGTTAGAGGATTGAGCAGGCACCAGCAAAGGAGGTGAGGAACCATCTGGAGACAGGAGAGGCCAGGAGGGTGGGGCCCGTAGAGCCGGCCGAAGAAAGTGGTTCAAGGAGGGAGTGGCTGCTGTGTTGAGTGGCTCTGCTGATGGCCTGTGGAAGATGAGCATTCACCACAACGTTTCACAATTTGACCTTGACAAGACCTGTTTTAGTGATGTGGTGGTGGTGAAGTTTAAGAGAGAATGACTGTCATATTCAATCATCAAGACAGTGTGGTATTGACACAAAGATAGATGGGTGGACAGGAAGGAGGAATCTCAGGTATACAGTGTCAAGGTGACATGGAAATGCAGTGGAGGAAAGGCTGATCTTTTCAGGCAATGGAATGGAAGGGTCTCGATCCCTCCCTCATACCATACACAACATTCAATTTTAGATCAGTTAGGGATGTGATGTAAATGGTAAATCCTTTAGGGAGGAAAAAGGCAAAGAGGGCCACCTTCATGATCTTGCCAAAGAGAATGGAAAGAAAAGCCACACGCTGGGAGAAAAGATTTGCAAAACACATATTTGATACAAGACTTGTATCCAAAATAGGCAAAGAACTCTCAAAGCTTAACAAAAGAAAATAACCCAATTTAAAAAGTGAGCAAATCGTCTGCTCAGACGCCTCACCAAGGAAAAAATGCAGCTGGCAAATAAGCGCACGAAAAGATGCTCAACATCGTACGTCGTTAGGGAATTGCAGGTTAAAACAACAGTGAGACACCACCACATACCTGTAAGAATGGCCAAAATCCAAAACACTGACAACGCCAAATGCCGGGGTGGGCGTGCGGCAACAGGAAGTCTCATGCGTTGCTGGCGGAACTGCAAAACGGTGCAGCCACTTTGGGAGACAGTTTGGCAGTTTGTTACAAGGCTTAAATGTACTTTCATCATACCATCCAGCAACTGCCCGCCTCGATATTTACCTCGATAAATGAGTTGAAAACTTATGTTCACACCAACACCTGCACACGAATGTTTAGAGCAGTTTTATTCACCGTCACTAAAAACTGGAAGCAACCAAGATGTCTGCCTAGAGGTGAGTGGACAGACAAACTGTGGTCTATCCAGACATCGGAATATTCTTCAGCACTAGAAGGAAATGAGCAGGCCGGGGATGGGGCTCACGCAGGCAATCCCAGCACTTTGGGAGGTCGAGGTGGGCAGATTACTTGAGCCCAGGGATTTGACACCAGCCTGGGCAACATGGTGAAACCCCATCTCTATAAAAAAATACAAAAATCAGCTCGGCTGCTGGAGGGAGCTTGAAGTCTCAGCTACTGGAGAGGCTGAGGTGGGAGGATTGCTTCATCCTGGGAGGTGGAAGTTGCAATGAGCTGAGATTGCACCACTGAGCTGCAGCCTGGGCAACAGAGAGAGACCCAGTGTTAAAAAAAAAAAAAAAAAAAGCTACAAGCCATGAAAATCCATAGAGGAACGTAAGTGAAAGAAGCCAACCAGTAAAGGCTACATACTGTCTGATTCCATCTCTATGACATTCTAGAAAAGGAAAAATTATGGAGACAGTGAAAGGATCAGTGGTTGCCAGGGTTTGGGGAGGGCAGATGAATAGGTGAAGCACAGAACATTTTTAGGGCAGCAAGACTGCCGTGTATGATACTGTAATGGTAGAACAGGACATTATGCATTTGTCAAAACCCACAGGATGTACAACTCAAAGAGCGAACCCTGCTGTAAACTATGAACGTTAGTTAACAGTAATGCATCCTTGCATCAGTGATCATCACTTATAACAAATGTGCTGCACAAATGCAAGATGTTGATCATGGTGGCAGTGTGTGTGTGTGTGTGTGTGTGTGTGTGGGTGCGTGTATGTGTATAACTTCTGTTCCTCGGCGGGGGAAGGAAGGGGGCAAGGGGTCCTTCTGCAGCCCTACGGCTTAAGGGACGGCTTGAAGGTCAGATTCCCTGGATGGGGTCAGGCGCTGGGTGTGGAGCAGGGAAGTGGTTTCTTCCCCAAGTCCCCCGCCAACCCCAGGAGGTAGGAGAGGGAGCGGCTGAGATGCTGAGTCACCCCTGCTCCAGTCCTGCCCCTCCCTCCTCTTAGGGCTGAGTCACTGCACTCTCAGAGCTGGGGCCACCATGACCCTCAAGAGAAAGGGGGCTGCGGCACCCTGGGGCTCCAGCCACAGGCAGCTTTAGTTCTGCAAGAGCAGTTGAGGAGGCCAGGGAGGGAATTAGCTTTTTGTCAGCTGACTTTGGACAGGACTGGGGCTGGTGGGGGGAAAGGTGGAGGCTGTGAATGGCTGGCACAGTTAGGGCAGGGGGAGGGGCTGCCCAGGCACAGGTGGGGGAGGGGAAGGGATGCTGGGCACAGGTGGGGGAAGGGAAGGGAGTGCCCAGGCACGGGTCGGGGAGGGGAAGGTGGTGCCCAGGCACAGGCGAGGTTTGGGGGAGAGGGTGTCCAGGCACAGGTGGGGGAGGGGGAGGGGCGCCCAGGCACAGGTCAGGGAGGGGAAAGGGGTGCTGGGCACAGGTGGGGGAGGGGGAGGGGGAGGGGGGTGCCCAGGCACAGCTGTCTGGCTTCCCTCCAGGTCCAGGACATGGCATCTCTGGGTGTCCTGCTGGGAAGGGACCCAGCTTGGCTGAAGGTGCACTGTGCCTTTAGCATCCCCCCAGTCCTCCACCCTGAGGTTATCCAGCTCACCCACCCTGGCCGCTGCCCCTGACCTTCAGTCTGTCTCTCTGTGCAAGGAAGAGGAGTGGCATGCAGGGCTCACAGTTGCTGGAGGCCTCTGCTGTGTCCTCTTCCAGGAGCCTCAACCTCTACCTGCCTCCAGAAATGAGCACCCCCGAGTCCTGAGCTTACTGTGGGGCCCAGTTCTGCACTGGCTGCCGGGGTGTGCGTTTCTGGGCATCCCCCAGGGCTGGACAGGCCTGGGTGCTGTGGAGGAGAGCCGGATGCCAGTCATCAGTTGGGGTTGAACTGGATGACCTTTTAAGCTAACCTCCTGCTCCCCACCCTCTGCATACACCCTGTTCGGGCACCTGACCTTCCAGGATCACAAATGTGTAATAGGAAAAAACCCAAAAGCTTTAGGGTTCAGCAGTCTCTGAGGGCTGCAGTCTCAGGGCACTGATGAAAAGACCAGGGTCCCAGTGGCCCACAAACCCTCTGGATTAGGGGCTTCAGCTCCAAGGACTGAGCCCTGAGCCATGGCCTTCCTCCATCATGGCTTCCCTGGGAGGGCCTGGCAGGCACATGGAGGCCTCGGGAGACCCCAGGAGCCCACAGGTATGGGTGCACCGTGGCAGGCGGCCACAGAGCCCACTGGGCTCTGCAGCTGGAATAACTGAATACGCAGCTCACTGTCCCCCAAGCTTGGTTGGGGACTCTTCCTTCATATTTTAACAAAATCCACGGCACCTCTGGGATGCCGGCGGCTGCTGCACACTGGGGACAAACAAGACAGATGCAGACCTGCCTTCATGGGGCAAATAGGAGCCAAAGCAAGTGCTCAACCAATAAGAGATGTAGTTCCAGACTGTGGTGTGTGCTGAGGGGAACAGCTGGGGCCGGGCTGCCTCAGAGACAGTGAGGAGGTTGGGGTGTCTATAGGGATGACTGAAGGCCTTCCTCAATGACGGACAGGAGCCAGCCTGAGAATGGAATGAGCTGGAGGGACCGAGAGGCCTCCATGGCTAGGAAGGTGGGAAAGGATGTGATGAGGTGAGGTCAAAGGGGTGATGGGGGCCCGCCAGCCAGGGGATGCATCTGGCACAGGAGTGGCTTAGCCAGGCTGCAGGGAGGCCCAGGGAGGGAGCTTCCCTGCCCTGGCTTACTGGGGAGACAAGCCCGGCGCCCAGGAAGGGATGCGAATGTACATGGACTACCCGTGCAAATGCTTATGGTGAAATGTTCTGTGTCAACTTGGCTGGGCCACAGTATCCAGATATTTGCAAACGCTAGTCTAGATGTTTCCGTGAAGGTGTTTTTCAGAGGTGATTCTCATTCCCATTTAAATCCGTAGACTTTGAGTAAAGCCGATGATGTGCCAGTGTATGGTGGGCCTCAGCCAATCAGCTGAAGGCCTTAACAGAAAGAAGACTGAGATCCCTGAGGAGGAAGGAATTCTGCCAGCGACAGACTCGGGACTCACAATGAGGCATCAACTCTTCCCTGGGTCTCCAACCTGCCCTGAGGTTTTAGACTTGCTGCCTCCATAATTACACAGGCCAACTTTAAACAATAAATCCCTCTCTCTCCGCATATATACCTATCACACCCCATTGGTTCTGTCTCTTTGGAGGACCATGACCAGTACAGATGGGCTCAGGGAAGGCATCCCCAAGGGGAGGGTCCTGCCCTGCAGGGGTTTGAAAGCCGGGCAGCCATGCCGGACAGGCCCACGGTGCTGGCCTAGCCAGGGGTGTGAAGGGGAGGGCCTCCGGCAGGGGGGCGGCTGAAGCATCTGGTCTGCAGGCTTTGGAGGGAGGGCAGGTGAGGGTTGAGCCCAAGCAATGGTCGACTAGGAAAGGACAGAGGACAGAGAAGTGATTGGCCTGAGCGTAGGGTGGTCATTCACCTGCAGCGTGGCCAGGGGCTCCGGGTCCTCTGGGTTCGAGGGGATGAACTAAGAGAGCGGCATTAAGAATGGGACAGAGGGCAGACGACAGATACTAAGGAGAGGGGATGGAGGGGGGATGGAGAGGAGATGGAGAGGGGGATAGAGAGGGGATGGAGAGGGGATGGAGAGGGGATGGAGAGGAGATGGAGAGGGGATGGAGAGGGGATGGAGAGGAGATGGAGAGGGGATGGAGAGGAGATGGAGAGGGGATGGAGAGGGGGATGGAGAGGGGATGGAGAGGGGATGGAGAGGGGATGGAGAGGGGATGGAGAGGAGATGGAGAGGGGATGGAGAGGGGATGGAGAGGAGATGGAGAGGGGGATAGAGAGGGGATGGAGAGGGGATGGAGAGGGGATGGAGAGGAGATGGAGAGGGGATGGAGAGGGGATGGAGAGGAGATGGAGAGGGGATGGAGAGGAGATGGAGAGGGGATGGAGAGGGGGATGGAGAGGGGATGGAGAGGAGATGGAGAGGGGATGGAGAGGGGGATGGAGAGGGGATGGAGGGGGGATGGAGAGGGGATGGAGAGGGGATGGAGAGGGGATGGAGAGGGGATGGAGAGGGGGATGGAGAGGGGATGGAGAGGGGATGGAGAGGGGATGGAGAGGGGGATAGAGAGGGGATGGAGAGGGGATGGAGAGGAGATGGAGAGGGGATGGAGAGGGGATGGAGAGGGGATGGAGAGGAGATGGAGAGGGGATGGAGAGGGGGATGGAGAGGGGATGGAGAGGGGATGGAGAGGG
The DNA here is from genome assembly GCF_000001405.40 of Homo sapiens. Classification (NCBI taxonomy): domain Eukaryota; kingdom Metazoa; phylum Chordata; class Mammalia; order Primates; family Hominidae; genus Homo; species Homo sapiens. The sequence continues at coordinate 1,775,992 of NC_000011.10, forward strand.
GATGGAGAGGGGATGGAGAGGAGATGGAGAGGGGATGGAGAGGGGATGGAGAGGGGGATGGAGAGGAGATGGAGAGGGGATGGAGAGGGGATGGAGAGGGGATGGAGAGGGGATGGAGAGGAGATGGAGAGGGGATGGAGAGGGGATGGAGAGGGGGATGGAGAGGAGATGGAGAGGGGATGGAGAGGGGGATGGAGAGGAGATGGAGAGGGGATGGAGAGGGGATGGAGAGGGGGATGGAGAGGAGATGGAGAGGGGATGGAGAGGGGATGGAGAGGGGGATGGAGAGGAGATGGAGAGGGGATGGAGAGGGGATGGAGAGGGGGATGCAGAGGTGGATGGATGGAGAGGGAATGGAGAGGTGGATGGAGAGGGAATGGAGAGGTGGATGGAGAGGGAATGGAGAGGTGGATGGAGAGGGAATGGAGAGGTGGATGGAGAGGTGGATGGAGAGGGGGACGGCAGCGTTTACTTCTTCCCCTCTGGTTCTCCTAGAAATAAGGATGGCAGACAGGTTCCAGCGCGAGTCCCATAGGAGCAGAGCTGCCCACACAGTGGGTGGCTAAAACGACACATAGTCATTCTCTCACGATTCTGGAGGCCGGAAGTCCAGACTCAGTGTCGCTGGGCTGAAATCGAGGTGTCAGCAGGGCTGGTTCCTTCTGGAGGCTCCAGGGGTGAACCTGTTCCTTGGCCTTGCCCGTTTCTAGAGGTTGCCTTGGCTGGGCCTTGGCTGGGCCCTACCCACATCTTCAAAGCCAGCACTCTAACCTGCTTCCATCTTCTCATCGCCTTCTCTGCCTCCTCCCCTGCCTTTCCCTCCAAAGGACCCCTGTGATGACCTGAGGCCCACCCCAATAATCTAGGATAGCCTCCCATCTCAAGATCTGTTGAGTCACATCGTCAAGGTCCCCTTGACCTGCTAAGGCCACATCTTACCGAAGTCAGGGATGAGGATGTCAATGTCTCTGAAGGAGGTGTTATTTTACCCACAACGCTGCCATTTGTTGAAATGGAGGATGTTGGGTGAGGAAAAGGGGTTCAACTTGGGGCCGAGAGAGTGTGCAGTGCCCATGGACTGAACTTGCAAGTGGAGGTGTCCCCTGGGTCTGCAGGATGAGGCCAGAAGCAAGGCTGGTGGAGTTCAGACAGAGCTCTGGAAGGGACCAGCTGGTGGTGGCATCTGTGTGAAAACAAGGGCAAGCCAGAGGAGTAAGGGCAAGGGGAGGGGCCTGAATCCTGAAGCCCCCTGCTCCAGAACTGGAGTGTTGAAGCTTGCGGTGGAGAGGGATACACTGAGAAAGGCTGAGCTGAGGAGCTGGGGCTGGGCTGGGTGGGATGAGTGATCAGGGCTGAGCTGGTAGGATGGGACCATCAGGGCTGAGTTAGGTAGGATGGGACCACAGGGGGCTGAGCTGTTGGGAGGGGGCCATCAGGGGCTGAGCTGTTGGGAGGGGGCCATCGGGGGCTGAGCTGGTGGGATGACACCACAGGGGGCTGTGCTGGTGGGATGGGACCATGGAAGGCTGAGCTGGTGGGATGGGACCACGGGAGGCTGAGCTGGTGGGATGGGGCCATCAGGGGCTGAGCTGGTGGGATGGGATCATTGAGGGCTGAGCTGGGTGGCATTGGATCATGGGATCTGAGCTGGTGGGATGGGGCCATTGGGGCTGAGTTGGGTGAGATGGGGCCATCAGGGACTGAGCTGGGTGGGATTGGATCATGGGGGCTGAGTTGGGGGGATGGAGCCATCAGGGTGATGTGGTGGGGATGGGGCCTCTGGTGTTGGGTTGGGTGGAATGGGCTGCTTGGTTTAGCTAGGGCGGTCCTGGTGGTTGATGGTTCTGCCCCAGTTCAGACAGGCTGGGTTGGCCTGAGATGCTTGTTTCTGATGTTGGGCTTGTGAGTGTCAGGAAGAGTTGGGCAATGCCTGTGGCTTTCCCCTAGGGGCTCTTGGGACATCTGAATGTCCCACAGAACAGAGGCATGACTTGTGCCTCAGTAGCTGGAGGGTGTTGGAGCAAGGGGCCCTCCCCTGGCCCCAGGGGCCTCAGGCACTGTCCAAACATCTGCACTCACCTCCACCCCCAGACGTGGCCAGTGACCACCCTCTAGCCTCACACTGGGCCAGCCATTCTAAAGGGGCCCTGACTTCCCCACCCAGAAGGGGCCCAGGCCATCTGGCCTCCAAGCCTCCTCAGTCCACCCCAAGAAGTCCTTGCAGCAGAGCCACAGGGAGCGGGAAGGGCCACCACATCCTTGCCCCATGTCTTGGTGCAGCCACCAGGGTAGGGCCACACTGACCCCGTCGTGACCTCATTGTGGGGGTGCGAAGGGAGGGGAGAACCGGAAGTCCATGGAGCCTGGGCATGTGCTCTCCCTTCTCTTCTGGGAGAACCTGTTCTGCTGTGGGCTGATCTGGTCCCACTCGAGGAAAAGGCCTTATCACCCTCCTGCAGCCCTCGCCTACCTCCCACCCACAGCCAAAAGGCCTGTTCCCCAGGGTGGGACGGTGGTGGCAGTCAACACTCACCCTTTCTCGGGATGCCAGCTCCTCTGTGGTACCCTGCCTCTCCCAGGCAGCTGGACAAACGGGTCTGGGGCTGTGACACCCCCTCTCTTTGGAGCAGTGACTCATAAGGGCAGGGAGTGGTGGGTGGGGACAGGTGGCCCCTCTGTCCTGTGAACAATGCCCTGATTCTTCCAGCCTGCATGGGGGTGCTGAGCTGGGGGCAGGGCCCTGCCCAGAGGCAGATGCTGAGGCCTCCACTTCCAGTCCTGGAGGGACCCCAAGCCTCACAGTGAGTGCTGCGGATGCAGAGCCCTCGTCCCTCGAGTTACCCGGCATTATACCACACACCTCTCTGCATCATGCTAGCAGGAAGCACTGCTCTGTGACAGACAGAGGACCCCAGGTGTGTGGCTTCACGTGGGTTACTCACCTGTCTGAGCCTTAGTCTCCAATCTGTAAAATGGGATGGTAGTGTCCATCCTCATGGGCAGGGCGGGAGCATGGTGGCTGGTGTTCCCCATGTTACCTGCCCCTCTCCATCCCCTTCTCCATCCCCTCTTCATCCCTTAGTCTCCAATCTGTAAAATGGGATGGTGACTTCCATCCTCATAGGCAGGGTGGGGGCACAGTGGCAGGTGTTCCCGGTGTAACCTGCCTCTCTCTGTTGGCTCTGGACCGCTTGGCAGCCACACAAGGAAGCCCAGGACTCTTTGCCCCTTGGGCCATGGAGGACACACAGGTCGTGGGAGAAGCCTGGCAACCAGGCTAGGGAGCTCATTCAAGGCAGGGAAGATGACTTCCAAGAGGAGGCCAGCCAGAGGGTGGGGAGCCTGCTGGGGAAGGCAGGGCCCCAGGGGAAGAGTGCCCGGGCAGGGGCCCCCAACACAAGCAGGGGCAGGGAGGCCAGCACGCCATCCTGCTGGCTTGGCCAGACCGAGGGTGTACAGGTGGAGGTGAGCTGCAGCCCTGGAGGCTGGACAGGAAGGTCGAGGGAGGCTGGAAGAGCCTTGAATGCCACGGTGAGGGCATCTGAGTCTGTTCACAGGCCATCAGGTGGGTGGTGCTGGGAGTGTTGGCAAGCAGGCTGCTCTCTCTGGGTCCCACGTGGGACATGCTATAGCCCCTCACTCGCTCACCCCACTGAGTTTGCAGGGACTGCGCCCCTCTCTGGGCGACACCTAACACGGGAGAGTGCAAGCTGGGCAGACGGAAAGGGGGTTCTCGGGGTCCGTGGCTCCCCCTGCTCCTTGTGCGCCTAGGCTGGGTCCTCTTGGGAGGACCACTGCCAGGCAGGAGGCAGCCCTGCTCGTGGCTCTGTACCGTGCTCCCAAAGTCTCCACCGAGAGCACCCAGCAGGGTCCTGTCTGCAGAGTGCAGGCCCTCACCTGCCCGGGCCTTCGCTGCTGTTTGCCAAGGGTTTGTGCTGCACGTTCTGTGGCCAGATGTGATGTGGATGCTGTGATGAACAGGACAGACAGAAATCCCTGCCCTCCAGGAGCGAATAGTAGGGGGTGGGAGACATGGGGGACGTAGTACCAAACACAGGGGTGGTGACTGGAAGAGCAGCAAAGGGGAAGGGCGGGACCACTTCTGGGGATGCCTGGGGTCCGGGTAAGGATGCGGAGGCAGGGAGGAAGCCAGCCTCCTGCCCGGCGGGCACAAATGCCCCAGGCCAGGGGTACAGGCGGGCAGGTGCCGGAGCGCACAGAGGAGGGAGCTGCACCCTGCAGGCTGCGCCTTGAGTGTCCCATGGGGAGTCTGCAGGGCTGAGAACAGGAGGGTGAGGACAACCTCAGCAGGTTGTCGGGGCCACTGGCACTCGTTGAGAGAAGGGTGTGATGGGGCGCGGGAGACGCAGAGAAAGAATATGGGGTGGCTGGGTGGGGTGTGGTGGCTGACAAGGCAGGGTGAGGTGGCAGATTTTGCTGGTGGGCTGGATGGGCGGAGGTGGTGGTGATCGGGGGAGGGTGAGGAAGAGCCTGTCTGAAGGGGATGGTCAGAACTGCCAGGGGCGACTTGCTGCTAGGACCCCAGCGCATGGCCGACGGGCAGCCGGACGCAGGTCTGAGGATGGAAGGAGCGCCCTGGCTGAGATGCGCGTGGGACCCCTTAGCCCAAGAGGATTTCCAGCCTGGAGGATTTCCGGGGTCAGCAGGAAATCACAAGGGGTCAGGGTGGACACAGAGGTGGCAAGGAAAAGCTGGGGAGGGGACAAAGCTGGAGACAGAGCAGCCATCGGGGAAAGGAGGATGTGTGTGGAGTCCTGGGGCCAAGCACAGGAAGGGCTCCCAGAAGCGACCGGGGAGCTCGTCCGCACTCTGATGCCCCTGACACGGCCACATGCAGCCCTCAGGACCTTGCTGGGGCAGCTCCGAGTGGCTCAGGTTTGAAGGAGGTGGAGAGGAGGTGCCAGGAGCTGGTGTCTGAGGCTGACTGTCTCGGGGAGTGTGGCTGGGAAGGGGCAGGGGAGCGACGTGGTGGCCAGGATGCTCTTAAAGCTGCTGGAAGGATCTGGCAGCGGGAGGAGTAATCCCTGCAGGTGTGAGGGTGGCAGCTGTGATGCTGGGAAAGATGTTCCCTAATCCAGTGGGGTGCGGCAGTCAGCACCGGGAGGCAGAGGCGAGGCCGTGGAGACCACTGAGGGCGTCTGCAGCATCCCTGGGCCCAGACCTCAGGCCCTTGGCCTGCAAGAGAAACCCCCCGGTAGTGGAAAGTTCACTCCCTCCCTGAATGTCATGCACCAGCGACCGCTGAAGCCCAAGTCCAGGTGACCTCTGAGCATATGATGTGAGGGGCCCTTCCTGTGGTCTGCAGGCCAGCCAGTGACTTCCTTCCCCTTCTGGAGGTGGCTCCCGCAGCCATGTGCTAGGGTTGTCATGTGAGGCTGGCCTAGGCTTCCAGGCCCTGAGGCCACAGCACCATGCCACGTCCCCAGCTCTGCGGCCTCTCACCCTGGTCCAGGCAGCCCCTCTTGTCAGCCTCAGCCGTGCAGCCTGCACACACAGCCTGTGCCTCTCAGCTGGACGGCGGCTCTTCCATGCCCTTTGGCAGAGGCTCCACCCATCTGTGCAACTGCCTGGCCTCTGTTGCAGGTTCTGCCCACACAGGCAGTGCCCTCCTGCCTCTTGGGCCTGGCTGAGCCCGTCCTTCCACTGCTGAGACCATGACAAGGGGCGTCCACCCTCAGCCAGGACGGACCTCCCATCCCAGGGTGCAGACAACATATGGGAGCCACGTCACAGCTGTTTCACCGCTGGGAGCTGTTACCTCCCAGGGGGCTGTCAGCTGCCCAGGTCCCGAGGGTGTGAGACTGTGGCTGAGGACTCAGGGGGCTGGGGCATAGGAGCTGGGAGGGTGACATCACAGGGCCCAGAGGGTCCATGTGGAGACCAAGGCGAGGTTCCAGTGCGGTCCCAGCAGCAAGGAGGGAGATGCTGGGAAGGCGGTGGCCCCTAAGGGTCACCAGCAGATGGTGGCCACCAGCCCCTCACCGGTGCAGTCGGCTTCATGCCCCCAAGTCCTTTCTTACTCGCTGCCTCGTCTCATCCCCCCAGGCCCCAGGGAGCAGGCAGGGCCTTGATCCCTTGCCCCAGATGAGAAAATCCTGATGCTCACAGAGGAAGTTGCAAAAGGACAGTGCAACACCTCCCAATCTTGCTTTTTTGCTGCCTGTGCAGTTTTGCAAAAGTCACATCCCTGTTGGGGTGACGGGCGGTGTCCCTGCTGTCCCCCTACAGTCGTTGTGGGTCCTCCTCCCCTGTGCCCTGGACACAGCCCTAGTGGACAGAGGGCTCTGGTCCCCGCCCCACACTCCCCCATGGGCAGGATGCCGTTCTAGCTAGCAGCCCCCTCCCCACAGTGGCTCATACTTGGGCCAGGGATGCCCCTCCTCTGTATCCTCATCTGGGAAAACCCCAGTGCCCCAGGGGTGCCAGCCACACACCACTGCCTGCCCTGAAAGAGAAGGCGCTTGCCGCAATGCCCAGCAAAGCAGGATTATCTCCCGACCTCTGTGGGTCCGGCCTGCGGCGAGTGGAGCCAGGCCCCTCATCTCACCAGGGAGCAGGGCAGGAGTCCCCCTTCACCCCATCCTCCTGTCTCTGGACCCCTCAATAGTACCCAGCCTCTGCCCACGGCCCCTCCACGTCTTTCCCTGCCCCTTCCTGCTACCCAATCCTTTGTTCTTTTGCTGGGCTGAAAAGGGTCCCCGAAGATGTCTACATTCTAATCACCGGGACCTACGTGACAAAGGGGCCTCCAGATGTGGTTAAGTCGAGGCACATGGGATGGGAGATTGTTCTGGAATATCCGGACAGGCTCAGGGCAATCACAAGCATCAGGATAGGAGCTGGGGAGGGTCAGAGCCACAGGAGACTAGAAGATGCCACTGCTGGACTTGAAGTCGGAGGAGGGGACCGTGAGTCAGGGAATGCTGGCGGCCTCTGGGAATGGGAGACACAGGGAGAGATGGATTTGCTTTTAGAGGCTCCGGAAGGGAACCGCCCTGCAGGCATCTTAATGTTAGCTCCTTGAAAACCACGTGGGACTTGTGACCTCCCAAACTGCAAGATGATAGATTTACGTTGCTTTAAGCCACTGTGTTTGTGTAATCTGCCACAGCAGTTAATTAGTCAGAGACTAATACAGACCTTGTGCCGGGTGACCAGCTGACCTTTGTAAAACCGAAAGTCCTGCCGTCTGGGCACCTCTCAACCGCAGGGACTGCAGTCACTCCACGTATTCCACTCTTTGTTCCTCTCCTGCCTTAAGCCCCGACTCATGGACCTCCCCAAGTATCCACCCCATCGCCTGGCAGAATGTCGTGTGGAGAGTGCTGAGGATGGGGCATCCGCTCCACCTTTGACAGAGACAGAAACTTGATCCCATTTCACAGCAAGAAGACAGAGGCAGGGCAGGTCCAGCAGCCATGAAGTCACGGAGTCAGGATTTTCACCCTGTGCCTGGCACCCAAGCTGGAGCTCCCACCCATCCCAAGTGACGTGGTGGGCAGGAGTCTCCCCTCCCAGCCCAGGGCCCCCAGCCTGCTCTGGCCCTAGGCCCCCACAGCCCCCATCCCTGGCTGGGCCCTGGTGGTCACTCTTCCTCAGCTCTCCCAGGCCCCTCTGGCTCCTGTTTTTATCCTCCCTAGCTTGGTCACTAAGCAGAGCCCCCAGGTCCAGACTCAGGAGTCCTTGGCCCGGGGCCCAGCCGCACCTGCCCTCCAGGCAGAGGAGGGAACCAAGATGCCCAGCAGGCATCTCCACAGAGGTTCCACCCACTCCCTCACTGGGGGAGGAGATGAGAGTGGCCGTCTCTCCCTTCCCAGCCGCTGGTGAGAGCAGAGCTGGGGCTGATGACTCTGGTGGCTCCCCCACAGCACCCCACACTCAGGCTGCCTGGCACATCCCAGTCTGAGGTGGGCAGCACCGCCAGAGGCAGCCTCAGCGGCCTCGTCCCTGGGCCCAGAGACACAAGCAGCATCCACAAGGGCCTGAGGGTGGCCCTGCGTCCTGTGCTGCAGGCTCTTGCTGGCCCCACCCACGCTCCACCCCAAATGAACCCCAATTCTCCCAGCTGACCCTGGCTGTCTGCCGTGCTCAGGACGCTGTCCCTCCTCCCCACCCACATCCGTTCCTGCCACCTTTGCCGCATCACCATCGGCCGCCCAGGATCAGCAGGGTCCTCCTGGTCCCCAGCTCCGATGGGCCCACCGCAGAGTTATACATGGACTTAGCGATGGACTCAGCTAGCTCTCGGAGGTTCGTTCGGAAAAGCAGCGGGTGAATTTGCTTAGAGCTGCCCGAACAGAGACCACAGACTGCGCAGGTTAAACAACAGACATCGATTTTTTCACATTCTGGAGGCTGGAGTCTGAGATCAAGGTGTGGGCAGGGCTGGCTTCTCCTGGGGCCTCCTTCTCCCTGTGTCCCCACAGGGCCACACCTCTGTGTGCATCTGTGTCCTAATTTCCACTTTTTACAAGGACACCAGGCCTATGGGATTAGGGCCCACCCTGAAGACCTCGTTTTAACTTGTTCACCTCTGTAAAGACCCATCTCCAAATACAGCTGCATTCTGAGGTCCTGGGGATCAGGGCTTCAACACATGAATTTTGGGGGACGTGACTGAACCCCTAACAGGGCCCCAGTACCCTCTGCCTGGCTTTCATGCCCACATCCCGAGGTAGCCAGGCCTTGCAGCAGATTCTCCCTGCACTCACCGGCACCCTGGCAGGCGGACTGGCACCCCCTCTGTGTTGTTTCCGTCTCAGACAGTGATTTAACTCCCTTCTCACCACAAACACCGCACCTTCCCAACCCCGCTTCTCCCAGACCCCTTCTCCTGGCAGGTGCCCACCTGGGCCCACCCATCCTCTCTCCTCTGCAGAGCTGGGGCCCTTACGGTTTGCTCACCATGGTGCAGTCGGCAGAGGTACTCGTTTAAAGGCTTGTCTGATCCCATTGCTCTGCCCCGGGACTCTCTGTGATTTCCAGCGCACTTGGCTACGGGAACAGAGTTCTGGGGCCCAAGGTCCCTTGTGGTCTTGGTCCCCTGCTGACCTTGGTGGCGCCCGCTCACCCCAGGAACTCTTCCCCACGTGGCCTCTGCCCAGCGAGCGCTGACCCTCTGCCCAGCTCGCTGTCTGCGGACGCCTCCTCCCAGTGCACTGACTGCTACTGTCCCACAGATCCGGCCCCAGATGCTGCTCCCAGAGGAGCCTCCCCAGTCCCTCAATGAGGCTGGGTCTCCCCGTAGCCCAAATCAACCTCTGGTGCACTTCTTTTGAACCATCTGACCCCATTTTTACTGTTGCCAGCTTAAGTGGTTAAAACTGTTTTTTACCTTTTTTTTTTTTTTTTTTTTGGAGACAAGGTCTCCCTCTATCGCCCAGAGTGGAGTGCAGTGCTGTGATCATAGTTCACTGCAGCCTTAACCTCCTGAGCTCAAGTGATCCTCCCATCTCAGCCTCCTGAGTAGCTGGGATCACAGACATGCACCACCACGCTTGGCTAATTTTTTAATTTAATTTTTTGTACAGACGGGGTCTCACTATGTTGTCCATGTTGGTCTCAAACTCCTGGTCTCAAGCAGTCCTCCTTCCTCGGCCTCCCAGAGTGCTAAGATTATAGGTGTAAGTCACAGCACTCAGCCTTTTTATCATTTTATTTGAAGTATAATGGGCTACTTAGACCCTGGCGGTTCCGTCTGACTATAACGGGGTTGAAAAGTTTCCGTCGCCTAGTGCCGTCGTAGGCCTCCTAAGGCTGTAGCACAATGAGCTGCCTTCTCTGTGTTTAGATACACAAATGCTTACCATTGTGTTGCCTGCAGGATTCAGCACAGTGCCCAGCCCTGCAGGCCTGCCCCCTAGGAGCAGTAGGCTGTACCGTGCAGCCTGCGTGTGTGGCAGGCCACACCATCTGGGTTTGTGTAAGTGCACTCTGCAATGTTCTCACAACCATGAAATTGCCTTAGGACACGTTCCCCCGTGGTTACCCGGCGAATGACTGGATAACAGATGGACAATCAACTGCATTTGCCTAAAGTGTGCCACTTGACCGATTTTGAGACCTGTGCACACTGTTGAACGCATCTCCGCGGTCGAGATCATGAGCTTCCCTCCACAGCCTCCGCTGTGACACGTTGACCATCCCTCCCTGTTCCCCCCTCTTCCCCACCCCCAACCCTGCCGGTTCCTAGAAAACTACTGTTCTGCTTTCTGTAGATGAGTTTCCATTTCTAGAACGTTATATAGATGAAGTCAGACGGCACGTGCTTATTTTTTTTCTGGTTTGTTTCACTCGGCGTAATTATTTTAAGATGTAACCATGTCACTGCATATATCAGTGTGTTCAGCATGATTATTTTGAGATGTATTTGTGTCATGCATGTGTCTATGTGTTCACTTTCTCTCGGCTGCTGTCACAAATTGCCACACAGTGAGTGGCTTAAAACAACACAAATCTATTAACCTTACAATTCTGGAGGCCGGAATTCTGAAGAAGTGGGTCTCCCTAGGCCAAAATCAAGGTGTCAACAGGAATGACTGTGCTTTCTCTGGAGGCTCAGATGGAAAATCCATGTCCCTGATCCTCCAGCTCCCAAGGCTGCCTGCATTCCTTGGCTGGCGGCCCACCTCCATCTTCAAAGCCAGCATTGGCCGGGCTGGTCCTTCCCACATCCCGGCACTCTGACCTCCTCTTCTGCCTCCTTCCATTTTTAAGCACCTTGTGATCACATTGCTTATTCAGATCATCCAGGATAATCTCTCTATTTAAGGTCAGCTGCTTAGCAACCTTAATTCCCTCTGCAACCTTAATTCCCCTTCAGCATAAACCTAATATATTCCCAGCTTCCAGGGATTAGGGCATGAGCATCTTTTGGGGGACCATTGTTCTGCCTATCGCAATCAATACCTCCTTCATTATGATTGCAGAATAGTGTTCCATCACAGGCACAATCTGTTTCTCCATCTAACTGTTCATGGCATTTTGGGAGGATTCCAGTTTTTGGCTATTACAAGTGAAGCTGCTAGGAACACTCACATACAAGTCTGTGTTGACACCTGCTTTTGCTTCTCTTGTGTAAATATCTAGGAGTGGGTTTGCTGGGTTGCATGGAAGATATGTGGGCAATTTTTTTTTTTTTTTTGAGATGGAGTCTCATTCTGTTGCCCAGGCTAGAGTGCAATGGCACGATCTCGGCTCACTGCAACCGACGCCTCCTGGGTTCAAGCGATTCTCCTGCCTCAGCCTCCCAAGTAGCTGGGACTACAGGCGCCCACCACCATGCACGGCTAATTTTTGTATTTTAGTAGAGATGGGGTTTCTCCATGTTGGCCAGGCTGGTCTTGAACTCCTGACCTCACATGATCCGCCTGCCTTGGCCTCCCAAAGTGCTGGGATTACAGGCATGAGCAACCGCACCCAGCCTTTCCTTTTCTTTTTTTTTCCTTTAACAGTGTTTGTTGTGTTTAATAAATCTTTGCTACACTCAAGATCAGTAAGATTTTCACCTATGTTTTCTGTTAGAAGTGTTATAGCTTTATCTCTTCCAATAAGGCCTATCATCCATTTTGAGTTAGTTTTTGTGTATCACGTGAGGTAAGGGTTGGAGTTCATTGTTATGACTATCCAGTTGTTCCAACATCATTTGTTGAAAAGCCTTTTCTTCATTTAATTGCCTTGGCAATTTGGTTGAATTCAGTTGTCCATACGCATGTGGATCTATTTCTGGGCACTCTATTCTGACCCATTTATCTATTTGTGTGTCTTTATACCAGCACTGTACAGCCTTAACTATTATTATTATTATTATTTTTTGAGACAAAGTCTCCCTCTGTCACCCAGGCTGGAGTGCAGTGGCCCCATCTCGGCTCACTACAACCTCCGCCTCCCAGTTTTAAGTGATTCTCCTGCCTCAGCCTCCTGAGTAGCAGGGATTACAGGTGCACGCCACCACACCAGGCTAATTTTTGTATTTTTAGTAGAGACAGGGTTCCACTATGTTGGCCAGGCTTGTCTTGAGCTCCTGACCTCAGGTGATCCACCCGCCTCAGCCTCCCAAAGTGCTGGGATTACAGGCGTGAGCCACCATGCCTGGCCTGATTTTAGTTATTTTAGATATTTTGTATTTTGATACACATTTTAAAATCAGCTTGTCCATGCCTGGTGTGGTGGCTCACACCTGTAATCCCAGCACTTTGGGAGGCCGAGGCAGGCGGATCACAAGGTCAGGAGATTGAGACCATCTTGGCTAACATGGTGAAACCCCGTCTCTACTAAAAATACAAAAAACTTAGCCGGGCATGGTGGCAGGCGCCTGTAGTCCCAGCTACTTGGGAGGCTGAGGCAGGAGACTGGCATGAACCTGGGAGGCAGAGCTTGCAGTGAGCTGAGATCGCACCACTGCACTCCAGCCTGGGCGACAGAGTGAGACTCAGTCTCAAAAAAAAAAAAAAAAAAAAATCAGCTTGCCCATTTCTAAAAAAAAAAAACAAAAAAAAACTGTCTTGAGATTTTGATTTGGATTGGGTTGATTCTACAGATCACTTTGGGAACAACTGACATGTTGACAATATTGATTCTATCCATGAACACTGTATATCTCTCTCCATTTGCTTAGTATTTTACTTTTGCTTAGTGTATTTAGAATGTCAGAGTACAAGTCTTGGACATATTTGTCAAATTTATCCTGAAATATCTATTTTCAATTTTCTTCTAAATGGCCGTTTTAAACATCAATTTTGGGCTAGGCACAGTGGCTCATGCCTGTAATCCCAGCACTTTGGGAGGCTAAGGCAGGCAGAGCACCTGAGGTCAAGAGTTCAAGACCAGCCTGGCCAATATGGTGAAACCCCTCCCTACTAAAAATACAAAAATTAGCTGGGCGTGGTAGTGCACACCCGTAATCCCAGCTACTAAGAAGGCTGAGGCAGGAGAGTTGCTGGAGCCCGGGTGGTGGAGGTCGCAGTGAGCTGAGATTGTACCACTGCACTGCAGCCTGGGTGACATGGCAAGACTCCTTCTCAAAAAAAAAATAAAAAATATAAAATCAACTTCGAATGTTCGTCGCTGTTATATAGAAATACAATTGATATTTGTCCATTGACCTATCCTACAACCCTGCTAAACTAAGTTATCAGTTTTAGTAACTTTCTCATAGATTTTGTAGGTTTTTCTTCAACAATGATCATGTCTTTGGAAAATAAAGACGTTTGTGTTTCCTTTTCAATCTGGATAAATTTTGTTTTCTTTGCACTGGCTAAACCCCAGTGAATGTTGAATGGAAGTCGTGAGAGCAGACATTCTTGTCTTGTTCCCGACCGTAGGAGAAGAACATTCCTTTTTCACCATTCAGGATGATGCTCGCTGTAGGTTTTTCTATAGTTTTATTTTTTAAAATCAGGATGAGGACATTTCCTTTTCTTCTCTGTTTGCTGGGAGTTTTGATCAGGAATGGATACTGGATTTTGTGAAAAGCTTTTTCTGAACCTGTGGAGATGTTCACAGGCATTTTCTTTTTCAGTCTGTTAATATGGTGAATTAAATTCATTGAGGTTTTTTATTTTTTTTATTTTTATTTATTTATATATTTTTTGAGGCAGAGTCTCACTCTGTTGCCCAGGCTGGAGTGCAGTGGCACAGTCTCGGCTCACTGCAAGCTCCACCTCCCGGGTTCACGCCATTCTCCTGCCTCAGCCTCCCGAGTAGCTGGGATCACAGGTGCCCGCCACCATAACCGGCTAATTTTTTGTATTTTTTTGCTTTTAGCAGAGACGGGGTTTCACCGTGTTAGCCAGGATGGTCTCGATCTCCTGACCTCGTGATCCACCCGCCTCGGCCTCCCAAAGTGCTGGGATTACAGGTGTGAGCCACCGCGCCCGGCCCTCGTTGAGTTTTAAAACATCATAAAATAACCTGGCATTCCCAGGATAAATCTCACTTGGTCATGAGTATTATCCTTTTTATAGATTTTGGGGTTTGATTTGCTAAACATATGCCTATTTCCCATCTGTCGATCCTCTCTGGGGGTGGAGGACATCTGCTTGTACCTTTTGCACCGTCTTACACGGACTTTTTTAAGTTACTGAATTTTAAGGGTTCTTCATGTATTTTGGATTCAAGGTCGTTATCAGACATGTGTTTGACCAAAATGTTCTCCCAGTCTGTGCCTTGTGACTCCATTCTCTCAGCAGTGTCTTTTACACCGCAGAAGTTTATAATTTTAATAAGTCCAACTTATCACATCTTTTTTCATGGGCCATATTTTTGGTCCTGTATCTAAAAAGTTCCTCATCAGCTGGGCATGGTGGTGCATGCCTGTGGTCCTAGCTGCTCGGGAGACTGAGGTGGGAGGATCACTTAAGCTCAGGAGGTTGAGGCTACAGTGAGCTACCATCACACCACTGCATTCCTGCCTGGGCAACAGGGCGAGACTGGATCTTAAAATGAAACAAAAAAAGTCATCACCAAACCCAGAGTCAATCAAACTTTATCCTACGTTATCTTCTAGGAGCTTTATAGTTTTGCTTTGCTTATAGGTCCATGATCCATTTTGAGTTAATTTTTGTGAAGGGAGGAAGGTCTATGCCTAGATTCTTTTTTCCCCTTCATATGTCCAGGTGTTCCAGCACCATTTGTTGAGATGATTTTCTTTTCTCCATCGAATTGCCTTTACTTCTGTGTCAAAGATCAGTTGATTATTCTATTTCTATGAGCCTATTACCTCTGTGCTTTCTATTCTGCCTGTTGGTCTGTCTATTCTTTTGTCTTCGTTACTGCAGCTTTGTAGTACATCTTGAGGTGTAGGCTCAGTCCTCCAACTTTGTTCTTCTTCAATATTGTGTTGGATAGTCTGGATCTTTTGCCTTTTTATATAAACTTTAGGATCTGGCTGGGTATGGTAGCTCATTCCTGTAACCTCAGCACTTTCAGAGGCTGCGGTGGGAGAATTGCTTAAGGCCAGGAGTTTGAGACCAGCTGAGCAACATAGTAAGACTCTATCTCTACAAAAATTAAATTTAAAAAAAGGAAAAGGAAAAAACAGAATCTGTTTTTTTAATCACAAAATAACTTGCTGGGATTTTTATTGGGATGCATCGAATCTACAGATGAAGTTGGGAAGAACTGATGTACTGACGATATTAGGCTTCCTATTCATGAACATGAACTCTCTCTGTATTTATTTAGATCTCCTTTGATTTCTTTCCTCAGAGTTTTGCAGTTTTTCTCATATGGATCTTGTACTTTTTTTGTTAGATGTATACCTAAGTATTTCATCTTGAGGTGCTACTGAAGGTGGTAATGTGTTTGTAATTTTAAATTCCAATTGCTTATTGCTGTTTAATTTACTTTTTTTTTCTTTTTTTGGAGGTGGAGTCTCGCTCTGTTGCCCAAGCTGGAGTGCAGTGGCGTGATCTTGGCTCACTGCAACCTCTGCCTCCCAGGTTCAAGCGATTCTCCTGTCTCAGCCTCCCAAGTAGCTGGAATTACAGGTGTGTGCCACCACGCCTAGCTAATTTTTGTATTTTTAGTGGAGACAGGGTTTCACCATGTTGGTCAGGCTGGTCTCAAACTCCTGACCTCAGGTGATCCACCTGCCTCAGTCTCCCAAATTGCTGGGATTATAGGCATGAGCCACCATGCCCAGTCTGTTTCATTTACTTTTAATCTATTTGTGTCTTTATGTTTTAAGCAAGTTTCTTATAAGCAGCATATAGTTAGGTCATACTTTTCTTACTTAAAATCTAATTTGACTATTTCTTTCTTTTAATCAGGGTTTTTAGACCATGAAACCATTATTGATAGGTTGAATTGAAATATACCACCTTGTTTTCGTTTTCCATTTGCCCCATCTGTTCTTTGTTCTCTTCTGCCTTTTAAAAATATTCAGTGTATTTTATGATTCCATTTTATTTTCTTTGATGGTTTCTTAGCTACACCTTTGTGCTTTGTTATTTTACTAGTTGACTCAGGGCTTATAGTGTATATGTGTATTTACCTTATCACTCTCCACTTTCAAGTAATAGTAGTCTACTTTATGTATTGCATAAGACCTTTACAACCGTGTACTTCTACCTGCCCCTCCCCAGACTCTGTGTTCTTGTTGCCATACATTTTATTTACTTCATATTATAAGCTTCAAATTATGACCAGGCGCAGTGGCTCACACCTGTAATACCAGCACTTTGGAAGGCCAAGGCGGGCGGATTACTTGAGGCCAGGAGTTCAAGACAAGCCTGGTCAACATGGTGAAACCCCGTCTCTACTAAAAGTACAAAAATTAGCTGGCCATGGGGGCGCCTGCCTGTAATCCCAGCTACTTGGGAGGCTGAGGCAGGAGAACCACCTGAACCTGGGAGGTGGAGGTTGCAGTGAGTGGAGATCCTGCCACCGCACTCCAGCCTGGGCAACAGAGTGAGACTCTGACTCAAAAAAAAAAAAAAAAGCTTCAAATTACATTCTTATTATTTTGTTTTAAACAGTCAGTTATCTTTGAAAAAGATTTGAAAAATCTCTTTTCCGTGCCGATAGTGCTCACGCAAACATGGTGAAAGTCCCGAAAACCCGTCGGACATTCTGTAAGAAGTGTGACAAGCACCAACCTCACAAAGTGAGACAGTACAAGGACGGCAAGGATTCTCTGTACGCCCAGGGGAAGTGGCGTTATGACAGGAAGCAGAGTGGCTATGGTGGGCAGACTAAGCCGATTTTCCGGAAAAAGGCTAAAACTACAAAGAAGATTGTGCTGGGGCTTGAGTGCATTCAGCCCAACTGCAGATCCAAGAGAATGCTGGCTACCGAAAGATGCAAGCATTTTGAACTGGGAGGAGATAAGAAGAGAAAGGGCCAAATGATCCAGTTCCAAGTGCCATCTTTTATTATGAAGACAATAAAATCCTGAGTTTATGTTCACTTCAAAAAAAAAAAAAAAAAAGAAAAATCTACCATTTCTGGTATTTGTCTTTGCTTTGTATAGATCAACTTCCATCTAGTATAATTTTCCTTCTGCTTGAAGGATGTCCTTTAAGAATTTTTTTGTGTGTGTCTGCTGGTTATGAAACCTTTTAGCTGAAAAAAAAAAAGATGTTTATTTTACTTTCATTTTTGAAGAATTTTTTTCTGGATATAAAAACTCAAGTTGACAGTTTTTTAATTTTCTTCCAGAACTTTAAAGCTGTTGCTTTACTGTATTCTAAATTGTGGTGTTTCTGGTGAGATGCCTGCTGTCATTCTCATTTGGTTTCTCTGTATGTGATGTATCCTTTTTCTACGGATGCTTCTTTCAAAATATTTCCTTTGGCACTGATTGCTGGGTTGAAGCAATTTAATCATGATGTGCCCGCCTGTCGTTTATTCATGTTTATTGTGCTTGGGGTTCATTGGAATTTTTGAATCTGTGAGTTTATAAATTTTATGAAGTTTGAAAACATTTCAGCTAGCATTTCTTCAAATAATTTCTGCACCCCTCCTTTGGGGACTTTCCATTACATGCATGTTAGCCTGTTTGGAGTGGTCCCACGGCTCACTGATGCTTTGTTCATTTGTATTTGATGGAGTTTTTCTTTTAGTCTTTTTTCTCTCTGTGTTTCTTTTTTTCTTTCTTTTTTTTTTTTTTTTTTTGAGACGGGGTCTCGTTCTGTTGCCCAGGCTGGAGTGCAGTGGTGCGATCTTGGCTCATTGCAAGCTCTGCCTTCTGGGTTCAAGCCATTCTCCTGCCTCAGCCTCCCAAGTAGCTGGGACTACAGGCACCCGCCACCACGCCCAGCTAATTTTTGTATTTTTAGTAGAGACGGGATTTCACCGTATTAGCCAGGATGGTTTCGATCTCTTGACCTTGTGATCTGCCCACCTTGGCCTCCCAAAGTGCTGGGATTACAGGCGTGAGCCACCATGCCCAGTTTTTTTTTTTTTTTTGAGACAGAGTCTTGCTCTGTCACCCAGGTTAGAGTACAATGGTACGATCTCAGCTCACTGCAACCTCCGCCTCCTGGGTTCAAGCGATTCTCCTGCCTCAGCCTCCCAAGTAGCTGGGATTACAGGCATGCACCACTACACCTGGCTAATTTTCTTTTTTGTATTTTTTTGGTAGAGATGGGGTTTCACCATATTGGCCATACTGATCTCGAACTCCTGACCTTGTGGATGCACCCACCTCAGCCTCCCAAAGTGCTGGGATTACAGGCATGAGCCACTGCACCCGGCCTTTCTATCTGTGTTTCATTTGGATAGTTAGTTTTCCAATCTGCCATCAAATTCACCTAGTGTGATTTTTGTCTCAGGCATTGTAGTTCTTATTTCTAGAAGTCCTTGGGTGTTTTAAGAATATTTTCCTTGTCTCTTTTTAACATAAGTATCCTTTCTTTTAACTTCTTGGACATATAAAATACAATTATAATAAATGTTTTAATATCTTATCTACAAATTCTTTCATTTTATCATTTGTGAATCTGCTTCTATAGATTGATTTTTCTCCTCACGATGGATCATATTTTTGTGCTTTTTTGAATTCCTGTTTATTTCTGATTGGATGCCAGGCATTGTAACTTTTACCTTGCTGGGTGCTGGATACTGTTGTATTCATGTAACTATTCTTAACGTTTGTTCTGGGATGCAGTTATGTTTGGCCCTTCTAGGTATTACTTTTTTTTTCTTTTTTTCTATTTTTATTTTCTTTTTTCCCTCATCTTCTTTGCGATGGTATGGGTCTTACTTTTAAGCCTTGTCATGCAGAATAAAAGCAGCATCTAGTCTAGAGCTAATCTTTCTTCTATTAAGGCAAAACCTTTCTGCGTAGTCTGCTCAATACCTTATGAATTGTGCAGTGTTTCCCCTCTGGTGGTGAGTGAGCTCTGAAGAGTGTTCCCGTATCTCTTTTGGGAGGTTCCTTCCCAGTTTGGGGTGGTTTCCTCCAGTGCCGGCACTGATCACACCTGGAAGTTTGAAGGGAACTTCTCCAGGTCTCCGGGATTCTCAATCCCTGTGCTCTCCTCCTTGGTACCTTGCCCTGCCAACCCCAGGTGTCTTTTTTTTTTTTTTTTTTTGAGACGGAGTCTCAGGTCCAGGCTGGAGTGCAGTGGTGTGACCTTGGTTCACTGCGATTCTCCTCAAGTTCAAGCGATTCTCCTGCCTTAGGCTCCAGAGTAGCTGGGATTACAGGTGCGTGCCACCACGCCTGGCTAATTTTTGTATTTTTAGTAGAGACAGGGTTTCACCATGTTGGCCAGGCTGGTCTCTAACTCCTGAGCTCAAGTGATCCACCTGCTCCAACTGTAATCGTCACTTGATTCGCTCCCCTCTCTCGAGGACCACTACCCTGCACGCTCCCCTCTCTCACTACCAAGCACCATTGGATGTCCCATGTCTGGAGAACACTTTTTTCCCCATGTATTTTTTTTAAACTTCTGTTTCTTTGTTTGCTTGCTTTAGGGTGGGGGTAAATATGGCCCCTTCTTTATTTTTATTTTTATATTTATTTATTTATTTTTGAGACGGAGTCTCCCTCTGTCACCCAGGCTGGAGTGCAGTGGCGCGATCTCGGCTCACTGCGAACTCCGCTTCCTGGGTTCATGCCATTCTCCTGCCTCAGCCTCCCCAGTAGGTGGGACTACAGGCACCCGCCACCGCGCCCAGCTAATTTTTCGTATTTTTAGTAGAGACGGGGTTTCACCGTGTTAGTCAGGATGGTCTCGATCTCCTGACCTCGTGATCCGAAATACGGCCCCTTCTACTTCACCTTGGCAGGAACCAGTCATTTTCTAGACAGTTATAATTTGAAAATGAGATGGTTTTGTTTCTCTTCCCAATTTTTTGTTTCCTTAGAAGGTTTTCAAGTTTAGGTTCTAACTCTCTCAGGAACAGGGAAAGCCAGACTTTGCTTGGTTGAATCTGAATCTAATTGAGATTTACAGTGAAAGAACTCAGAGAGACGAGTTTTTGTAGATTAGGTACAAAGGAAAATGCTTCCAGCAGGTAGACAACATGTTCCTTTTTTTTGTTTTGTTTTGTTTTGACGGAATCTCACTCTGTCACCAGGCTGGAGTGCAGTAGTGCGATCTCGGTTCACTGCAACCTCCATCTCCTGGGTTCAAGCGATTCTCCTGTCTCAGCCTCCCAAGTAGCTGGGATTACAGGCGCACACCACCATGCCCGGCTAATTTTGTATTTTTAGCAGAGATGGGGTTTCTCCATGTTGGGCAGGCTGGTCACCTCAGGCGATCCACCTGCCTCAGCCTTCCAAAGTGCTGGGATTACAGGCGTGAGCCACTGCACCTGGCTGACATGTTTCTGAGAAGCGGGAGAGAGATTAATCTATCACTTCCCTTGGTGTTCAGGGAGGATTTTAATCTGCCAGCGACCGGCTCCAGGCTAACATGTTGCCTGCTCAGGCCCTAAGTTCACCTCCTGACACATCCTGCATAGATCATCCTCCAACATACAATCTAAGACACCATCGAGCTTAACAAAAGATGAGTTTGAGCACAAGGAAGTTACATCCCTGCCCTTGGGCGGTAGATATGAATCAATTTGAAATCCTTAGAACCAGAGCAAGAGTTCAAGGGCTCTGTTCCTGGCAGTGACTTGACTGGGCTTGAGAATCTGAGCCCAACTTAGCCACACTGGAAGATGTAAGCAAACCTAACACGTGTCACCCAGATCCTATCAGCCTTCAGCGTCACTCAGGAGGGACACTGTCACCCAGATCCTATCAGTCTTCAGCGCCACTCAGGAGGGACAGTGTCACCCAGATCCTATCAGCTTTCAGTGTCACTCAGGAGGGACACTGTCACCCAGATCCTATCAGCCTTCAGCGCCACTCAGGTGGGACACTGGGCCTGCTCGAACACACAGAGGAAGGGTGTCAAGCTCAACCTGTCCTGCAACGTGCTAGCGATGAGAATGTCCACCAGGTT
The DNA here is from genome assembly GCF_000001405.40 of Homo sapiens. Classification (NCBI taxonomy): domain Eukaryota; kingdom Metazoa; phylum Chordata; class Mammalia; order Primates; family Hominidae; genus Homo; species Homo sapiens. Next base: position 1,796,919 of record NC_000011.10, read on the forward strand.
TCAGGGAGGCAGGGAAGGGAACCGCGGAAGCAATTGCTGCCAGTAGGAGGAGTGGCCATGCTCTAGATCTGTTTTCAGACGAGAGCTCACTGGATTTGTTGGTGATGAGGCCTGGGGTGTGTGGGAAGGAACAGAGTCAGAGTCTATGACCGGAGTGTCTGAAGAATGGAGCTTCCATTTGCTAAGCTGGGGGGAATCCTGAGAAACAAGCAGGTCGGGTGGTGGAGAGCATGTTGGATTTTTTGTTTCGCTTTTCTTTGTTTTTTCTTTTTGAGATGGTGTCTCACTCTGTTGCCTAGGCTGGTGTGCAGTGGCATGATCTCAACTCACTGCAACCTCTGCCTCCCGGGTTCAAGCGATTCTCCTGCCTCAGCCTCCCGAGTAGCTGGAATTACAGGCGCCCGCCACCACGCCCGGCTGATTTTTTGTATTTTTAGTAGAGACAGGTTTCACCATGTTGGCCAGGCTGGTCTCGAACTCCTGACCTCCGGTGATCTTGCCCGCCTTGGCCTCAAAAGTGCTGGGATTACAGGCGTGAGCCACCACACCCACTCATGTTGGGTTTTTGCTGGAGTTGTCCAAGTGGCAATGTCAAACAGAGAATGAGATTCCCAAGTTTTGTTCAGGAAGGAGGTACAGGCTGGATTAAACATTTGGGAGTCAGTGTACACATGGAATTTAAAGTCCTGGGAATGAATCAGTTCCCTAGGGACAGAGCAGGACCAGAGAACAGGCTAAAAGAAGAGCCAGTTAAGGTGGCATCACCAACTGGAAGAAGATGGGGGTTCACAAAACGGCAATGGGGCAACTCTTTAAGAGCTGGGGGAAAAGCAGTTTGTATCTTGCAACTCACACCAAAATAAATTCCCAAAAGATCAAACATTTAACAATAACAAGTAGAACTATAAAAAGAATACAGCCAATAGTGGTGGCAGTAGAACCGAGTGGCTGAGAGTGGGGCTCCGGAGCCAGAGACTGGGCTCAACCCTTGGCTCTGCGTGCACTAGCTCTGTGCCTTGTGCAAGCCCCTTGTCGGCCTCCTCTGTCGGGGGAATAATGCATGTGTGTTAAGCAAATTTTTTTTTTTTTTTGAGACAGAGTCTTACTCTGTCGCCCAAGCTGGAGTGCAATGGCATGATCTTGGCTCACTGCAACTTCCACCTGCTGGGTTCGAGTGATTCTCCTGCGTCAGCCTCCCGAGTAGCTGAGATTACAGGTGCCCACCTGCCACTACGCCCAGCCAATTTTTGTATTTTTAATAGAGACAGGGTTTCACCATGTTGGTCAGGCTGGTTTCGAACTCCTGACCTCAAGTGATCTGCCTGCCTCGGCCTCCCAAAGTGCTGGGATTACAGCTGTGTGCCACAGCGCCCGGCTGTGTATTATGCTCTTCGAATGGCCTGGTGCGTGTGGCTCACTAGATGTGAGTTTGCTTTGTAGTTACTGTTGTTTCGGCATCTCAGGGTGGGGAAAACCTACATATGACACTCAAACCCAAAAGCCAAAACTTGGGAAAGTTGATGAATTTGGTTACATACAATTAAAAAATATATTCTGCATTAAAAAAACCCACAACAGGCAAAGCCAAAAGACTGCTGATAAACAGAATATACAACAATCGTAGAAAAGGAATTAATTTCCCTAATATTTGAGGAGCTCCTGTGAATAATTTTAAAAAGCTCTAAAAACCCAAAGGAAATATTGGCAACAGAGACCAGCCAAAATTCAGAAGAAAGGAAATACAACTGGCCTGAAACGTACAAAGAGACGTTCAGACTCGATGGGAATGAAAGGAAAGATGAGGGATCGCTGAGAGGGCATTCGCCGCCTGCCAGAGAAACAAACAAACAAAACTCCAAACAAAGAAGCAAAGCTGTTAACACACATCCATTTGTTGAGTGAAAGTCTGGGGAGAAATCATGGGTGCATTGCTGGAAGATTATACCAGGAAACAACCTCTATGGATAGAATTTGATGAAATTTACTGAGTCTCAGGTACACATAACTTTTGACACAGCACCTCTAGGATTTCGGGGCGCAGACGCACTTGTACATGGGAAAAATGATGTGTGTAAAGTGTTATTCATTGAAGCACTGCATAGGATGGCAAGAGGTTGGAAAGGCCTAACCATGCACCCTAAAGCACTAGTTAAATACACTCAGGTGACCCGTGCAGTTGAGTACCATATCGCTATCATAAACATAAAGTTAAAAGGCTTTTATGTATTCACAGACAATGATCTCTGGAAACGGATTTTTAAAATTTATTTTTATTTTTTGAGACAGAGTCTCACTCTGTCACCCAGGCTGGAGTGAAGTGGCGCGATCTCAGCTCTCCGCAACCTCTGCCTCCCGGGATCAAGTGATTCTCCTGCCTCAGCCTCCCAGGTAGCTGGGACTATAGGCACTCACCACCACGCCTGGCTAATTTTTTTTTTTTTTTTTTTTTAGTAGAGACGGGGTTTCACTATGTTGGCCAGGCTGGTCTCCAACTCCTGACCTCATGATCTGCCCGCCTCGGCCTCCCAGAGTGCTGGGATTACAGGAGTGAGCCCCTGCGCCCCGCCGAGACAGACTGTTAAGGAAAAAAAAAAAGTGTGGCACAGAATAATTGTATATTATGGGCTGAGTGCGGTGGCTCATGCCTGTAATGCCAACACTTTGGGAGGATCACTTGAGGTCAGGAGTTCAAGACCAGCCTGGACAACAAGGCGAAACCCCGTCTCTACTAACAACACAAAAAATTCGCCAGGCATGGTGGCAAGTGCCTGGAATCTCAGCTACTTGGGAAGCTGAGGCAGGAGAATTGCTTGAGCCCGGGAGGCGGAGGTTGCAGTGAGCCGAGATCACACCACTGCACTCCAGCCTGGGTGACAGAAATTCTGTCTCAAAATAATAATAATAACAATAATAATAATTGTATATTATGATACAATATGCATAGAAAAGAATTTGAATAATGTATTTTAATTTTTCTTTTATGTAAAGGATATCTCAGGATGCACACAAATGAACGTGGGACACAGGCCTCTCCGCGGGGGGTGAAGGAGTTCCTACTGTCAACCCTTCTCAGCTTAGGGTCATGTGAACAGACTTACTTGTCAAAAGCAATACATTTAATTTTAAACATGTTTAGAGAAAATCCGTTCATAGATCAAAGAAGAAAAAACATATGATCATCTCATGGGCAATAGAAATTCTCCAGATAAATTCAGTATCTATTCATTATTTTTAAAAATGAATGTAATAGCCAACTAGACATCGCAGGGAACTTCCCCAACCTGGTAACAGCTACCAAAAATCTATGGCAAACGTTACACTTAATGGTGAAATATTAAAAGTATCCTTTCAAATCAAGAATATAACAGGAAGCCAGGTGCGGCGGCTCATGCCTGTAATTTCAGCACTTTGGGAGGCCAAGGCGAGCGGATCATGAGGTCAGGAGTTCGAGACCAGCCTGGCCAATATGGTGAAACCCTGTCCCTACTAAAAATACAAAAATGAGCCGGGCATGGTGGTGCACATCTGTAGTCCCAGCTACTCAGGAGGCTGAGGCAGGAGAATCGCTTGAACCCAGGAGGCAGAGGTCTTGGTGAGCCGAGATCGCACCATTGCACCCTCCAGCCTGGGCAACAAGAGCGTAACTCTGTCTCAAAAAAAAAAAAAAAACAAAAAAAACACAAGAACCTGTGTCCCTGTCAGAAGCAGTCACTGTGTCACAGAATAGCTGCCTTTTGTGTTGGTTCAAGGCACACACCACCCCCAGATGCTATCTTCATTCCTACTTGTTCACTTTTTTTTTCTTATACTTTAAGTTTTAGGGTGCATGTGCACAACGTGCAGGTTTGTTACATATGTATCCATGTGCCATGTTGGTGTGCTGCACCCATTAACTCGTCATTTAACATTAGGTATATCTCCTAATGCTATCCCTCCCCCTCCCCCCAACCCACAACAGGCCCCGGTGTGTGATGTTCCCCTTCCTGTGTCCATGTGTTCTCATTGTTCAATTCCGACCTGTGAGTGAGAACATGCGACTTGTTCACTTTTGATTGTTTTCCACACTGGAATGGAAGCTCCCTGAATGTTCACGGAATTCCCAGAGTCTCCGAGAGCTTGGCTGGAAGACGTTCGTGGTAACATCATCTTGAATAAGACATTGCCCCAAATTTCCTCAAGTATGTGACCTTACTTTTAACATAGTTTCTAATATCACGTCATTCTTATGATATCAATATATCTCCTTATATCAGTCTAAGTTGATCAGAAAACTATGCTGCCTGTCTCAGGATGTGATTAGCTAATATTTTATTTAGGATTTCTGCCTTCAAAATAAGACCGGTCTGTGACCTCCCTTTCTTACGCTGTCCTTATCTAATTTCTGTACTGAAGTTATGCTAGCCTCCTAAATGAATGGAAAAAAAAAACACAACAGCCTAAGCCTATTTTTATGCTGACTTGAAGAGTTGTGTAAGGTTGGACCTTCTGTTCTTTGACTTTTTCCTCCTTATGGTCACACTCTGGCTTCATTTATTCAAGGTGGTATTTATACTTAGGTTTTCTTTTTCTTCTTTGGTTGGTTTGTGTGTTATCTTTTTCCATGAATTTATTCATTTCAGCTACAATTGCAAATTGTTTGGCATATAGTTGCTCATGGCCTCCTCTTAGGACTTTTTAAAACTTTGGCGGCCTTTGGACTTGCAGCTCCTTTACACTCTTCTCTCTCTCTCACCCTCTCTCTCCCCTGCCTCCCTCCTTGATCAGTCTTGATTTGTCTTAACAGTTTGTCTTTATTAACCTCTTCACAGAACTAACTTGTGAATCATGGAAGCACTTCTAAAAGGTCTTTGTTTAGAATTTCATTAATTTTTATTGTATTTTTAAAAAATGATTTCCTTTAATTCCACGGGGGCCCGTGGGTTATTCTCTTTTTTCTTTCTCTTTTCTTTTTTTTTAAGGTGTGCACTTTTATTCAACTGGTCTAAGTCAGTGTACGGGTAGGCCCTGGCTACCTCCACCCACTCCCAGGGAGACCAAAAGCCTTCCTACATCTCAAGTTGGGGGACAAGAAAGGGGGGCCACAAAGGCTGATCATTCAAAATAAAACAAAATAAAAAAGTATTAAGGTGAAGATTTAAAAAATGTTGCAGACCAGGCACAGTGGCTCATGCCTGTAATCCCAGCACTTTGGGGGGCCGAGACGGTTGGATCACGAGGTCAGGAGATCGAGACCATCCTGGCTAATACGGTGAAAGCCCATCTCTACTAAAAATACAAAAAATTAGCCAGGCTTGGTGGCAGACAGACCCCTGTAGTCCCAGCTACTTGGGAGGCTGAGGCAGGAGAATGGCGTGAACCCGGGAGGCGGAGCCTGCAGTGAGCCGAGATGGCGCCACTGCACTCCAGCCTGGGCGACAGAACGAGACTCTGTCTCAAAATAAATAAATAAAATTTAAAAAAATTGCAATACATAATTTACACAAAAGCAATACTATCACCTCCCCTAATGTAAATATATGGACGTCTTCCAGCCAAGCTCTTGGAGTAAATATAAAAATAGGCTGTTTTTCTCCCCCTATTCATTTTAGGAGGCTAGCATAACTTCAGTACCAAAATTAGCTAATGGGCTCAGGAGAGGACTGGACCATTCTCCTTAGAGAGAAGTGGGGTGGCTTTTAGGAGGGCAAGAGACTTCCTGTGACATTGCATCTCACGACATTTGGAATGACTATTTAAAAAAAAGATCAATGTATAATCAAAGTCCTCGGCCACATTGTGAACTTTGGGGGATGCTCCCTCCAACCGACCGCTGTCACCTTCACCGTTCCAGTTTTTAATTCCTGAGTCAAGCCAAAAAAAACAAAAAAATCAAAAACAAACAAAAAACAAAAAAAAGCCACGCCCATCTCATCTTGTTTTCTGCACAAAGTTTTGTCAAGAAAGAGTGTACCACAGCTAAGTCCAGTCTGCCTAGAAGCATTTGCGGTGGAGGATGGAGGGGCCAGGCTCGTCATACGCCTGCTTGCTGATCCACATCTGCTGGAAGGTGGATGGCGAGGCCGGGATGGAGCCGCTGATCCACGCAGAGTATTTGCGCTCGGGAGGAGCAATGACGTTGATCTTCATCGTGCCAGGCGCCAGGGCGGTGATCTCTTTCTGCACCCTGTGGGTGATGCTGGGGTGCATGCTGGTCCCTCCAGACAGCACTGTGTTGGTGTACTGGTCTTCGAGGATGTCCATGTCACACTTCATGATGGAGTTGAAGATAGTTTCGTGGATGCCACAGGATTTCATGCCTGAGGGGGAAATGAGGGCCAGCCTCAGCTTCCACAGCATGGCCCCGAGGGTGACCTTCCTGTGGGCAGGGCCAGGAGGGGGTCTCCACTCACCCCGGAAGGAAGGCGGGAAGGGCTCCTCGGGGCAGCGGAACCGTTCGTTGCCAGTGGGGATGACCTGGCTGTCAGGCAGCTCATAGCTCTTCTCCAGGGAGGAGCTGGTGGTCGCCGTGGCCACCTCCTGCTTGAAGTCCAGGGCAACATAGCACAGCTTCTCCTTAATGTCACACGTGATCGCCCGCTCGGCCGTGGTGGTGAAGCCGTAGCCATGCGCAGTGAGATCTTTGTGAGGTAGTCAGTCTGGTCCCGGCCAGCCGGGTCCAGACACAGGATGGCATGGGGGAGGGTGTAGCCCTCATAGATGGACACTGTGCAGGTGACCCCGTCGCTGGAGTTCATCATGATGCCAGTGGTATGGCCAGGAGTGTACTTGGACAGCACGGCCTGGATGGCCACGTACATGGCCGAGGTGTTGAAGGTCTCAAACATGATCTGGGTCATCTTCTTTCTATTGGCTTTGGGGCTCGGGAGGCCTCGGTCAGCAGCACCGGGTGCTCCCGCAGCTCGTTGTAGAAGGTGTGGTGCCAGATCTTCTCCATGTCATCCCAGCTGCTGATGATGCCATGCTCGATGGGGTACTTCAGGGTCAGGATGCCTCTCTCGCTCTGGGCCTCGCCACCCACATAGAAGTCCTTCTGACCCATGCCCACCGTCATGCCCTGGTGTCTGGGGCACCCCACGATGGAGGGGAAGACGGCCCAGGGGGCATCGTCGTCGGTGAAGCTGGCCTTGCACATGCCAGAGGTGTTGTCTATGACAAGCAAGGTGATATTATCATCCATGGTGAGCTGGGTGGGTGTGGACAGACGGCAGGTGTGGAGGGCGGCGGGTGTGGAGGGCGGCGGGTGTGGACGGGCGGCGGGTGTGGACGGGCGGCGGGTGTGGAGGGCGGCGGGTGTGGAGGGCGGCGGGTGTGGACGGGCGGCGGGTGTGGACGGGCGGCGGGTGTGGAGGGCGGCGGGTGTGGAGGGCGGCGGGTGTGGAGGGCGGCGGGTGTGGACGGGCGGCAGGCGTGGAGGGTGGCGGAATGGGCCAGGGCAAGGCTCTGTGCTCACAGGGCGGACTTGGTCTGGGCCTTTCCTCCTTTTTCTAACTTCATAAGTGAGATGATTAGCTCATTAATTCCCACCTCTCCTCCTTTCCAGCTTAAAGCTATTGGTTTTCCTGGAAGCGCAGTCAGCCCTCCATATGTGCCTGTTCCACACTTGCGGATTCTACCAACTCCAGGTGGAAAACACAGTTTGACAAAGGCTGTGTCTGCACTGAATATGTCCATGTTCTTTCCTTGTTATTGTTCCCTAAACAATACAGTATAGCAACTATTTATGTGGCATTTACATCACATTAGGTATGGTAAGTAACCTAGAGATGATTTGAAGGAGACAGAAGGATGTGTGTAGATTATATGCAAACACAATAGCATTTCACATCAGGAACCTGAGCGCCTGTGGATTGGGGTATGTGTGGGAGGTCCCAGAACCTGTCCCCACTGATCCTGAGGGACGAATGTGCTGTTTGAGCAGCATCCTCAAGCTCTGATAGTATTTTCTGCTTTCATTATGCATTAGTTCTGAATTTTATGTAATTTCCAAGATGATTTATCCTTTGACCTCCAGCTATTTTAGAATGCCCTTTTTCATGTTAAAAATGCATGTTAGATCATCTTGTTGTTGTTGTTTTGGTTTTCTAATTTATTTGCAATCTGATCAGAGACAGGGGTCAATATGATACAAATTGATTGACATTTATGAGACTTACTTTATGGGCCAATAGGTAGTCAATTGTTACAAAGCTGAGCCTGGGCAGAACTCGAACTCTCTAATGGTTGGATCCTGGCAGCTCCATTGGTCTGTTAGATCAGGCTGGTAAATTATCATCCATATCAGTTTGGGCTCCAGAAATTGCAAGTGGCTGATGTCAGACTAACTCTCTGCAGAAAACAATGATAAATTCTGGACAACCTATTTTTAAAAACTATTTAAAGGAACTGGTGAGCCATTGAAACCAGGCAGAAACTGATGGGGTTCAATGTGAGGGAAAAGGCTGGGTCAAGGTCACATTTTTGGGGTTTCTGTCCCAAAGGCACACTCCAGCCCCCTGAGCCAGGCAGCGGGGCTTCAAGCAGCCAGGGTGAATTTCACTGGAGTTGGGGGTCAGAGGATGAGGGGGTTGGGGTGAGAAAAGAAATCTCAGCTAGGAGGGAGCTACAGGGAGGGGACACCCAAATCTTCATCTAACTGATTCCAAATCCTAGGCCTCTAACCCCCAAAACCAAATCTGCACGGAGAGAACTCAAGGAGCCTGGTGAAAGTGGCAGCTGAAAAGATAACCACCCTCATCAAGGACACGCGGAGCTCAGCCTCCGAGTCACACCAGCGTAGGGAAGCGTGATCACCACCTTCATCAAGGACACGCGGAGCTCAGCCTCCGAGTCACACCAGTGTAGGGAGGCGTGATAACCACCCTCATCAAGGACACGCGGAGCTCAGCCTCGAGTCACACCAGTGTAGGGAAGCGTGATAGCTGCCTTGGACATCTGTCAAGACCCCAAGGGTCATTCCTTAGGGGCACAGAGTAAGCTCCAAGATAGGATGTTCCCCCGAGACACATCTAGATATCCCGATAACTCTTAAAGAACTCGAATTTATAATTAAAATCTCCCAAATAAGAAATCTCGAGGCCCAGCTTGTCTCCCTGGAGATTTCCATCCAACATTGAAACAGAATGAGGCCAGGCATGGTGGCTCACACCTGTAATCCCAACACTTTGGGAGGCTGAGGCAGGTGGATCACCTGAGGTCAGGAGTTCAAGAACAGCCTGGCCAACATGGTAAAACCCCGTCTCTATTAAAAAATACAAAAAATCAGCCAGGGCTGGTGGCACACGCCTGTAATCCCAGCTACTTGGCAGGCTGAGGCAGGAGAATCACTTGAATCCAGGAGGCGGAGGTTGCAGTGAGCAGAGATCATGCCATTGCACTCTAGCCTGGGTGACAAGAGTGAAACTCTGTCTCAAAATAATAAATAAATAAATAAAAATAAAAAGAATGAGGATAAATTCTATGCAATCTCTTCCAGGAAACAGAAGAGGAGGAGGCATTTCCTAGCTTATTTATGAAACCAGCCTTAGCGTGATGTCAAAACATTCAAAAGTTTAAAGAAGTCTTATAGACTCTCGTATCTTAACCCAATGGAAATTAGAAACCAAATTAATCAATTTTAAAAAGACCTAGAAAATTTCCCAAATATTTGACAAAGAAAAAAATCACATAGGAAATTAGAAAACATCCGACCCAAATAAAAATGAAAATACAATGCATCAAAATTTGTGAGGTGCAGTTTACACTGTGCTTACAAGGAATGGGTAGCTTTAAATGATTTTACTAGTAAAAAAAAAAAAAAGATTTGAAATCACTCGTCTAACCTTCCAACTAAAAACAAAAAAGAAGAGCAAATTAAACCAACTTCGGTGGAAGAAAGGAAATGACAGTGCAGAAATCAAAATCAAAATAAAAATAATAGTAAAAATAATAGGGGATAATTAACAAACTGATTAAAAACCCTAGCAAAACTAATGTTTAAAAAGGCAGAAAAAACAATTTACCAACAGCAGGAATGAGAGGATGTTGGGAGATCTCTCTGCATCGAGCTCTCACACTTCCGTCCTGGACTACGGAAGGAGATTAAAATATGCTTCACTGGGGCCGGGCGCGGTGGCTCACGCCTGTGATCCCAGCACTTTGGGAGGCGGAGGCGGGCGGATCACGAGGTCAGGAGATCGAGACCATCCTGGCCAACACGGTGAAACCCCGTCTCTATTAAATACATGAAATTAACCTGGTGTGGTGGCGCGCGCCTGTAGTCCCAGCTACTCAGGAGGCTGAGGCAGGGGAAGCACTTGAACCCAGGGAGTGGAGATGGTACCACTGCACTCCAGCCTGGTGACAGAGCGAGACTCCGACTCAAAAAAAAAATTAAAAATAAAAATTAAAAATGCTGCACTGGCTGGCATATTAACTATGAGTTAAAAGTACTTGGAAAACAGCAGGTACAGAAAGATCACCTTGACCTTTGTGCCGTTTCTTAAAAGCAGGAGCTGAAATTCCCACGTGAAATCTGCAACACCCTTATCTTCAAGAACGAGAAATCTAAGAGAATTCTGTACAGCCCTTGTTAGACTAGCTCTTATCTCTTAAGCCTCCCCGCCTAACTCGCTTGCTTCTTCACAGTTTGTTTCTTCGTTTCCTTAGGAAGGCTCCTGAGCCACATAGAACTTCTTTTGAATAAATGTGTGCGCCTTTCTCCTGTCGATCTGTTTCATGCCAATTTAATTCTCGGGCCATGCCAGGACCCCAAGAGGATGGAGGTGGAGTTCTGCCACCTTCTACTATCTTTCCAGGGATGTTTGCAGAACCTTAGCAGAGGCAGTGTCTCCCTGCAGGGCGGAGGGCAGATTGTCCTGGATAATAAAGATGGGGTCCCCCTATGGGCCAAATAAAGATAATGTCTCCCTCCAGAGTGAGACTCCGTCTAAAAAAAAAAAAAAGATAATGTCTCCCTCTGGGCAGGTTTGATAGCAGGTCTTTATGAAATATTGGGGCTTCCTAAACTTGGGGTTCCTCGTCTGGGACTCAGAACTACCACATCCAAAGCACCTGCCTGAGCTGTTCCTCATCCCCCGTGAGACTTGGGGACCAGCACGAAGCTCCTGCTGCCTGACGAGCTTGAGGAATCGAGTGCTTGCTCTCCGGGAGTCTCTGCCTGCACCTGGGCAACTGAGCGAGATATATGTTAGCTGGGTGGGAGGGCACATGGAGGGAGGAAATGGAAAACCTGCACAAATGGAGAGACAGACCATCACGTCCAGTAATCGGAAGACTCGAGGGTGTTAAGGTGGCAGCTATCTTCAGATTTCTCTACAGATTTTACACAATCCAAATCAAATACCATCAGGATTCCAAAACATATGTGGAAAGGCAAAGGAACTAGAAGAGCCAAATTAATGTTTACAAAGTTGGGAGGGTCATACTACTCCATTTCCAGATAAAATTTATTGGCCGGGTGCGGTGGCTCACGCCTGTAATCCCAGCACTTTGGGAGGCCGAGGCGGGCGGATGATGAGGTGAGGAGATCGAGACCATCCTGGCTAACACGGTGAAACCCCATCTCTACTAAAAATACAAAAAATTAGCCGGGCGTGGTGGTGGGCGCCTGTAGTCCCAGCTACTCGGGAGGCTGAGGCAGGAGAATGGCGTGAACCCGGGAGGCGGAGCTTGCAGTGAGCTGAGATTGCGCCACTGCACTCCAGCCTGGGTGACAGAGCAAGACTCTGTCTCAAAAAAAAAAAAAAAATTATTTACCATAAAGCTCCGGTAACCAAGAACATGTACAGTCGGTGGTAGGATAGACTCAGAGGTAAATGGGACAGAATAGAAAGTCCAGAGAGACACCCACACAAACATAGTAGCTTAATTTTTGACAAAGATACAAAGTAAATCAATTGAGAGCGGATTGTCTTTCACTAAATGATGCTGGAAAAATTAGACATTAACTGCAAACGAAGCAAATGAAAAACCTCGAGCTATGCCTCATACTCACACAAAAATGAATTCAAAGTAGATCACGGACCTAACTGTAAAACGTAGCACCAAAAAACTTAAAAAGAAGCAGCATAGGAGAAAAATCTGCATGAGCCTGAGTGAGGCAGAGTTCTCAGACAGGATTTGCCAGTGGAAGGATTGATGAGTTGGACTTCACCAAAACAAAACTTTCAGTCTTCAAATGGCACTGTTAAGAAAAGGAAAAGATAAGCTATGAGCTTGGAGAAAATATGTGCAAATCTGATGTCCAGCAATGGATTTGTATCAAAAATACATAAAGAGGCCGGGCGCAGTTCCTCACACCTGTAATCCCAGCACTTTGGAAGGCTGAGGTGGGCAGATCATCTGAGGCCAGGAGTTCGAGACCAGCCTGGCCAACATGGTGAGACAGTCTCTACTAAAAATGCAAAAATTAGCCGGGCATGGTGGCGGGTACCTGTAACACCAGCTACTCGGGAGGCTGAGGGAGGAGAATCACTTGAACCCCAGAGGCGGAGGTTGCAGTGAGCTGAGATTGTGCCACTCCAGCCTGGGTGACAGAGTGAGACTCCATCTCAAAAATAAATAAATAAATAAATAAATAGAGAATTCTCAAAACATAACAATAAAAAACCCCCAAAACCCAATAAAGCAAAGGGTAAAAGATTTGAGCTTTACTAGAGACACGGGGCTGTCAACGGAGCACATGAAAAAATGCTCAGCATCGTGAGTATGTTACTGAAAATCCAGGGCTTCAGTCCAGGTCCTGCCATGCATTGCACAGAAAGCCAATCGCTGAGACAAGTACTGCCAGGGAAGAAGGCTTTAATTGGGTGCTGCAGCTGAGGTGATGGGAAATCAGTGTCAAATCCATCTCCCCAACCAGCTAAAATCAGGGGCTTATATGGCAGAGGAGAAATGTAAACCACTTGTGGGAAACAGGAAATAGAGAGGCCTAAGAAAGAGTTGGTCAGCAGTAAGCAGGTGGTGGGTTAGGCAGTCATAACGGGTGAGGGGTCCAGCATCTCATTTTCCAAATGCAGAGATCTGGTGAGTTTCAGCTCCTTGACACTATCTGGGAGACATGATGGCTGGTTTCCGGAGAAGGGAACTCAGAGATAAGACAAATGTAACTCTCTCAAGTTTTAAGACTGGGAGGATCAATTTCTATGTTTATTCAAAAGAAACCATCGACATCACCTCTATGGGACAGTTGGGTTGGTTTCAGTATTAAGAAAATTCAAAATAAATCCACAACGAGTTACCACTACATATTTATTAGAATAGTAAGTTAAAAGAAAATAACAGGCCAGGTGCGGTGGCTCATGCTTGTAATCCCAGCACTTTGGGAGGCTGAGGCAGGAGGATCACTTGAGGCCAGGAGTTTGAGGCCAGCCTGGCCAACATGGTAAACCCCATTTCTGTCAAAAATACAGAAATCAGCTGGGTGTGGTGGCACACGCCTGTAGTCCCAGCTGCTCGGGAGGCTGAGGTGGGAAGACAGTTTGAACCTGGGAGGTGGACGCTGCAGTGAGTGAGATCGCGCCACTGCACACCAGCCTGGGTGACAGAGCCAGACCCTGTCTCAAAATAAATAAATAAATAAATAAAAATTTAAAAACGAGAAGCACTGCATGCCAGGAGGATGTGGAGTGGCCAGAACCTTGCCCGTCGCTGCTGGAAAGGTGAGACGGGGCAGCCATGCTGGCAAGCGGTCAGGCAGCTTCTTGTAGAGTCTAAGGTGTGCTCAGATGTGATCTGCCATCAACTCCAAGGTATCTGGAGTGAAACAAAAGCTCATGTTCACACAAGCACCTGTACACACATGTTTAAAACAGCATTATTCATTAGCATGAGATGTTACAAACAACCCCAAAGCCCTTCAATGTACGAACAGATAAACGTACTGAGATAGACCTGTGCACGGAATATTCCTAAGCAAAAAAAGGAACCAATTGCCTGTCCGGGTGGCAACGCGGATGGCTCTCAAATGCGTCATGCTGAGTGAGAAAGGCCAGACCTACAGGCTGCACGATTCCAATTGTGTGACATTCTGGAAATGACAGAAACTATAGGGACCAAAAATGGGTCAGTGACTGCCAGGAGTGAAGGGTGGGAGGGTTGACCACAAAAAGGAAGCTTCAGGGACAATTTTGTGGTGACAGGATTGCTCTAGATCCTGGTTTTAGTGGAAGTTATGTAACTGTATGTATTCATCAAAACTCACAGACCTGTACACGCACAAACAAGTGAAGTTCACTGTCCGTAAAATAAAAACTGCATTTAAAGACACAATATTCATTCTTTCAAAAGTTTACTGTCAATCAGTCAATCTCCTCCTCCTCCTCCTCTCTGGGAATGTGAGGTCCTTATAACCTCAAACTCTAATCTCTCTCTCCTATTCTTAGGTATTATAGGTGAGTATTTTATTTCTACTTTTTTTTAAACCCCTATGGCTTGTTTTATTATTTCTAAGTTAATTTTTTTTAGTTGTACATAAATGTTAACCAGTTATTTAACTCATCATTTCTTCTTGTGCCTTTTTTTTTGAGATGGGGTCTCATTCTGTCACCCACTGGTGCAATCTTGGCTCACTGCAGCCTTGAACTCCAGGGCTCAAGCGATCCTCCCACCTCAGCCCCCCAAGTAGCTGGGACTACAAATGCGTGCCACCATGCCCCTAATTTTTTTTTTTTTTGGTAGAGACACGGTTTTGGTATGTTGCCCAGGCTGGTCTCAACCTCCTGGGCTCAAGTGATCCTTTAGCCTCAGCCTCCCAAAGTGCTGGGATTAGAGGCGTGAGCTACGGTGCCCGGCCTTCTTCTTGTGCTTGATGAGTCTTCCTGGCTAGAATTTCTTCCTGAAATCGACTCATTAATAGTTTCTTTAGTTTGACTCAATTCAATTTAGTTAATTGAATTTGGTATGCAAATAAAACACCTTCATTTCCTCCCAGGTCTTGAATAATCATTAGATGGGTAAATGTTTCTATGCTGGCAGGGGTCTCTTACAAGCAATTTGGGTTTTTTTTTGTTTTCTTGTGTTTTTTTTTATTTTTTATTTTTTTTTTGTGACAGAGTTTTACTCTGTCATCCAGGCTGGAGTGCAGTGGCTCAATCTCAGCTCACTGCAACCTCTGCCTCCTGAGCTCAAGCCATTCTCCTGTCTCAGCCTCCTGAGTAGCTGGGACTACAGGCAGGCGTCACCACACCCGGCTACTTTTTATATTTTTAGTAGAAACAGGTTTCACTGTGTGGGCCAGGCTGGTCTCGAACTCCTGACCTCAAGTAATCCACCCGCCTCGGCCTCTCAAAGTGCTGGGATGACAGGCGTGAGCCACTGCACCTGGCCTCCCACGAGCAATTGGAAATGTACGTCCACATTCTTCATACTCCTGTTTTTGCCAAGAGACCTGCTTTCAGCGTATTAGCCATCTTTTGTTGGGTGATCTGGCACGATCCTAAATTGTGTGAACATCGTTCTCTTGCCTTTTCTTCTGGCTACTGTTTATGAACGCCTCCCCAACTCGTCTCCATCAGTTTCTCTGGCTTTTCCAGTTTGTATACAGGACATCCTGTCAGGTGAAGTGCCTGTTCAGGTCATTTGCCCATTTTTGATCAAATGATCCCCATATCCTCACTGATTTCCAGGAGCCCTTTTTATTCTGGACACCTGTCCTTTTCAGTGATAAGTGTGGCAAATATCTTCTCCAGCTCCATAGATTATCTTCCCACTGCTTATGGAGATTTGTTTTATCAACTTTATTAAGATATGATTAAATACAATAAAATGCACAGATTTTTTTTTTTGAGATGGAGTCTTGCTCTGTCACCCAGGCTGGAGTGCAGTGGCGCGATCTTGGCTCACTGTAAGCTCTGCCTCCCAGGTTCACACCATTCTCCTGCCTCAGCCTTCTGTGTGGCTGGGATGACAGGCGCCCGCCACCACACCAGCTGATTTTTTGTATGTTCAGTAGAGATGGGGTTTGGAGTTTCTCATGCTTCTTTAGACCATGGCTGGGGCTCCTTTCGGCAGTGATCACGTCCACTTCTCATCTCCGTTCCATTCTCTCTCTAAGGCTCCACCACCTGCTAGACGCTCTCCTGCATCCCGCCTCACCCATCGCGCCTGCCGGTTCTGCCTCCCGCATGCTTTTGTCTTCCTTCCAGTTCACGAATTCTCTTTCAAGGGGCACCCACTTGCTAGCAGGTCCGTTTCCGCCACCACCGAGGTTTTTCTATTTTTTAATTCTAGAATTTCCATTTGATTCTTTTTCATAATTTCAAGTTTTATGCCAGATTTGGTTTATCTAATTTCTTGAAGATAAGACTCAGAGTTACATTAAAGAGATACATGACAATATTCCCCGTGCAATGGCTCATGTGAGACAGCCCCCCAGCCATAACAAAGCAAGGGGTCCGTTTCCCCGGGGGACACGTTCCAGGACCCCCCCAGTGGATGCTGGACACTGGGGACGGCAGACAGCCCTGAACCCTCTATATACACACCTGTGTTAAAGTTTAATTTATAAATTAGGCACAGTAAGAGATTCACAATAACCGACAGTAAAAGAGAACAATTGTAAGAGTATACTGCAACAAAGTTACGAGATGTGGCCTATGTTGCGCTCACCCTTCTTCCTGTGAGGCAAAAGGGATGGAGCCCGCAGGGCACGAGAGCTCCTCGTGCTACTCAGAACACTGCACAATTTGGAACTTACAAGGCGGGGCCTGGTGGCTCATGCCTGTAACCCCAGCACTTTGGGAGGCCAAGGCAGGTGGATCACCTGAGGTCAGGAGTTCGAGACCAGCCTGGGCAACATGATGAAACCCTATCTCTACTAAAAATACAAAAATCAGCCAGGCGTGGTGGTGGGTGCCTGTAATCCTAGCTACTCAGGAGGCTGAGGCAGGAGAATTGCTTGAACCCAGGAGGCAGAGGTTGCAGTGAGCCAAGACCGCACCACTGCACTCCAGCCCAGGCCACAGAGAAAGACATTGTCAAAAACAAAAAACAAAAAACAAACAAACAAACAAAAAAAAAAACCTTATGAATTGCATCTTTCTGGAATTTTCCATTTAATGTTTTCAGACCATACTTGGCCATCGGTAACTGAACCCACAATGAGGGGTGACTACTGTGGCACAGCTCGAACAGCGAGAATCTGTTGTCTCTCAGTCCCGGAGGCTGGAGTCTGAGATCAACCTGTGGCAGGGCTGTTTCTTCCCAGGCCGCTCTCCATGGCTTGCAGACGCTGCCTTCTCCCTGTGTGCCCTCAGAGCCGTCCCTCGGTGTGTGTTTGTCCTTACCTCTCCTTCTTGTAGGGACACAGCCACACTGAATTAGGGCTTTCCCTGGAGACCTCATTTTAACTTAATTGCCACTTTAAAGATTCCATCTCAAACAGCCTGACTAACATGGTGAAACCCCATCTCTATTAAAAATATAAAAAATTTAGCCAGGCGTGGTGGCACACACCTGTAATCTCAGCCACTTTGGGAGGCTGAGGCAGGATAATCACTTGAACCCACCCGGGAGGCATAGGTTGCAGTGAGCCGAGATTGTGCCACTGCACTTCAGCCTGGGTGACAGAGTGAGACTCTGTCTCAAAAAAAAACAAAAAGAAGATCCCATCTCGAGCTACAATCACATCGTTAGGCACCGAGAACTAGGATTGCAACATGTGAATTTTGAGAGGACACAATTTAGCCCATAACACAACTGCTCAAAGCGCATTTGGGAGGTTGCAGAAGTGAAAGGATTTCTGTGTCCCCAAACCGGGGGCCCACAGGGGCCGCCTTCTCTATGACCAGACCTCATGCAGAAAGACTTTGATTTGAAAGTGAGATCAGACCCGTCTCCTGGAGGCTGCAAGCTCCGGGGGAGTCAGGAATGGAATAGGATCTCAGGTCCTTGGGCAGCACCCGACCCCCGACGGCAGCGCCAGTGTGTCCCAAAGAGGAGCCTGCAGGGAAGAGATGCTGATGTTGAACGGGGCCAGGCCATGGTGCATGGCGAGCCTGAGTGGCACTGTGTTAGGACAAACAAGAAATCCTCCCCTTGCAGAAGGCTCTGGGCCTGGGCCTTGCCTGTGTCCCCTCCCCTGCAAGGAACCACCCTTCCTCCATGGAGGGGCAGCTTGGTGGGCCTGTCCATCAACTGGTGGCTGTGG
Organism: Homo sapiens; assembly: GCF_000001405.40. NCBI lineage: Eukaryota > Metazoa > Chordata > Mammalia > Primates > Hominidae > Homo > Homo sapiens. The sequence continues at coordinate 1,815,064 of NC_000011.10, forward strand.
CCATGCTCCCCGAGAAGGAAGACCGTGTCATTCCAGGGACTGCTCATGGGCTCCCGGACCAGGAAGCCTGAATGGGCTCTTTGGTTCTTTCTTCTGGTCTGACGGCTGCCCCTCCTTCCAATAAATGCCCTCTTTTCTTCCTGGCTTAAGTTCGCCAGCTTCAGTTTGTGTTATTGCAACCAGAGAGCCTTAACCATCCCCAGGGCTCTGTGATGATTCCACTGGAATTTCCCGGTGGTGGTGGGGCACTGAGGCCCTGGGGAGGCTACGGCCCTAGGAGGCTGGGCCTGGGGCATGGGCGGCCAGGAGCCTGCTGGGTGGCTGGGCGCTCTGGGCATCACGTCCAGGGCCTTCCCGGGAGAAAGGCCAGATACAGGCCCAAACACCAAGCTCTTTCCCTCCCTTCCCCAGGAGAAGGGCCCCATGGGAGCAGGGGTGTCTCCTTCCATAAACGGACAGGGGCTGGGCTCACGTGTGAGTCCCCTAGAAGGGGTGACAACTTCTGGCCTTTCTGAGAATACTCCAGGATGACAAGGTGGGGAGATGTGGAGCTGCAAGAAGTGCTAGCATGTTCCTCGGGAATGAGGAGATCTCAGAGTCATGAGGGCTTAACCCACATTGTAGTGGGCCCAGGAATGGGACTAACTTCTGGATAAACTCAGGGAGAATGCACCAGAAGACAGCAGCCCACAGAGCTGCCTTGCCACGCATTCCCGGGATGAAGGCAGCTGAGGCAGGAGCTCTAGGCTGGCTAAGAACACAGGTGTCATCCAGGACCACTTGATGTCAGCTGGGGCCACCCAAACTGCCTCAAAACCTACAAACGGTGGCTGTGTTGGCCATGCATGGGGCACCCCATGTAAGAGCAAATGGCGCAGGTGACCCACCTGTTGGAGTGGGTCTGGTTGGACAAACCAAGGGGTGTCCACGCTGGGGAGCCTCTGTGGCTGACAGTGGGTGAGAGGCTCTGGGCAAAGCTGTGGCTGGTCTCCCAGACCCGTGTCTGGGGCACTCAACATGGGGCAGACCAGATGGGGATTAACACACTGTCGTTTACTAAGAAAGGTTTTGGGGTGTGAATAAATATCTTTTAAAAGATGGAACTGTCAATCAAAGCTTGCAAAAAGAGACCGGGCGCCATGGCTCATGCCTGTAATCCCAGCACTTCGGGAGGATGAGGCGGGCAGATCACATGAGGCTAGGAGTTTGAGACCAGCCTGGGCAACATGGCGAAATCCCGTCTCTACTAAAAATACAAAAATTAGCCAGGTGAGGTGGTGGGCGCCTGCAGCCCCACCTACTCAGGAGGCTGAGGCAGGAGAACGACTTGAACCCAGGAGGCGGAGGTTGCAGTGAGCCGAGATCACACCACTGCACTCCAGCCTGGGCAATACAGCAAGACTCTGTCTCAAAAAAATAAAAATAAAGCTTGCAAAAAGGGGCAAGGGGCACCTGAAAGAGACAGCAACCAGGATGCTGAGCAACCTGCCTGTGCCCTGTAGTTTTTTCAGTCATAAAACAGTTCACATAAAACAGTTCACAGTCATAAAACGGTTCAGATAAACGTATGCACTCCAAGAAGTCAAGAAAGAAACTTAAAATCCTGTAGGTAAATTAGAAATATCAGTATGATTCCATGATATATTTACCTTTAAAAATATATATTTCCAGCTGGGCCACAGTGGCTCACTCCTGTAATCCCAGCACTTTGAGACGCCTAGGCGGGTGGATCACTTGAGGTCAGGGGTTCAAGACTAGCCTGGCCAACATGGTGAAACTCTGTCTCTACTAAAAATACAAACATTAGTTGGGCATGGTGGTGCATGCCTGTAATCCCAGCTACTCAGGAGGCTGAGGCAGGAGAATTGCTTGAACCCAGGAGGTGGAGGTTGTAGTGAGCTGGGATCATGCCACTGCACTCCAGCCTGGGTGACAGAGCAAGACTTTATCTTAAAAAAACAAAACAAAAAAAAGTTATTTCCTAAGCCAGTCAAAAAAAGAAAAAAGAAAAGACAAATACTGTATGATTCTATTTGTATGAGGTCCCTAGAGTAGTCAAATTTATAGTGACAGAAAGTAGGATGGCGAGTGCCAGGGGCTGGGGGAGGTGGAGGGGGAGTTGGATTTAATGGGAGCAGAGCTGCTGCTTTTCGAGACAAAAGGCATTCTGGAGCTGGATAGTGGGATGACAGCAGCGCGAATGTACTGAATGCCACGGAACTGTGCACTTAGAAGATGGTAAATTTTGTTACACATATTTTACCACCATACAAAAACTGGAAAAATAGGTCTTGCCTAATTCTGTCCACAGTAAAAGCTTAGAAACAATGAAAATAGACTAGTAGCAATGAGCACCCTGGCACCCAAAGTGGGACCTCTAAATACCCACCAAACTCCCTTCAAAAAGAACCGTGAACCCTTGGAGAAATGACTGGTTCTGGGCTGAGCCATGACATAGCCATGACATAAGATAAACCTGGAACTTCTCATTGCATCAGAAAGCTAAGAAACAATCAAAGACTACTGAGGTCATTTCAAGATGACATACCAGTCAACTTAAATGTATCCCCATTGACCAAATGTGGGACCACATGGTCACCAGTAAAGACAATAAGTTCAATGAATGGAAGGGCATTGTGTCAGGCACACCCTAATGCGGCCTCCAGTGAGTAATGGCCTTATTTAATCCCCTGCCCTGAGGCAGGGCAGAATCTGTGATTTTTCTTTGACTGAGAGATTAAAGCAAAAGTGAAGAGACTTTGCAGATATAATTAAGTTCCTAACCAGTTGACTTTGAGTTAATCAAAAGGAGATTTTTCTCAGTGGTCCTGACTTAACAGGCAAGCCCTTTGTAAGAGAGTCTAGGGCTTCTCTGAAGTTAGAGACTCGAAGGGGCAGAGACCCTCTCTCTCTGTTGCTGGCTTTGAAGGAGGAAGCTGCCATGAATTCTGCAACTTCATGGAAATAAGTTCTGCCAAAACCTAAATGAGCCTGGAAGCTGCTCCCTCCCTAGTTGGGTCTCCAGATGAGAACACAGCCTGGCTGACAGCTTGATCTCAAGCTAGTGAGACCCTGAGTGAGGAATCTGGCTAAGCTATACCAGGACATCTGGCATACAGAAGTGCATATACTAAATGGGAGCTTTATGTTTGTGGCAATTTGTTCCACAGCCATTGAGAATTACTGCACACATTCAATACAGTACATTTAAGTAATATACTTCAATTTATGATTTCACAATAATATATATTTAAAATAATCAATATTTTTCTCTGCCTTCCCTGTACCAAATATTTGATGTGGGAAAGTGTATCTTTAGAAGAACTCTTGCAAATAAATGCTGAAGAAATACCAAGTTTAGAAAATTGCAATTTTGCAACCCCTAATGAAATGATGGATCTAGGGCAGTGGTCCTCAACTGGGGGCAGTTTTGCCCCTCTGGCAATATCTACAGGTATTTTTGATTGTTGTAACTGAGAGTTGCTGTAGGGATCAGGGATGCTGACAAATATCCTAAAGTGCACAGGACAGCCCCACAGCAAACATTATCTGGCTGGGTTAGAAAGACCCTAAGGTGAACCACAGTGATTTCTGCTTCCTGTTGGCTGTGCTTCTGTGTTGTCCCCTCTCCTTGAAAGTGTTAACCAACAGAATATGGCAAAGGTGGTAGATGTCACACCTGGGATTATATTATAGTATATAATATTCTGGAGTCACTCTCTCTGTCTCCTGCTGGCCTTGAAGAAGCAAGAGCCATGTGTGAACTGCCTTTGAGGGGCCCACAAGACTGGGAACTATGGGTGGCCTGCAGGAAGTGAGGACCTCAGTGCTACAACCACAAGGACCTGAATTCTACCAACAAGCTAAGTGAATGCAAAGCAGGCCCTGTCCCAGTTGGACCTTCAGATGAGAATGCAGCCCCAGCTGACACCATGGGATCCTGAGGTAGAGAACCCAGCTAAGTTGTGCCCCAGGCTTCTACCCACAAAAACTGTGAGATAAGAAACATGTGTTGTTCTAAGCCACTAAGTTTGTGGCAATTTGTTCCACACCATAGAAAACTAACAGCCTGGCCCCAAATGCCCACAATGCCAAGACTGAGAAACCTAACTTAGGGCTTGTTGTTGTGGTTGTTTTCTACAAGGGCTGAGTTGCAAACACATCTGTCTTTGCAGGCCATTTGCTCTCTGTCATTGTGTCTGTTTTTTATCACTGTGTAATAAATCACCACAAACCCAGCTGTGAAACAAATCCTGTGCATCCTGTGGAACAGAGCTCTGGGCATTCCTGTAGGGCTTTTTCCTTAGGTCCTCACTGGCTGAGAGCAGATGCCAGCCAGGCTGGGCTCCTCTCTGGAGGTGCTGGGGAAGACTCCACTCTCGGGGCATTCACGGTGTGGACACAATTCGGTTCTTGTGTTTGTAGGTCCCCATCTTCCTGCTGGCTGTAGGCAGGGTGACTCTCTGCAGGAGGTCGTGCTCAGTCCTTTCCCCTGGTTCATGGAGAGCCTTCCTCGAGGAGAATCACTGTGAATCCCTCTCAATTTCTCTCCTACCACCAGCTGGGGGGTAAAAAAAACAACCCAAACTCTGCTTTTACAGGGCTCATGGGATTCAACCAGGCCCACCGTGATCCTCTCTCTATTTTAAAGTCAACTCATCAGCAGCCTAAACTTTATCCGCAAAATGCCTTTTGCCAGACAACATAACACACTCACAAGGGTGAGAATTATTCACAATTCTGGGAATCACGGCACAAAGTCTGGGGGGACCTTCTTGGAATCACCACAGCCATGGTACCATGAAAGCAGTCACAGATGGTACATAAGTGAATGAGTGGGGGCCATGTTCCAATAAAACTTTATTTACAAAAACAGATGGGGAATAAGATTTGGCCGGGGGCGACTGTAGTTTGCTGACCCCTGTTCTAGGAAATGTCACCAGCAGCTGCTAAAACCATGAAAAGAAAAGCCACTGGGCACTTAGTGGCTTATGGCTGTAGCTGGCTACACCCAAACCTACTCACTGATCAGCCCCATATCCCAGGAGGAAGTTCCAGGACATCCAGTGCCTCCCGCCATGCACAAAGGAAGTGCCATCTCCCTCCATGAAGCGGCCTTGCCAAAAGGCTTGACCTTACACTGATCAGGCCTCAGCACTATAGAGTAAGGAAAGACACCTGAAACGCTGTGTTGCGACTTGTGAAACCCAGAATGTTGGGAACTCCTTAGGATGAGCGCCCTTGCTTCTTCAACAAATAAGTGGCAAGAATGAAAAGACAGAGGCACTAATTGATCAAAGGGGGCTCCAGAGGCGCAGGAGCAAGATGGCACATGAGTTCCATGTGGGGTGACTTGAAGACACCATCCGTAAGATCCATTGATGAGACAATGGGGGAAATTTGAGCCCTGTCCAGGTTTGATCATATTTAAGAATTACTGGTATTTGTTTAGCTGTGAAAATGGATTTTTGAAAAAGCGTTCTTATCTTTTGGGAACATGAGAAGAGAGACAGAGGCCCACTGCGGCTTGCTATAATAAAAGGAATCTAGAGAGGGTGTTGCAGGGTGGGAGGCACTGGCTGGCTGTTTGGCGGTACTCATGGAATCTAAGGAAGCCTTGGAATGTTTCTGTGTGTGTGTAAAATTCTCCCAATAGAGGGTTTGGGAATAATCTGCCTTCAGACTACAAGGCAAGCTTCAAACGGAAAGGCCCAGGGGCCAGGGGAGCCCCTCAGAGCTGTGGGTACCTGGCTTTCTCTCCACCAAGCACTCCAGGTAAACATGGGTTGTGACTTGTTACGGAGAAATTGCCCCTGGGCATTTGTGAGTCAGGGATGCTGTGTGCCAGAGTGTGGCCAGCAGCAGCTTTTAGGACTCCTTCCCTCCATGTGGCCCTGGGGGCCACTGTTCAAGTTCCCAAGGGACAACCCAGCTTCCCTCCACCTTGGCCTTGGCAGCTGAACGCCTAATTCCTGAGAAGCCTAAAATCACCCAGGGACCGCCCAGTGGGTCTTAAAAGTTTGCTCCTGCACCATCCTACTCACTCAGCACAGCTACAAGCTGCAACAGATATTCGGTACATAGGAGCTTGAGAACAACGGGGCCACACCTACAATGCGGCAGCTTACGAATCGCGCCAGACCCAGCAAGCCAGGATGACAGCCACTGACTATTACCATGAGAATCTTGGGGCCTGCGTGTCCAGCACCACCTCCATGACTGCATAAAGTCATACATGGGAGGGAGGGAGGAGAAGAAGGAGGGAGAGAAGGCAAAATGGAGTAGGTGGATGGATGGATGGATGGATGGATGCTTGGGTTGATGAATGGTTGGGTGGATGGATTGGTGAATGGATGAGTGGGTGAGTGAGCGGGTAGATGAATGAGTAGATGAATGTGTGGATGGATGGATGGATGGATGGATGGATGGATGGATGGATGGATGAATGGATAAATGGATGTTTGGGTGGATAAATGGGTGGGTGGATGAGTGGACAGATGAGTAGGTGGATGGATGGATGGATGGATGGGTGGATGGATGGATGGATGGATGGATGGATGGATAGATGGATGGATAGATAGGTAGATGGAAGGATGGTTGAGTGGATAAATGGATGGGTGAATGAGTGGGTAGATGAATGGATGGGTGGATGGATGAATGAGTGGGTAGATGAGTGGATGGATAAATGGTTGGATGGATGGATGGATGGATGGACTGATGATTGGATGGATGGATGGATGGACTGATGATTGGATGGATGGATGGATGGATGCATGGATGGATGGATGGATGGATGGAAGGATGCATAGATGGATGGATGGATGGTTGGGTGGATAGATGTGGATGGATGAGTGGGTGGATGAGTGGATAGAGGAATGGATGGATGGTTGAGTGGATAGATGGATGAATGGATGGATGGATGAATGGTTGAGTGAATGGATGGATGGATGAATGGTTGTGTGAATGGATAGATGGTTGTGTAGATAGGTGGGTGGATTAGCGGGTAAATGAGTGAGTGGCTAGCTAGCTAGCTACCAATCTATCTACCTATCCACCTGGCTATCCATGTAGCTAGATAGATAGATGCAGAGAGAGGATAGATAGGGGCACACAGAGGATGAAGGAAATGACAGATATGAGCATACCTGCAAACACAGAGCCCCATGGACAGGCAGATGAACACACACTAGCAGGAATAGCCTCTGACATCCCAGCCACCTTACAGCTCTCCGCGCTTCCTACGTGGTAACTTATGGCAGCCCTTGGATGTGTGTACTGCAGAGGGGGCATGTGAGGTTCAGGAGGGCCCTCCTTCTTGCTCAGCATCCTGCAGCTAGTAGGCAGAGGGACCCACACCAAGCGTCTCTGGGTGCCATGCTAGGACCCACAGAAATGCAGGCTTACCCAGGCCCCTGGAGATCAGATGGGCCCACAGAGAGGACAGAAGCTGGGGCCTGTGGATGACCCAGAAGTTCAGACACACCCACAAGTACCAGAAGTACACCAGGGGCCCACAGAAACTCAAGAGCCAAGGAGGATTCTTGGAACCACAGAGGGGAACACACACAGGCAGACACACAAACCCAGACAGCTCTTTTACCAGGATGACTGGATGGGTTAAAGGAACTTTCCTCAGCCCCACACCCCACACCCCACACCTCACGCCAGCCAGATATGCCCACAGTTAGGTCAGGGAGGGGTGGCCGAGAGTAACCAGGGGAGGGTTGGCTTTGGGCCACCAACAATCAGCCAACCCAGCCAGAAGCAGCTGTCACCATGAGGTGACTCTAGGGCCTGAAGAAGCCACTGAGGCCAGCAGTAGAGAGGTTCCACTGCCACCACCCCCAGGCCAACCCTCCTCTCTACCCTAGGGCCTGCCCTGAGCCCTCCAGAGTTCTCTATATTTGGAGATGCTGCCTTTCCGGCCGGCAGCCTTAGCAAGAACCAGCCCTTTGCTGGCCTACTTTGAGCTAATCCCCCAACCCTGCCCTGTGGGCACTGGGCAAACAAGCAGCCAAGTGGGCTGGAAGTGCAGCTGGGAGCCAGTCAGGGTCTCCAGGCAAGGAGAGAGAGGAGCTTGGGAAGTTCCAGGTCCCCAGGTCACCGCAGGGCAGCTTCTAGGTCAACATAGCCTGGCTGGATTCTGGCGAGCTGGTCCTGCGCCCTTGCTGTGTGCCTGCATTGCTTCTGCCTAGAACACTGGCCCTCTGATCTCCAGTCCTAGGACAACTCCCAGGTCACTGAAGGCCCACTGGGCTCTTTTCCCCTGGTAAACACTGTGGGCCTAGGCTCTTGCCTAGCGCTGGGCAGGCCTCTCCGGACCCCCACATGGGCAGTCTGTGCACCCCTATTCCCCGAAGCATGGGCCTAGGCCTGGTGTTCCCGTGCCATCCCTGGGAAGACGAGCCACCCTGTGGGTGGGTCTGCTCTGACCCGGGGAGGACCTTTCCCGAAGGTCAGAGTCCCTTACCTACCAGCCCCTGACCATGTCCAGTTCTGGAGAGGGTGAGCATGGACAGGGAGGCCCAAGGGGCTGCTGGTGGCCAGGCCTGGGAGGGCAGGCTGGAGTGAGGGGCAGCATACCCAGGGGGCAGGTGGGCTACAGGCCTCTGGAGGCCCCCATATTCCCCCGCCCAGCACCAGGCTCTTGCATGTCTTCACCTCTGTTCAGAATCTGGCCCTAAAAAGGTGGCAGAGGCTGGAGGCTGAGAGCCACCCCAGACTTAATGGAGGTGAACAGGAAGCCCCCGCGATCCAGCGTGGCTGGAACATGCTGTGGCTGTCAGAGGCGGGAAAGGCAGGACAGCCGTACCCGCTGGCTGGGGCTGGGTGGAGGGTGCCCAGAGGAGGGTGGGCCCAGCCTCCTCTCCATCCTGCTGGATGAGGCCAGATTTGGTTGGCTGGCCACTGTGCTGGCCACTGGTGGACCCCATGTGCCCCACTGGGAGCCAAAGGAAGTGGCCAGTGGTGAGGAGCAGAGGTAGAGGCGGTGAGACCTGCAGGCGCTGGGCAGCCCTGGCACCCACCCATGCCCTCACCTGCCAGCGTGTGCTCACAGAGCTGGGTGGCACCTGACGTCTCTCTGTGTGCGCCTTGGCCAGGAGGGCAGTGCAGGGTGCAGGGAGCCAGTGGCCTCCGGGGAACTAAGACCTGGCCCTTCCAAAGCAGGTTTGTGCAGAGTCTAGACAAGCTGCAGAATGTTTCCACCAAGAAGGCAGCTGCAAGAATCGGGGCGACAGTGGAGATCCCAGAGTCACCTGCGGGGCTGACGTGGAGAGAGCGAGTACGTGTGTGCGTGGGTGAGTGTGCACGTGCATTGTGTGCACAGGTGCGTAGCAGTGTGCCCGTGCCTGGCGTGTGCGTGTGTGTGAGGCTGTGTGGGTCAAGCGCCCACACTCACAGGTGAGGGCTGGGGCTGACACTGCCAGAAAGGGTCTCCTGTCCTCTTCCGCCTGCAAGCTGATGCCTAGTGTTAGGCAGGCCCCTCTGGACCCCGACATGGGCAGTCTGTGCACCCCTGTTCCGCGAAGTGTGGGCCTAGGCCTGGTGTTCCCATGTCACCCCAGGGAAGATGAGTCCTGCTGGGTTGCCAACTTCCACAGACCCCGACATGCTGGGTGGCCTTCCGGCTTCGCTGGGTCTTTTTCTCCTTCTCTCCCAGCCACTCAGATGACTTCAGTGGTGGCTTCTCATGCCTCAATGTCAAGGACTTAAGGTGACCCTCTGGGTTGGGGGCGAGGGGAACATCTGAGATCAGGAAGCTAAAACCCCTTCCAGGATGATCTGGATCTCCTGGGGTCACGAACTGCCCTGCTCTGAGCTCCTTTGGGGACGGAGGGTCCCAGGGCAGAGAGCTGTTCCAAAGAGACCCCAGTTCAGAGGCTTCTGTGCAGACCAGGCTCCCAGGACAGAGACTTTTATCTAGAAAAAGGGCCCCTGTGGAGAGGGACCCCAGGAGGAAGGCTCTGAACAGTCAGGGGTCCCAGGACGGCGCCCCTGGGAGCAGGAGGGTCCAGGCCTGCACTGGAGAGGCCTGCGAGAGGCCTGTGTACGGAAGGGGGCGCCCGAACGCCTGCCAGGCCGGCAGGCTGGGCTGGGAGGCAGCAGGCGGAGTCTGGCCCGTAGGGCAGGGAGGGAGCAGGGGTCGGGCGGGAGCCGGAGGTCAGGCCACCTCCAGGAGCGGCCAGCAGACAGCAGGGGGAGCTTGGAGCCCAAATGATCCAGCTCTGCCAGCAACCTCTGCCCCGTGCAGCCCAGGCTTTCCTGCTGGGACCCCCATGGCAGAGGTGCCTTGTTTGGGGCCAGTCGGTCATCCCCGGCCAGCAGCCACCCTTGGGGATGCCCATGGGGGAGGCTGAGAAAGGCCCTGAGGGCACCTTGGGTTGGATCCTGAGCCACCCTGGAGCCAACTCAGGGGAGCTGGGACTCAACCCCTAGCCCACCGGCCAGGCAGGTGGGGGGCCCCAGTCAGGGCTTGGGCAACGAGGAGCCCCGACCCGCATCACAGATGCACCAAGCCTGCTCGAGGGCAGTGGGAGAAGTGCGGCCCTCAGGATGCCACGTGCTCCAGGCCCGAAACCCTCTGGCTGGAGGGGCCCTCTGGAACTGCAGGGAGGACTCTGTAGCCAGGGTGGGGCTGGGGGCCGTGGGTGACCCTGGCTCCTTCCTTATTCTCTGAGCCCAGCAGCCACTTACTTGGACTCCTGTGTCACACAACCCTTGCCCCAGGTCTGCCCGCAGTGACACCCGCACACAGTGGGGCCTGCACGCAGTGATGTCTGCACACAGTGATGCCTGCACACAGTGGGGCCTGCCCGCAGTGATGTCTGCACACAGTGATGCCTGCATGCAGTGACACCTACACGCAGTGGGCCTGCCCGCAGTGATGCCTGTACGCAGTGGGGCCTGCACGCAGTGGGCCTGCCCACAGTGACGTCTGCACGCAGTGACGTCTGCCCACAGTGGGGCCTGCACGCAGTGACGCCTACATGCAGTGATGCCTGTACGCAGTGACGTCTGCCCACAGTGGGGCCTGCACGCAGGGCGTTTGCTCACGGCAGGTGCGTGCATGGTGGAGGCGGTGCCGCGGGGCTTTGGTCCAGCCTGGTCAAGGTGTGGAAAAGCCCCCGTCGCACCTGCAAGTCCCCCACCTGCTTGAAGGGAGCTCCTGGCTCATCCTACCAGGAACCCCGGGGGGCTCCGAAAGCCAAACCTCTGGTCTGCCCCTGAGCTGGGGGTGCCTGGAGAGTGTGGGGCCAGCAGCCGTGGGAACGAGGCTGGAATCCCGAGCAAGTAGAAAGGGGGCGGGGCAGGGAGGATGCAGCACCAGGACAGGTGGGGGCCCCGGGGCTCTCCAACCTGGGGGTCAACTGCGACTTCCGGGTCCTAAGTGTGGGGACCCCACAGGGTGGGACCCACTGCCCTCCTATCCAGGGATACAAACCACCCTGCCCACCACAGAGCCTGAATTAGGCCTCCTCTTCTTCCCCAGAAAACCTGAACAGCCCCCCATCCACCTCCCAGAGAGCCCAGACGGCCCCTGCGTATCCCATAGCCTGCCCGCTCATCTCTCCCACGGGGGCCCTGGTGGGTAGGACCCAGCTCGCACTCACACAGGGCTTGGAAAGCTGGGGCAGCTCCAGGGTGACCCCAGGAATCCCCAGGACAGGAGACATTGCATGCACACCACGTCATTTTCTGACCTCCAGGGAGCGCACTGCCAGGAAACTTGGGAGGCTGAGCGAAGGGCCTTCCCGCAAAGAGTCAGAGTGGGTGGGGGCGCGGGTTTCAATGGGCTCCAATGGGCTCCCTCCCTGGGCCACAGCCTCACAGCACCCAGCGTCCCAGCCAGGTTTGGAGCAGGGGCAGGGGTCTGCAGCCCCCAGAGGTGTCACACCCCTACTGCCTGCCTCTGTCCCCCACTTCTCTGGCCTTGGGACCCTGTCCCAAGGCGATGCTGACACATCTGACAGCCAGGCCGCCATGTGTCCCAGCCCGGGCAGCCAGTGGGTGGGTGGCCAAGGCAGCCTGGGCAGGAAATGGCAACGCGGTGGAGGGCCCTGGAACATTCCTCCAGCCTGCACACTCGCTGGTCCCTCTGGCAGCTGGTCCAGGACATGCCTCTGTCGGGGACTGGGCTCCCACACCCCGACACCCCCTGCTCTCCAGGCCCCTGTGTGTACAGGGAAGGCTTTGAGCACACGGCTCCAAACTGTGGGTCCCCATTCTCCCCTCGTGCCCCACCTAGGTCAGTCCCTGCGTCTGCCCCCACTCGGTGCTGCTAGTGCCAGCAGTATGAGGGTTTGCATTGGCTTTTGGCCAAACCCTGGAATGTGCCTGCTGGCTGCACGGCAGCTGTTCTTGGAACAGGGCGACAATGCACAGACTGTCTCTGAGACGTGGGCGGATGGGGTGCAGACTGCCCGGAGCTGCGCATGAACCCAGGCCCCGAGACAAGGGTGAATGGGCTCACACAGGCCGAGACACCGGTGAATGGTGTCCAAAGATGCAGCAGGACCTGGAACCGGCACTGGGGGCCCTCAGCCTGGGACTCGGCCTGTGTGAGGTGCGGGGCACAGGTGGCTGACGGCACACACTGCTAAGAACCCCTGATGAATGGGGAGCAGAGCACCCCAATACTCAGACTCACGGGGACACGTGGTCCAGATGCTCAGGAGGGGTGTATGAGCGACGGCACCCTGATTCCAGATGGGCATCTACAGTCACAGGCAAAGGGCATGTCGCTGGCTGTGCAGGGTCGTGGGGGGACAAGGCACCCAATTTTAGGGTCAGTGGGGTTCATGTCTCTCAGATGCTTCTGGGATTGTGAGGACTTCAGGCCTCTGAGGAAGGGGCACAAACCCCTGGAGGCTTAGGTGATGAAGCTGAGAATTCGTGAATAGGGCACAGGGGTGTCTGGACAGGGATGAATGTAGCTCCCACGGCCGAGACAGCCGCTGATGAAAGGGCAGCAGGCGTCCAAAGAAACAGGGGAACTTGGAACTGGCACTGGGGCCCTCGACCTGGGATATGCATCTGCGTTCGAGGCAGGCAGTGGGGGTTAGGCTGCTGAAGACCCTGACGGACAGGGTACAAGGCATCAAAGCCCTCAAGCAGCTAGAGAAGAGGGGGGCTCGAGGGCTTGGAATGTGGGTGCACAGCTCCCGACGCTGCAGGGGGCGAGGTAAGCCGTCGCACAGAGGGTTGGGGTGGAGCGTCCCGAGACCCGAAAACCCAGGGCAGAGTGCCCGTCAGGGTGATGGTTGAAGTCCTCACTACTCAGATGGTCGGAGGAGGGGGTAGGACACCCAGTCAGCTGCCGGACACTCAGGTAAGGAGGTACTGGAGCCAAACTGTCTGAGTGACTGGGTCTGCAGGACCTGAACCTTCACAATAAGAGGGCCCCCTGCAGTGGGACCAGAAGGGAGGGTGTGTGTCCAGACACGTGGGTGAATAAGGGCTATGCTTTCTGTCCTCAGGGGACTGGGGGCACCTTTGCAGATGTGTGCAATATCACCCACACTCTCAGAGGATTCCAGACACACACCACTCAGAAATGTGGGCTAGGAGCACCCGCTGCACCTGCGCTGAGAGAGCTGCAGAAAGGGTTACCAGCCCCTCGGGTGGAAGGAGACAGCCGGAGCTCTCAGGGTAAGATAACCTCACTTCTGACATATAGGGCACCACGACATTCAGAGTCCTGGGATCCACGCTGCCCAGATACTCAGACAAGTGGGGTATCAGGGCCCGTTTCTCTGTCATCCAGGTATTCGAGTGATTAGCGTTCCGGCTCCAGAACTGTCAAGAGGGCGGATGGACAGAAACTTGCCCAAGCCTCCAAGCAATGGGGTCCAGAGACCCAGACGCTCAGGCTGATGAGTGCAGGAACCCACACACTGACAGTAATGGGGTCCAGAGACCCAGATGCTCAGGCTGATGGGGACAGGAACCCACACACTGACACCAATGGAGTACAGGGCTCTAGGTATTTAGAATAATGGGGTACACGTGTCTAGATGTCAGTGAATTGAGGTGGAAGCTCAGCTCCTCAGAGGCACATTACAGAGCCATGGGAATGAGCAGCTCTCAGACAGGGCAGACACGAGGGCAGAGGAGGTGCACCCAGCAGTGAGATGCCTGGAGCACAGGACGTCCAAAACCACAGGAATGAGGCACCAGGCTCCCGGCCCTGGGCTGACACCCAGGCTTAAGTACCATGTGTCATGGGGGATTCAGAGGGTTCAACAGGTGGGGGGCACGCTGTCGTGGCACCCTGGTGACAACAGGAGACCAAGGAGGGGCAGGTCACCTGGCCCTGGGCATGAGGGAGGGGGCTGCACAGGCACTCAGGTCCCCAAGCTGTGTCTCCCAGGCACTCTCAGGCGTGGGGTGTAAAGATGCTGATGCCAGGGTTCCCCATGAACACAGACCCCCCTAAACAAGGTAAATGGGGTCCACACAAAAGTTGTGGGGGATCAGGCCCCTGCCATGAGGTCCCCAAGGCCCTTGGGAGATGAGGTCAATGCGGGGAGGACCGGGAGAACCCCCGTCCTCTGACATGGTGGCTGCAGTACCAGCCATTTGAGGAGTGGGTTACATGCCCCCAGACTTCCAGGTGACGGGGGTGGCCACCCAGACACTTCAAGACATGGGGTTTTCATCACCAAAATCCAGATGCAGATTCTCAGAGGATAGGAACTGAGCCCATGGAATCAGCACCAGCCATGTTCAGAGGGTGCAGACCCCCATGCCCAAGACGGAGCAGAGCCTCCCAGAGGCTCGGTGATGGGGTGCAGCCTCCACGGAGGCTCGATGATGGGGTGCAGCCTCTCTGGAGGCTCAGGTCATGGGGTACAGCCTCCCCGGAGGCTCAGGTCATGGGATGCAGCCTCCCAGAGGCTCGGTGATGGGGTGCAGCCTCCCCAGAGGCTCAGGTCATGGGGTGCAGCCTCCTCCCAGAGGCTCGGTGATGGGGTGCAGCCTCCCCAGAGGCTCAGGTCATGGGGTGCAGCCTCCCCAGATGCCTGGTTGATGGGGTACAGCCTCCCGGGATGAAGAGGCACAGACAGTATGCATGAAAGGTGAGTGTGGCACACACAAGCTAAGACACAGAGAATGGGCATAGGGCATCCCAAAGCACAGAGAACTGTGGCAAGCTGAGTTCCCCCATCCCCGGCCATCCCGGGCCCCAGCTGATGAGGGTGCCCCAGCCCTGCAGGGCTCAGCAGCTGGGGTCAGAGTGGGTGGGGCAAACACGCGCTCACCCAGCACACTTTTCTTTGTGTGCCAGTGACTCCTGGCTCCCCAGAGCCAGCGCTTGCTTTGCAGTCCAACCTCAAGCATTCCCCAGGCGACCTCAGAGGAAGCGTCCCCATCCAGGAGCCCCACCAGGGTCTCCATGAGGCTGCTGGCTGCCAAGCCACCGTCTCGGGGCCTCGGGACTGGCCTCGGGCTCCAGCTCTGTTTGGTTTTCTCCTTCCTGCCCTGGAACCTCAGACGCCAGTCTGGCTGTGAAGGCGCCCATATACTGGGGAAAGTACAAAGCCCCTACACAGCTGGCTGCAGAGAACCGCGCGCAGGGCACGTAGCTCAGCTGTACCCTGGGGCCAGCGTCGAGCCACCCCCTGCATGTGTCCCCTTGCTTGCCTAAAAGCCCCACTAGGGCAGCCTCTGGCCCTTCTCATCCCAGATTGAGTCAGACTAGGAGACAGACCCATACCCTGTGCAAACACCAGAAGGACGTACAAGTCCCCACACGCCCAGGGCCGCGTGTGACCGGACGGGCCCAGACGTGCACATGCATGCCCACACGTCCTCCTGCTGTGGCCCGAAAGCATCCTCGGAGCCTGGGCTATGTCCTCCACACTTGCTGCCTGACCAGCCCCGTGGGGCCGGCCCCGCTGGGACAGGTTTTCCCGTTAAGCATTAACCACCAGCAGATAAGGGCTCTGAGGGAACGCCCTGACCTGGGATGGCTGCTCCTCGGTAGGCCCAAGTCATGGATCTGACTAGAGTGACCAGACCAGACTAACTGGCAGAGCAGAGGGAGAGGAGCTTAGGCTATAGGCTCTGCTCGGGGGTCCAACTGAAGCAAGAGGCACTGAGGTTAGACCAGAGTGAGGACTTCCAGCCACTCACCCGGGGGCCAGCTGATAAGAGGATCACTCATTAGGAAACCAAGAACTCAAGGGATTGGGTCAGCCCAGCAGGAGACAAAGGCACAGAGGGGAATGGCCCGAAGGTGCCTGGGGCTGGAAGCAGAGGCAGTGGCGGAGCCAAGCCGGCCCACCTGGCTCTCTGTGAGCCCCCTGCCCCACACTGCCCAGGGCAGCCCCCGCCCGGCCCCTACCCTCCTCACACTTGGTTCCCCCCAGCCCACAGCACCTGAGGATGCCCTCTTCCAAGCCAGGCAGCCCTGCACCTCAGGACCCCTCCCCGTCGTGCAGAACCTGCTCAAACCAGGTTCAGCCAGGCCACCTCCTGCTGCCCCTCACCAAGGCCAGCCTGACGGGCCCATCGCCCCCTCCTGCAAAGCTAGGTAGGGCTCAGGGTGCCCCCAGCCCCAAGGGACCCTTGGAAATAGGCTGGAGCCCAGATGCTCAGCCTCTGCGTCTTGGGGAGACCTTCCTCCCAAAGGGAGTTGCCCAGCTATCACGGGCCAGCAGTTCCGGCCACAAGGTGGGGTTCCTGCAGCCCTGGCCCCCGCACCCCCTCCTACCCCAGGAGAGAGTTCCCCGTCACCAGAGGCAGTGCTGTCCGAGAGCTGGACCCGCCTTCGGGTGTCTGAGAGGAAGGCCTGGTGGCTGGCCGGCCACAGGAAGTGGTGGGCGTCAGGTGAGAGCATTTACACCTGGGGGGCTGCCAGCCCCAGCACTCGGGGAAACGTTGCTTTTCCAGAGGAAGGGCTCACGGAAAGGTGTTCCCACGGAAGCAGAAACCATTCCGTATAGACTCACCCTGGAGGGAAGCATTAGCAAGCCTGAAATGGTGCCCGCCTTGGGCTAACATGAAGTCTAAAGGAGGGGCTCACCCCCGTTCTGCCTGGTGGGGGCTGGGGGCCCTAACGGGGTGGAATTCAGCACAAAACGTCATGGCAGGTCTGGGGGTCCTGGGGTGACCAGGGAGGGTTCCCTGGAAGAGGTGGGCTCACGCTGGCCTTGGAGGGTGAGTCGGATGGGGATGCGGAGAGGCCTTCTAAGCAGCTTGGCAGCTGCAGGAGCAGAGCAGCCGCCTTCGTGGGGAGAGAGGAGCCGGTTTCCAGAGCCTTAAGGAGCCCGCTGGAGCGGTGGCCAGGGGGGAGCCGGGGAGGAGGGACCGTCTCCCTTTCCTGGGAAAACATGGCGTGAACTCCCAGAGAAGGTTTTCCCAGCAGGGCCACAGGAGACAGACAGCCAAAGCTAGACAACGGGGAGAGCAGCCCCGGGAGGCTCAGGCAGGGAGGGCGGGGGATTCCCAGATCTGGGAGGGGAGACCCGAGAGCCCCCAGCGCCCAAGGGTCTCCAGGGCACTGTCCCCGGGAGCCATGAGGGAGGCCGGGTCCCGAGGGGCGGACGGCGCCACCTGGTGGCCATGCGCCCGCTGCACCTGCACCTCCCTGGGGTCCCGGCGGTCCGGAGGGACCCCGCACCTCCCCAGGCTTTGGGACCCCCAGCATCGGCAGCCAGCGCCCCCAGGGTCCTGGGGTTCTCCGGAGCAGCTTCTGGGTGGCCCCTGTGCTCCTCTGGGGACAAGGTCACCAGGCTGGCCCGGGAGTGCCGCTGGCCGGCCGCGGCAAATCACTGCAGGGGAGCTCTCCCCGCCCGGCCCTGACTGTTCTTAGACTAAAGGAGGGGGGACGCCAGCAAAGCGGGGGCACAGGGGAGGGGCGCACGCACACGCACACGCACACATGCCCGCACTCACAGATGGAGATTCTGTATTGGCAACTTATCCGGAATCTCAACCATAAAAATCTGGAGTGAAGCTACTTTAATCTCAGCATGTATACAGGCTCTGACATTTCAAAAAGAGAAGTTGCCTTGAAACTCCACGTAGGGAGGAGGCAGTGGCCTGTTTGAATCTGGCCGGCACAGTCCCGCTCCAGGGACCCTGCGGACCCAGCCCATTCCATCAGCCACCACCAGTAGGAGCGCTCCGCCAGCCACGTGTGGGACGCCGGACCCACCTGGGAGTGTCCCCCAGGAGCTGAGGGGCTGCCGAGGCCCGTGAGCTTCACTGCACACCCACACTGCATCTGCAGGGGACTCACCCAAAGGGTCCCCCGAACTCGACAAGCTCCGTCATTTGTGAGGCCCAGTGCAGAATGAAAATGTGCAGCATCTTGTTCCAAAATTAAGAATTTCAAGATGGCCCCAGCACGCATTAAACCAAGCAGGGACCCCTCTGAGCATGGGGCCCTGCGCACAGGGTGCAGCCTGGAAAGCTGGCCCTGACCTCCGCATCTCCTTTTTGTACCTATAATCCCTCCATTGTGCTGGCCCCTGTGTTCTGGGGACAGGCTGGGCTTCCCAGGCCATGCTGGCCTCCAGAGCCACAAAACTAGAGCTCCCAGCCTCGGTCCACTCGTCTGTAAAACACCTGGCCTGCTGACCTCACAGGGTCAACATGCGTGTGGGGCTGGAACCTGGACCCTCCCTCCCCTCCTTGAGCTGCAGCCCCCTCATCTGAACACTGGGGGTTTGGGTCCGTTCTGGGAGTGCAGCTGCCTCTCCCAGCCTGCCAGGGAGTGGGGCATTGATGCTGTGTGCGCGTGCGTGTGTGTGTGTGTGTGTGTGTGTGTGTGTGTGTGTGTGTGTGTGTGTCTGGAGTCATGGCAGGGTCCCTTTCTGTCTGTCTCCTTGCTCTGCCCCAGACTGGGGGGCTGCAGAGGTGAGGGTATCTGGCCTCAACAGCTGCTTATTCCCGATGGGATGGCCTGGGCTGGGCCCCTGAGGCCAGGCTGACTTGGACATGGCAAGAGGGGTCCCAGGCTCTTGTGGGCAAAGCAGGGGAGGCGCCAATGTGGAGGAACAGAGTCTCCTGGCTGGCTGCTGCTCTCTGGAGCGGGTGGAGTCAGGGAAGAGCTGAGCTGGGGAGTCACCCTGGGCCTGGGGTCACCGTAGGCCCCATGTAGCACCCTGGTTCCCCTGCCTGTAGGTGACAGGAGCCAGCCCAGCCAGGTGTGCTCCCTCCCCAGGCCCTAGGCAGGCGGGTACAGGGGCCAGCAGCTGCGCCCGCCCCACCTTCCTTCCCACCCACATGCCGAAGGGTGGCCAGGCAGGCAGGTGGACGAGTCCAGGCAGCGGCTGAGTCAGTGTGTGTGGAATGTTCTGGCCGCTCCCAGCTGCACCCTGCCCCTACCTGCCACCACCTCACCTTCATCCTCAGGCGCTGCGGCCCTGAGCCCCTGCCAGGAATGCACCTTTAGCCCAGGCCTGCTCAGTGAGCTCCGCCGACAGCCAGCCCTGCTCCTCCCGCCATGACCCTGCAGACCCCTCTGGGCTTCCAAGTTCCTGGGGGCTGCAGTGAACATGCTCCACCTGCATGGCTGGCAAACCATGGTGGGCCCCAGCTGTGGTGCGTGCTGGGGTAGAGGCAAGGAAGTGATGGGACCGCAGAGATGAGACCCCCAGGGATGAGATGGGACCCCCAGGCAGGGCCCAGGGTCCAGGGCCCAGGAGAGAGAAGCAGGGAGGGAGAGAGCTTCCTGGTGGAGGACGCATCCTACAGTGGGGGCAAGGGTGCTCTGAGGTCCGGTGAAGGCAGGGACTAGGCTGCCCAGGCCCTGCCTGCTTGGCTGGGGCTGGGGGCTGCTGGGAGGTGGCTGGGAGGCTGGGCCTGGGCAGCTAAGCTGGAGCTTTGGCCAGGGTCCAGAGCCTCCCTCCCTTCAGCTTCCTGCTGCACAGAACCCTCGCCCCTGGCCACCCCGTGCTGCCTCCTTGCCCTGGCAGACCCAGCACTGGCTGCTGCTAGTCAGATGGGGTAGCGGGCAGGGGCCGGAGGGGCCACCCTCCCAGCTGACCCAGCCTCCTGGGCCGCTTCTTCCAAACCAGCAGGGTAGAAAGATGGGGCACCCACCAGTCTCTCCCAGTGCCCCGGCCCCAGCTGGCACCACAGCTATACCTGGGCTTATTCCAGACCTTGTCGCCGGGACCCCCTGTGAGTTGTGGGATTCCCAAGAGGGGTGTGGGGATAACCCAGCCAAGTGGGGGCTGCAGCTGTCCACAGATGCACTCAGCCTGGCCTCTACCCCAGGGCCCCGCTGGGCTCTCATTGCCGGCGCCCTTGCCGCGGGCGTCCTCCTCGTCTCCTGCCTCCTCTGTGCTGCCTGCTGCTGCTGCCGCCGCCACAGGAAGAAGCCCAGGGACAAGGAGTCCGTGGGTCTGGGCAGTGCCCGCGGCACCACCACCACCCACCTGGTGAGGAGCGGCTCCTTGCTCACTCAGTCCAGAGAGGGCTTGAAATCCAGGCTCCAGAGCCCAGGGCAGCGAGGCGAGTTCAGCCCCAGGGATGGTTTAACCCCCACAGAGGCAGGGCGTTGAGGACCTTCCTGGCAGGGAAAGTGGGTGAACAGAGGTGAGAAGGAGGCCATGCAACAGGGGCTGCCCCATGGGCCCGAGGGAGCCACAGCGGGTTCTTGAGGAAGGCAGGGGGTACCCCAGATGCCACGTTTTGGGTGGGTTTGGCCGGTCTCACAGAGCGAAGCCGACGATTTGTGCCTGTTGGGTGGCCTGGCCTGGAGGCGGGGGGTCTTGACCCATGTCATGCAAGGGCTGCCCGGGAGCCCAGGGCTCTGATGAGGCATGATGTCAGCACCACCTGCCCCTTGTCCCAACTCACTCCAGGTGCAACCTGATGTGGATGGCCTGGAGTCCAGCCCGGGGGATGCTCAGCAATGGGGGTGCCTGCAGCTCTCCCTGGAGTTCGACTTTGGAAGCCAGGAGGTGAAGGGCCCCGCTGCGCAGGACCAGCGGTTCTGCGAGTTTCCGGAAAGGGTGACGGGGGAAGGGCAGACCCCATGCCCTGGGTGGTGGGGAGCTGACAGGGCAGGGGCCCTTGGCTGAGCCCACCCCGCTGGCTCCCAGATCAGGGTGGGCCTGAGGCAGGCAGCCGACCTGAGGCCTGGGGGCACCGTGGACCCCTATGCCCGGGTCAGCGTCTCCACCCAGGCCGGACACAGACATGAGACAAAAGTGCACCGAGGCACGCTCTGCCCCGTGTTTGACGAGACCTGCTGCTTCCACGTGAGTCAGGGATGGTCGGCTGGGTGGGCCTGGACGGCTGGATGGGCCTGGGCTGGGTGGGCCTGGGCAGCTGGGTGGGCCTGGGCAGCTGGGTGGGCCTGAGCTAGGGCAGCAGGGCCTGGCTCACGCCGCTGCCTCAGATCCCGCAGGCGGAGCTGCCAGGGGCCACCCTGCAGGTGCAGCTTTTCAACTTCAAGCGCTTCTCGGGGCATGAGCCCCTGGGTGAGCTCCGTCTGCCACTGGGCACCGTGGATCTGCAGCATGTTCTGGAGCACTGGTACCTGCTGGGCCCGCCGGCTGCCACTCAGGTGAGGTGCTGGTCACCAGGCCACAGCCCAAGGCAGAGCTGGCAGGGACCCTGCCCTATGGGCCATCGGAAAGACAGGCCTGATGGGCAGCATTTTCGGGGGTCTGAGCCCCAACTCGGCCAGAATCACCCTCCCGGGCTGAAGCCCCTCTTGCTGCCCACAGCCCGAGCAGGTCGGGGAGCTGTGCTTCTCTCTCCGGTACGTGCCCAGCTCAGGCCGGCTGACCGTGGTGGTGCTGGAGGCTCGAGGCCTGCGTCCAGGACTTGCAGGTGAGGGTCACACCTGCCCACGTTGTTGTACAGAGGGGGGGCCCGTGCTCAGCCCCGAGCCCTGGGATGCCCCTTCGGCAACCTTGCCCTCCCAGAGCCCTACGTGAAGGTCCAGCTCATGCTGAACCAGAGGAAGTGGAAGAAGAGAAAGACAGCCACCAAAAAGGGCACGGCGGCCCCCTACTTCAATGAGGCCTTCACCTTCCTGGTGCCCTTCAGCCAGGTCCAGGTGGGCCACCGGGAGGCAGGGGCAGAGCGAGACCCAGTGCCAGACCACGATGACTGTGGTCTTTCTCCCCCAACTCCAACCTCTGGCCTGTCTCTGCACAGAATGTGGACCTGGTGCTGGCTGTCTGGGACCGCAGCCTGCCGCTCCGAACTGAGCCCGTAGGCAAGGTGCACCTGGGTGCCCGGGCCTCGGGGCAGCCCCTGCAGCACTGGGCAGACATGCTGGCCCACGCCCGGCGGCCCATTGCCCAGCGGCACCCCCTGCGGCCAGCCAGGGAGGTGGACCGCATGCTGGCCCTGCAGCCCCGCCTTCGCCTGCGCCTGCCCTTGCCCCACTCCTGAATGCACCACATGCCTCTGTCTCCCCGCTGAGCCCAGGCACTTGCCCAGGCCGCCCTGCAGGACCACTGCAATAAACGCCTTCTCCTGCCACTGTGTGTCCGGCTGGAGCCTGGAGGGGATGCAGAAATAGGGCCCGGGCCCGCTCACCAGGGTCCCCTGACAAGGACGGGGGAGGGGCTCCTCTCCAGACTCAGCCAGGCCCTGAGGCCTCTGACCGGTCCCTGCTTGACCCTCGGGTAGGGGTGGGGAACCTCCCCGGGGAGCACAGATCTCCCCTCTCCGGGCCGCCTGGGAAGACCGGGGAGGTGGGGGCCAGAGAGTCGGGACCACATGGGATGGGGCGGGCTAGAGCCAGCCCTGTAGGGACAGAGTGGGCAATGGTGTCTGGGGGCTGGTGAGCATGGAGGGAGGACCCCCAACACCTCAGAGACCTGTGCTGCAGGGCCTTCCCTGCATGAGCAGCAGGGGGCAGCAGATGCCTTCGGAAGCCGCTGGGGCCTTTAGGGGCTCAGTCCTGGCCGGATGCCCCTCCCAGTCCCCACACATCTGGGCTGCCTTAGCGGCTGGGGCCTCCACGCTGCTGTCTCCTCTGATCCTCCCCACGGGGCTGCGAAGCCGGCAGGGCTGGGGCCAAGAGCCCCCACTCCGAGAGGGTGCCAAGTCACGGTCCAGGGGACCTCTGCAGGGCGGGGGCCTGGGGGCTGGGGGGGCGATGGCCTCGGGCCTGGGTGAAAAGGGCAATGCCAGGCCTGCCCGGGCAGCCAGGAGGGCCCCAAGCCCCCACGGGTGTGAGAGGCTCCCAATGCAGGTGGCGCCATTCTCCTTAGGTTGAAGGATGTGTTCCAAGTCGCCCGGCAAGGGGACTGCAGCAGGGCGTTCTGGGCAGGCGGGAGGGGCCCAGAGGCACGTGCGGCGTGCCCCTCACTCCTGGTCCTGCTCCCCAGGCAGGAAGATAGCATCACGCAGGGAGGGGGCAGCCCCCAGCCCTCGGCCACTGTGGCAGGGCCCAGAAGGCCACATCTGGAGGTCCAGGCCTCACCCCAGAAGCCAGGCTTGCAGAAGGGGGTCAGGCCTGGGCTGAAGTGGGAAACCCATTGCAGGGGCTGAGCCGGGGAGCTGGCCCCGCAGGGAGAGGCTGTGGCTGTCGCCAGCAAGCAGCCAGGTTGGTGGACTGGACGCTGACCTCGGGTGAGATGGGCTGAGGCGAGGTGTGGATACTCGCAGCTACCCCTCAGCTGACCCGAGCTGTGTGCCCGGCTGAGGCCACAGGCAAAGCCAGGGACACTGTCCTCAGGCTCCTTACGAGAACGACAGAGGCATCTCCAGCGCGTCACCGAGCCCTAAATAGAGTAGCCCAGCCACGGCACCCCCCACCAAGACTTCTTGGACTGGGCGGCAGCACGCGGCCAGGCCAGGCGGCCGGACAGGTGGGGAGGTCTCTGTGGCTCTCCACGCCCCCATTGGTCTGAGGAGGACTCTATGCCCTTTCTGAGCAGGGGCCCAGCCTGGGGGAGGCCATTTATACCCCTCCCCCTGGGCCCACCAGCCCAACTCGCCGCTGCCGGCCTGACCTCGCTCCCAGCCCTGCTGCCCAGATTCTAGGTGAGGCCCAGCCCGGCCCGCCGAGGCCGGGGGACAGGGCGTGGCTCGAGCTGGTTTGAGGGAGGACTTCCTGGGGCGGGGGTCTGGGGGCCTGGGGGATGCCACCAGCAGCCCCCTTTGGGGCCTGCACGGGTCCGGGAGTGAGAAGGAGAGGCTTTGGGGAGGCAGCTGTAGCGAGAGGCAGG
Organism: Homo sapiens; assembly: GCF_000001405.40. Lineage (NCBI taxonomy): Eukaryota > Metazoa > Chordata > Mammalia > Primates > Hominidae > Homo > Homo sapiens. The sequence continues at coordinate 1,839,219 of NC_000011.10, forward strand.
TATTAGACACTCCCTGACCACCAGGCTTCACCTCTGGGGACCCTGGAAGGAGAGTTTAGGGGTCAAGAAGCCCCAGAACCTGAGCCCCCAGGCCAAACTGAGGAGGGATTTCTTCCATGCACTTAGGCCCAAAGCCAAAGAGAGAGGGTTAAAAATAACAGCGTCACTCAGGCGGCCACCTGCGCTGGCCCATCCCACCCTCCCTCGGGGACAGCTGCAGCTCCTCAGGCTATGCCTGGGACATTTTGGGAACACTTTCTCCTCTTACTTCTCACCCTGGGGAATTCCAAGACATTGTCCTTGAAGGAGGTGAGAGTAGGGGGAGGAGGTGAGAGTAGGGGGTGGGCGGGAGGGGGCTGTCATCAGGAGCCCTGAACCCCTCACCACCTACCTGATGGGCACAGGCATCACGGTGGCAAGGGCCTGGCCAACACCTCTGTCTTCCTCTCCCCACAGGCTCCAAGCTCAGGACCTCAGGATGGGAGAGTAAGTGGTACCCCTGTACCCCCATACAGTGACCCTGCCCACCTCCTGCCCTGTCCACCCCATCACACACTCCGACCCCGCCAGCCATGGCCCTAACCTCTGTCTTCTCTCCCCGTCCTGCCTGCGTCCTCCCTCCCTGGACAGTGAGGAGGTAAGTAGTTGCTGGGGGCTCAAAACATGACGAGGAGGGGGCTCCCCCAACTCAGCATAGGTCATAGGTCACAGCCTCAAGGCCCTAAGGCCCAGAGAAGATGGCCTGGCCCTCCCCGCTGGCAAAAGTGCCCCACCCACCCACCAAGACGCTGCTGAAAGAGAGGAAGTGGCTGCCCCAAGCCTTCTGGGGCAGGGGAAGTGTGGCTGTGGCCTGGTCACAGGGGAATCACTTCTTCTTTCTGATTCCTGCACTTCCCGCCCCCACCTCACCGGCCGACCTGCCCCCAACTGGCCCTCCTCTCCCCCAGCCTCTGGCCTCCCAGCACCATGTGCCACCTGGCAAAGTGTCACACACCACACAGCACCATGTCCCAGTGCAAGGTCTGGGGCCAGGGAGGCCCAGCCTGCCCATCATGGCCTCAGGAGCCCCCAGGCTCTGCTGGTCCCGGAGCCGGAGCCCCTGACCTGGCCAGGGAGCGTGGAAGGGGGTGGGGGTGCTCCAGGCCTGGAGGCCCTGACTCGACCCCCTGTCCCCTGCCCTGCAGAAGCGGAACAGGGCCATCACGGCCCGCAGGCAGCACCTGAAGGTAGGTGTGGGCTCCCGGGGGGGTGGCCCAGGTGGGTCTGCAGGGGAGCTGGCTGCAGCCCCTCACCGCCTGCCCCACCGCAGAGTGTGATGCTGCAGATAGCGGCCACGGAGCTGGAGAAGGAGGAGAGCCGCCGTGAGGCAGAGAAGCAGAACTACCTGGCGGAGCACTGCCCGCCGCTGCATATCCCGGGCTCCATGTCTGAAGTGCAGGTACCAGCCCCTCCCCGGCCACCCCGCCTCCCCAGCAGCAGGCCTGCCTGCTAACTCAGTTTCCCCACTTGTCAAGAGGGCCAGTGGGGTGGTCAGGGCAGGGGCAGGTGACCGTGGCTGCCAAGTGTCAGGACGGCCGCCCGCCCCCACACCCACCCCTAGGAGCTCTGCAAACAGCTGCACGCCAAGATCGATGCGGCTGAAGAGGAGAAGTACGACATGGAGGTGAGGGTGCAGAAGACCAGCAAGGAGGTGAGTGGTGGCGGCGGGCCGGCGGCAGGCGGGTAGGCGGTGGCCCAGCGGGCAGGCGGGGCGGGCCGGGGAGGCCGAGACCACCGGGACCTCGGGCTCCCACCCGGCTCCCCTGCCCACAGCTGGAGGACATGAACCAGAAGCTATTTGATCTGCGGGGCAAGTTCAAGCGGCCCCCACTGCGGAGGGTGCGCATGTCGGCCGATGCCATGCTCAAGGCCCTGCTGGGCTCGAAGCACAAGGTGTGCATGGACCTGAGGGCCAACCTGAAGCAGGTCAAGAAGGAGGACACAGAGAAGGTGCGTGCCACGGGGGGAGCACCACCACACCTACCCTGCCGGGGAAGCACCTCCCACACCTGCCCCGCCTGGGGACCACCTCCCACACCTGCCCTGCCGGGGGCCCTGTACCACTGCCCCTCCAGGGTGCCATGCAGGGGACACTCCACTGCCCAATGCAGAGGGTAAACTGAGGCTGAAGGTGGTGTGGACCAGGGTGCGTGCATAAGTGGGTGAGCCTGAGCTCTCTCCTGCCCTCTCCTCCACAGGAGCGGGACCTGCGAGACGTGGGTGACTGGAGGAAGAACATCGAGGAGAAGTCTGGCATGGAGGGCCGGAAGAAGATGTTTGAGTCCGAGTCCTAGGCCACTCGCTGCCCCTACGCCTGCCCCGGTGCCCGGCTCCCAGCAGAACATACTAGGGAGATGCACCCAGAGCCTGCCAGGGAGGGCTGGCCTCACCACCACCGTCAATAAAGGATTTGAATCCCCATGGCTGGTCTGGTCTGGCTCTCCCCAGCCTCTTGGGCCATGCTCTGGGCCCCCGCATCGGTGGCCTGCAGTGTGGTCAGTGGCCAGCGGGGAAAGCCTGGGAGGAGGCCACACGGGGCCTGGGATTTCAGGTTGGGAGGGAAGCTGCTTCCAGCAAGGAGGTGAGCCTGGGAAGGCCCCTACAGGGGAATCCACCCCAGGCTGCACGGGGCTGTTTGGTGAGGGCCCTGATAGTGCCCCAGGCGTTCCTGGGGCTCGGCCTGGGCACATCCAACATGCAGGGCTGGGGATGGAGGCTGTGGGACCGAGCCAGGTCTGGGTGGGAGTTCCTGAGATAAGTGGGTCTCACATTTGCACAGCCACGCAAAGGCCCTCCCGGGGCTCCAGAGAGATCCACACATGTGACACACGTGTGGCCCCCGCAGTGCTGGGGGCAGCCCCCTATGCCTCCCAAGCTGCCCCTCCTCAGGGAGCTCATCTGAGGCAGGAAGCCAAGGGCCACATTAGACCCCAGGCTGCTGTCCACGCGTGCCCACCCCCAGATCCTCCTGCTCATCCCCCTCCCACATCACTTTGGGACAGACCCCCAGCCCCGGGGCCTCCCTGCTTTTCCTATCTGCCCCCTGCCCTGAGCACTGAGGCTGGGCACGGGGAGCGTGGAGGGGCGAGCCTGCACGGTGGGCCATGACCAGGCCAAATTGGCAGTCTCCGGGCTGGGGACCAGCATGGTGCTGGGGGTTGGCCAGCCTGGTCTCTGGTCCTTACTGCCACCCTGAAAGGCAGGCTGTGTCACTCCTCACCATGCCAGGGGACCAAGAGACCTGTGCCCATCAGGCAGGGGCTAGGCCTGGCCCTGACCTGGCTCCAGTGTGGCTCCCAAGTCTCGTTTCCACTCAGCCCCAAGACCCAGCCCCATCTGGCCACCAAGGACAAGGCAGCTGACAGGTTCTGACAAGGCCGGTGACAGCAAGGCCACGTTATCAGCCCTGCTCTTTGAAGGCTGACAGAGCAGGCACGCCAAGGTCCCTGTGCTCAGATCTGCGCTGGGGAGGCTGCCAGCCTGCGCTGTGCCCTTGCCCCCGGGAGGTCCCATCGATTGATCTGCCGGAGGTGGACGTGCAGCGGCAGTTCCGCCTCGGGCTGCCTTGAGGGACTGACGTCAGTGGGCTCCCGGGACGGCCTTGGCTGTGTGCAGTCCCCTGCTTCCCGGGTACCCTACAGCCCTGGCACTCAGCTCTGACCTTTTCTGTAGCTGGAGCCCCACGCCAGTCCGAACCCCCCACCCGGGCCTTCTCCTTTAGCCTTCTGTAGGGGAAGGCACCGAGCAGGGCAGCTTGGGGCCAAGGGGGCACTGCCTGGTGGGTGCAGCTGTGGCAGAGGTGCATGGCACCCCATGCCAGAATGATGGGACCAGGCAAGGCCCAGGGTGTAGGAGGCCATGAGGCACAGAAGTGAGGCCCGAGACCTGGCCTGTCGGGGGGAAGCTGCCCAAGCCCAAGCCTCAGCTGAGACCTGAGGGAGGACAAGTGTGGAGGCAGAGGGTGCTGCAGGCTGGAGCACGTCCCATGCAGAGCCAGGCAGGCAACAGGCAGAGCGAGGGACAGGCGGCGGTGGGGCCTGGCCATGGACCCCTTGCAGGGGACATGGCACCTTTCCAGAGCCTGTGCCTACTGGGAAAGGGGGCGGGACCCAATCCCACAGGGCGTCAGGGGGGTGTGGCAGAGGAGTTGGGGCAGGCGCATCACACCTGGCTGCCAACCACAAGATTCAACTTGGCCGGGGCAGACACGCTGTGTGGGAAAATTATCTTTTTTATTTCAAAGCAAGGAAATGTTGAACACAAACACGAAATTCCAAAGAGTGACCCTCTGGGGTGAGTGGGGTGGGGGCAGAGCAGGGGCAGAATGGAGACAGGACCCCTACGCTGATGCAGGTTTGGGGGATGTTTTAATTCTTGGGCTGGATAGTAGATGCACGGGTGTTTGTTAAATTTCCAATAGATGAGTGAATGAGTAAATGAAGGAGTAAGTGAGAGGCCTGCGGAAAGCAAACCAGCAAATATCAAACCGGCGCCCCTCTGAGCCCGGCTCCGTCCCTCTCGGGTGATTCTGGTGTCCCTGCTGGAAGTGAGGCCTGCAGCCAGTACCCCATGGGGCTGTCCCCCAGCTCTGCATTCTAGAAAGGCCTCAGCAGGGTGGAGCACAGCGGAAGTCACCGCTGGGTTGGGGGGTGAGGAATGGAGACGTGGAAGGGGCCGGGTCCCCAGGACTTGTTGGCTGAGGGACATGAGGAAGGCAGGCACCTTGCTGGGGGCACGGGTGGGCAGAGACTGTTCTCCAGGGCAGGAGCCGTGAGAAAGTGGCCTTGGGAGGAGGTGAGGCACTCACTTTGGGGCTGCTGGGTTTGGGGGCCCTGTGGAAATTCCGAGGGGAGACCTGGCCCAGGCAGCTGGAGCAGGGGCTGGGCTGGAGATGTGGATGTGGGTGTCCTGGGTGGTGAGCCGATGGGCAGAGGTGCCTAAGGCCAGGGCGAGAGGAGACGAGGGGGAGGGTAGGGACAGCCAGGGCAGCCGGGGCAGGCACCATGAGCCCCAGGGGAGTCCCGGAAGAGGAGGGGGACAGGCCCAGGGCAGGGGTTGTGGGCAGCCCTGTGCGTGGCTCTGGAGGTCGGGGAGGACATGGCCTCTGAAGTCCCAGGTAACCCGTGCTGGGCTGTGGCCAGGAAGGGGTTGGGGAAGACTGGGCACAGCGGGCCAAGGAGGGAGGGGTGGGAGGAAGTGCACGGGGCACCCCTGGAAGTTGCGGCTGCTGGAGACAGAAGGCAGGGGTTCCTCGGGGGAGGCAGAGGTGGGTGCTTCTGCACACGCGGGTGTTTCCTGCTCTGCCGCTGAGCCACTGACATGCAGACACCCCAGTGTCCAGGAGCAAACCGGGCCCCAGGCTCTGCTCCCTAAAACCGTCCTCCCCTGAAGGACCCAGGGCTCCTCGGAAGAGAGGTTGACTGCAGGGTGGGGCAGGAAACGTGCAGGAAGAGCCTGACATGTCCTTTCTGCTAGGAGGCCGTGGTGACGCAGAGGGCCTGCCCTGTGCCCCCGCTGATGGGAGCGGCCATCAGGACACAGACCGGCAGACAAGATAACAAGCAGTGTCCGCGGTAAATGTGCTCAAGTTCATAGTTACACAAAACAACATCTGCATTCCAAGGAAACAGACCTTAAAATCTTCAGGAGGAAAGGAGGGAGACAGAGAGACAGAGAGACAGAGGCAGAGAGACAGAGACAGAGACAAACAGAGACAGAGAGACACAGAGACAGAGACACAGAGACAGAGACAGAGAGACAGAGACAGAGACACAGAGACAGAGACACAGAGAGACATGGAGACAGAGACAGACAGAGGGACACAGAGACAGAGACAGAGAGACACACAGAGAAAGACAGAGAGATGGAGAGACACAGAAACACATAGAGAGAAACACAAAGAGAGACAAAGAGGCAGAGAGAGGGCAAGAGACAGAGGGACACAGAGACACAGAGGCAGAGAGGCAGAGAGACAGAGACAGAGGCAGAGAGAGAGACAGAGACAGAGAGACAAGAGACATAAAGACAGACACAGAGGCACAGAGGCAGAGAGGCAGAGGCAGAGACAGAGAAGCAGAGAGACAAAGGCACAGAGGCAGAGAGACACAGACAGAGGCAGAGACAGAGAAGCAGAGAGACAAAGACACAGAGGCAGAGAGACACGGACAGAAGCAGAGAGAAAGAGACAGAGGCTCAGAGAAACAGAGAGGCTGAGAGGCGGAGAGGCAGGGGTCGAATGGCAAAGTGGACATGTGCCCTGGGTGAGGGGGGTACAGAGGCACCTTGTCAAATTCTTATTCTTGAAACTTCTCTGTGGGTTTGAAATGACTTCCCCCAAAGCTAAACTTTTCTTTGAACGTTAAAGCAATACAATTCGTAAGCGACAACAAAAACAGATGACATGAAAAATACCACAAGTTAACAGAGAGGACCTCACAGGGCTCAGGTGTGGGCAGAAAGGTGCCCCAGAGGGTGTGGGGGACTTCGGGGTGGTGGAGGAGGCTGAGGACTGTGTGTGTGCCCCTGGCTGAGGGCCGAGGGCGGGGCTGGGTGCCAGGCCCCCGGGGACACCTTGGTTAGGGTTAGGGTTAGGGTTAGGGCCAGGGATCCAAGGCTGGAAAGTTGCCTTTCAGGGACTGCAGGAGGGAGGCCCGGTGCCCTGGCCATGCTGGGCGCTGGGTGGAGCTAGGATGAGGCAGGTCACGGGGCTTCATTCTCTCCGCAGGGCTGGACTCAGAGGGGGCTTCCCCCTGACCTTCACCCCCTCACGCACTCGATCAAGGGGAAGCCAGGAGTGGGGTCCCAGAGGGGGACACAGAGTTCCCCCATGAATGTCCACCTGCTGGACCCCCTGTGTGGTCCTCAGGGGTTCCCTGGGCCTCCACCGAGGGGCCCCCGGATCAGGGCTGGGCTTCACCCTCTCTCTCCAGCTGCACCTCACCCCTGACCTGTGCAGCCCTGTGTCCTTTTTGTTCCCCTGGCACCGGCTGTGCCTGGGCCCAGACCCACCTTTGCAGGCCGGTGCCTGGCTCCAGCCATCCTTGGAAAGCTGAGTCCGGCGCTTGCCAGGGCCTCACCACCCCCACTCCTCCGGCTCCGGCTCTCCCCAGACAGCCCTGGAGCCCAGGGTTAGAGCTGCCTCTGTGGCTCAGCCCCCACTCCACCCCAGTGGGCTGCCCAGCCTTAGTTTACCCAGATGTACAATGAACATGGAGATGAGAGCGCCTGCCTCACTGGACCACCAGGTAGGCAGGGACCCAGCTGGCACCTCCTGCCTCCCTAAACTCCTCTCCTATGTGCCCCCCAGAGTCAGCCCGACTCTCCCCCAGCCCCAGCAAGGCCTGGCTCGGCGCCCTGGACCACCCAGCTGCTGAATATCACACCAGGACCACCAAGCCTGCCTCTGCCCCAGGCCTGGAAGCTTCTCCCCACTCTCCCTGTGGCCATCTCCTTCACACCCTTCAGTTCCAGCATGGTCACCTCCTCCGTGAAGCCCTCCGTGAGTCCCCCAGCCATCTCTGTGACTTCTCCTGGTTATTTTCCAGAATGACCATGGACTTGTTTTTTCATTTGTTCACTGTCCGTCTCTTCCTCTGGGAGGGAAAATCCACGAAGTCAGGGACCTGGAGTTATTTGCAGCTGTGTCAGTGCTGCTGGGGCGAGGCATACACCTGTGACGGGACCTCAGGACGGGGACACGGGTCTGCATGAGGATTGTCTAACAGTCCCTACAAGACGCTGGGGCCACCATGTACACTGGAGTCCTCTGGCAGCCAGTGTTCCCCGTTGTGCGGGGCTGGCCGTGACCACGCTGGAAACCCCCCGATCCCCTTGTTGCTCCTGCCCTCCTGCAAGCACCTCCGCCGCCTCGACAAGCACAGCCTGGCCCCAGGGCCTCTCCCTCCCCTGGCCCCAGTCACCCCTACCTCCTCACCACCCCCTGTCATCTCCCATTGCTCCCCCTCCTTGCCAAGCTGCTCCTGACTCCCTGTCCCCTCCTCGAGCCATCGGGAAGGCCTGCGTCCTGGCAGGCTCCAGTCTCTGCGGCTGCCCCTCCGGCAGGCCGCCGAGAATCAGCGCGGCATTGGGCCAGGCACGGTTTCCACGAGCTTCCTCCTTCTGATCCTCCCCTCCGCCCCCCCCACCAAGCTCCCCAAAATCTCTCACTCACACCCCAAATCACCTGGGCCCCCCACCTCAAACCAGAGGCCATCGGGGCAGAACCCAGCAATTGTCACCGCCCTCTCACGAAGCGTCCCGTGCCCCCCGGAGCACATGTCCACAGCGAGGCCCTTCACGGCTCTCAGATCAGCTCCCCGCCTGCAGGTCCCAGCCGGCCCTGCTGTCGCTGCAGGTTGAGCTTCTCATGAGTGAAGGCCCCGGTCACTCTGACGCCGCCAAATAGTGGAGACAACACCAAGCTCTAAAGATTTTCAAAGGGAGAGAGACAAAAAAAAATGAAGGCCAGGTGTGGTGGCTCACACCTTTAATCCCAGCACTTTGGGAGGCTGCGTGGGGAGCCTCGAGCTCAGGAGTTCGGGACCAGCCTGGGCAACAAAGTGTCTCTACAAAACAATATGAAAATTAACCGGGTGTGGTGGTGTATGTCTGTGGTCCCAGCTAGGGAGGTAGAGCTAGGCTGAGGCAAGAGGACTGCTTGAGCCCGGGAGGCAGAGGTTGCAGTCAGCCCAGATCACGCCTCTGCACTCCATCCTGGGCAGCAGAGCAAGACTCCATCTCAAAAAATAAAAGCTTTGAGAATTTAAAGAAAGAAAAAAAGAAGAAGAAGGCCAGGCTGATGACTCACGCCTGTAATCTCAGGATTTGGGAAGACCAAGGTGGGCGGATCACTTGAGGCCAGGAGTTTGAGACCAGCCTGGGCAACATAGCAAAACCCTATCTCTACAAATTAAAAAAAAAAAATAAAGTAAAAACTAAAAGCAAACAAAATAAATAGCCAAGCTCTCCGACCCAAGGCCTTTTGTGCCGACCGACGCCCATCTTCTCTGACCTGGCCCATGTCTCTTTGCGCCTGCTGGAGAGCTTCTTCCACTCTCAGCTGGCCCTGAACCCTGGGCTCCCCCAGTACTGCCTCCCCACCCCGCCTGGCCTGTCCGCTCTGCTAGGGGCAGCTGTCTGGTCACTGCCCTCTCCTGGCATCCCTCCGATCCACCCGGCCCCCTCGAAGCCTTCCCTGCCCCTTTCCTGTCTGTCTCTGTCCCCGTTGAGAGCTTCTCTTCCTCACTCTCTTCACTCCTGGGCCAGATTCCCAAGCTCACCAGTGGCCACGGCCAGTGGAAGGAAAGGGGCCGAGTGACCCCAGCTCGCGTGCAGGGAGAGGGCACAGCCCCCAGCTTTGCTCCCCACAGCAAACCCCTCCAGCACCTGCGTGTGCCCACAGAGTGATTTGCCAGGGAGGGGCGCTGCGGGATGGCCTGTACTGCGGGACGTCCTTTCCAGCCCATGGTGCCAGCACACAGCATCTCCTGCCCAGGCCTCTCCCTGCTCGGCTGGGACTTCTACACGCACCTCCAGCCTGCTACACAGGTCCCAACCCCCGGCTTCTCCCCTCAAATCCAGGTCTGCACCTCTCAGACATCTGCCTTGTGGCCTCTGCACCTGGAGTGTCCCTGTGTCCTGCCCGCCTGGCACAGAGCTCCTCCTGGCTCACCCCTCAAGGCTTCCCTGCTTGGCTCCATCCCCCGGAATCTGATGCCCTCAGCTGGCTCCATCCCAGAATCCAAACTAACTCATCACCTGATGCAGCCGCTTGCTGGTCCCCGTGCTGCTCGCTGGACCCTGCACCAGATTTGGAGACAGGACAACGGAGGGGCCGGGGTCTGCCCTCCACACACCTCCCTTAGAGTTTCAGGCACTGAGGGAAGAAATGATTCTGCATCTGATTCTTGGGTAGACTCTTAGCTCTTCAGAGGAAGGCTCTGTTCCTGTTTAACCTCCCACCCAGCAAGGCCCACACCGTTCTCAAACACGCATGCACTGCCCGGGTGCAGTGGTTCATGCTTGTACTCCCAGCACTATGGGAGGCTGAGACAGGAGGATGGTTTGAGCCCAGGAGTTCAAGACCAGCCTGGGAAACATGGTGAGACCCCATCTGTACACACAAAAAATTTTTTAATTAGCTGGGCGTGGTGGTATGTACCTGTGATCCCAGTTATTTGGGAGGCTGAGGCGGGAGGATCACTTGAGCCGAGGAGGTAGAGGCTGCAGTAAGCCCTGGTTGCACCACTGCACTCCAGCCTGGGTGACAGAGCAAGACCCTGTCACACACGCTCGTGCGCACACACACACACACACACACACACAGAAATGCCCGGACGGCCTGAGGGGTGGCTGGGCCCTCACTGGGGACACCTCCTCCCTTGCCCACGCCTGCCAGTCCAGGCTGAGTGGAGAGAAGGGCTGGAGGCAGGGGCTTGGCCAGGGAGGGAAGGAGTGAGAAGCGGGCGGCCACATGGGCTGGGCAGCCTCCGGGATGCTCTTTGCTTTTGTTTTTTTGTGAAAAGGTTGAGTGATTTGCACATCAACGTGGAGGGTGTAGGGAGGAGAGGCTGGGGGACCGGGAGGAAGGTGGATGGGCCGCAAGATGGCCCTGGCGTCTGCGGAGGAGTAGCTGAGTGAGAGAGCAAGAGTCTGCCTTCTCCACGACGGTGATGTGGGCAGGAGAGAGGGCTGGACGGCCACAGGAGGACACCCTGCACCCTGGCTTCCCTTTCCTCTGCGATTCGGGAGGTGAGGGCGTACATCTGCTGAGAAGGCCTCCCAGAGCCCCGTGAGCATCCTGGAGTGTGCCTATTCCTCGGCCTGGGTTCCTTGAGAACAGGCAGGGCTCCCCCACGCCGTGGCCTGCTTGTGAGACGTGTCGCTGGAGGGGTTGTCCTGCTGCCCTGTGGCTGCCGTGACGTTGAGCTCCCACATTCTGGAAGTCCGAGATCCTGGGGTGGGCAGGACTGGTTCTCCTGAGGCCTCTCCCACTGCTGGGGGTCCCGGTGCCCCTTGGTGCAACTGTCTTGTGGATGCCTCACCCTCATCTCCACTGTCTTCTCATGGGGAGCTCCCCACCGTGGGTGTCTGTGTCCCGTGTCCACATTTCCTCTTTTTTTTTTTTTTTTTTTTTGAGACAGAGTCTCACTCTGTCACCCAGGCTGGAGTGCAGTGGCATGATCTCAGCTCACTGCAATATCCGCCTCCCGGGTTCACGCCATTCTCCTTCCTCAGCCTCCCAAGTAGCTGAGACTATAGGCACATGCCACCATGCCCGGCTAATTTTTTTTTTTTTTGTATTTTTAGTAGAGATGGGGTTCCACCGTGTTAGCCAGGATGGTCTTGATCTCCTGAGCTCGTGATCTGCCCGCCTCGGCCTCCCAAAATGCTGGGATTGCAGGCGTGAGCCACCGTGCCTGGCTCACATTTCCTCTTTTTGTAAGGAAACCAGTCACACTGGCTGAGCGGTCACCCTCCTCCACCGTGACCTCATCCAGCTAATGACACCTGAAGCAACTCCGCTTCCAAACACGGTCACGCTCTGAGGGGTTAGGCTAGGGGTAGGGTTAGAACTTCACCATATGAATGTGGGTGAGGGGCATGATTCAGCTTCAACAGGGTTGGGTAGGCAGAGGGGAGGAGGGCACACTCTCCAAGCCCTTGGGGCAGGCCGATCGTCACCCCAGCCTTCAGCTCCAGGGCCTGTGGGCCTCCCCCTCCGCCCGAGCGGCTTCGTAGACCTGGGGCTGAGTGTGGTTTTGTGCTCTGTGTCTCCCTCTTGAAATTCTTAGGGTTTTTTTGTTTTTGTTTTGTTTTGTTTGAGATGGAGTCTAGCTCTGTCGCCCAGGCTGAAGTGCAGTGGCACGATCTTGGCTCACCGCAAACTCCGCCTCCCAAGTTCAAGCGATTCTCCTACCTCAGCTTCCCGAGTAGCTGGGCTTACAGCCGCCCGCCACCACGCCTGGCTGATTTTTATATTTTTAGTAGAGATGGGGTTTCACCATGTTGGCCAGGCTGGTGTCAAACTCCTGACCTCAAGTGATCCACCTGCCTCGGGCTCCCAAAGTGCTGGGATTACAGGTGTGAGCCACCGCACCCGGCCAAAATTCTCAGTTTTTGAACCACAGGGTTCTGCATTCTCATTTTGCTCTAGCTCCAAAAGTGAGGCAGCCGGTCCAGCCTTCGGGCAGTAGAGGGCAGGAGGGGGTGGACCCCAGCCTCCACCTGCCTGTCCTCTTCCTGGCAAGGTTCCTGAAGCTCCCAGCGACGATGCTGGGGCTGCCCTTCTGCAGGCCAAGGGAAGGACCTCAAGGGCAGGAGGACACAGGCATTGCACCTGCCGATGCAGTGCCTGGACGGGTGGGTGAGCGGAATGGCTGCAACCTGGAGGCGAGACCCTACCACCATGAGGGGAGCCGTTTCAGGATGGCCTCAGGATGGAGGCCGCATGGTGAGAACCGCAGGGCTCTGCCATGTGCCACTCTGCAAGGGGGACTTGGGGGCCCTTAGGGACCCCCAGGGAGGAGGCGTGGGGAAGACACAGGCATGGCCTGTTCATCTCCATGGCGCTGGGCCTGATCTGGTTTTAGCCCTGCCCATCGTCTGGGCCACGGATCCCTCTGGTGCCTCCACTCGTGGGGCTCTGAAAGCCTCTGCTGGTCTTTGTGGTGTGTTTGGTGGGTGGGGGGCTCGCTGAGTCCCAAGGAGGCGGCCTCCGGTTCGGCCCCACCCTGATGGGTCAACACTCTGGGCCCAGGGCCCTCCCAACCCCTGGCCTCTCTCCAGCCCCTCTTTGCCTTGGGACCCCCTGTAAGTCCTTGCTGGTTGGATTTCTCAGGCCCAGCCGCTGGCCAGGGCTCCCTTCTCCCATTCTCCTGCGCTGAGGTTTCCAGCAGGGAAGCCTTCGCCACCTCTGTGGCTGCCCTACTCTGGCCCAGCTTAAGTCCTCCCCTGCCTCAGCTTTTGGGGTCTGGCTCCTGCAGTCATGCATCCCTCCTCCTGACCCTGGAGCCACTGCGTGGTCACTCCCAGAAGCTGGGGACAGTGAGGGCTGGAAACAGCCTCCATCCCTCCCCTCGGGCTGGCCTATGCCTCTTGGGAGGGTCCCTGAGGCACTGCCTTTAGAGCCTGGGGACACGAACCACTCGGTGGTCAACTCCAGCGACCAGAGCACGGAGAGCAAGGGGCAGCGGGGGGACGAGGCGGATGCCCGACAGCTCGGCATCAGCAAGGCAGTCCAAGACAGAACAAGGCACCCGACGGGTAGAACGCAGGGGCATCCCGGGCACAGCCCCCAAAGCCACCTGGGACCCACAGCTGTTTGATGTGCTCAAGGCTATGACCCCAGGCTTCGAGAAAAGACTCCACCAAGTTCCATGAGCACCTGTAGGAGAGCCGGCCTCTGGGTAGATTTCACCCAAAGAAGCTAAAACGCTCACGTGGTGCTTATGGGATCACAGACGTGTTTGTCCCTGATGCTGCAGGAGAACTGGCCACTCACAGGTGGACCTGATGGCCAGAGCTACTAGCGGGGACCAGGGGTAACATGGGTCCCCCTCCCCGAGCCATGAAGAGCTGCCTGCGGCCATCTTGGCCCTCGCACCCCGTCTCTGTCACCCCAGGCCCCTGTAACTTGCTTAACGCTTCCTGAGGGGTGGTTTGGGTTTTTTTTTTTTTCTTCCTCTCCTCTTGTAGCAACAGATTAAAAAACAACACCCTGACCCAAGCCGAGACAGGTTCCAAACCTCAACCTGCAGCCGGAAGGGGGAAGTGAAACTCGGCTGGGGGTGGGGGCTCAGAAGCCGCCCCAGAAAGCACTGAAAGCCACAGCACGTACACCCACTCCAGGGATCTGCCAGCACCCTGTGGGGCCCAGACTACAGGCTGATGGCGGAGGCTTCGAGTGACCCGGGTGCCGAGGAGCGGGAAGAGTTGCTGGGGTAAGGGTCTGCGGCGACGCCCGGCGCCCTGTGCCGTGTCCACGGGTGCATAGTCCTTGAGCTGCATGGAGGGTGGAGAACTGAGGTGCCTGATGGGGAATCTGGGGCCCCCAATGGGAGAACTTGGATGTCCGATGGGGAAACTGGGGACCCACAGACAGGTGGCAGGAAGTCTTGCTGGGACCCCCCTCTCACAACAAGGGTGGAGGTCTCTTCCGCCTGCCTCTGTGCCCTGGACTCACTGGGGGAGGCGCGTGGGATCCTAAGCCCATGGTGGATGCCTGAAGCGAGGAGACCCCAAGACGTGTCCTGGACTGCCAGGGAGGAGCTGGGGACTGTGGGCCCTGTTAGCTTGGGAAGAGGCAAGGTGGGGGCTGGGGAGCAGCTGTTCTGGGATGGGTGGAACTGGCCCGGGCCTGGCCACCTGCCCACAGGACTATCTGAGAGGGGCTATCCTGCCTTGAGGGTCTGGAGGCCGCCAGGCTTGGGGCCCAGCAGGCCTCAGGGCAGGGCACCCAAAGCTGCCCTTGACCTGCGGTAAAGGACAAGGCCAAGGATTCTGGCAGGTGCCTGTGCTGGGTGCCAGGCACCGTGTGTTGGTTGGAGTGGGGACATGAGGGGGCATGGCAGAGGTTGTGTGTAGGACTGCCAGAGCTGGGCAGAAAAACCCCGCTGCCAAAGGCCTCCTAGCGGGCAGCTGTACTCTGTGGTACCAATGGGCATCCAGCCCTGTGCTGGGGTGGGTGGAGAGGGCTAGCGGCTTAGTAACTGGGCTCCCTGGCAGAGGGGAGCTGCCGGCCAGCAGGCATCCAGGCATCACAGCTGAGCCTCGCCAGGGGAACCCGAGTTGCCCCCGGTGCAGGTCCCAGAAGAGATGGGAGGGCTCAGGGCGTGCGGTGCAGGGACAGGTAGGGCTTTGAGGGGCAGAGGGGCGACGTGCTAATGGTCAGGGGATGGGGATCCGGTGCTGGGGATAGAGGCCGGCCTAGGAGCAGGTCAGCGGGGGCTGTGGCCTGGTGTGCGGAAGGGAAGGCGCTGGGGCCCAGGTTGCAGAAAGAGTGTGATGCCCGCAGCCACACAGGACGGACCTGAGAGGAGGCCCAGGGTGACGCTCACATACCCCAAAACTGCAGCCAGGGCTGCTACCAGTCTCTGCCTTGGTGCTGACAGCAGAGGGTCCCGGTCTACCCGACCCGGGGCGGTGCAGGGACCACCTCCCGGCCTTCACACAAAGCTCCTGTGCTGTTGGTGGCTGCAGTCACTGTCCTGTGTCTGTGTCCTTGGTGGCCGTCACATTGCTGTGGGTCTGGTATGTGTGAGGGGTCTGCATCTCTGACTTCTTGCTGCCAAATCCCACTTGGGTACAGGTGCGGGGGGCCACTGAAGGGACCCCGAGTGCCGTGAGTGGAGTGGAGGCTAAGCAGAGGCCGGGGCTGGCTGAGGGCTGGGTCGGGACGTCCGTGCCTGTCCCCAGGGAGAGGTGGGAGGATGCCCTGCCCAGGCCGTGTGCAGGGAGACAGGCTTCTGGGTGCACAACAGCTGTGTCCCAGCTGCAAAACGGGCCCTCCTGTCAGCACCACCCCCAGCCCTGGACTAGGTGCTGCTCCTGGTCACCTCATGCCCATAGAAGGGCAGGACATGAGCCTCTGGGCTGGGGCACCCCCGCCTTCCTCCTTGGCCTCATCCTTGGCCACCCCCTCCCAGCTGTCTCAAATGCCCTGGATCCCCCGGGCCAGGAGCGGGGAGGGGGGGTTGGAGCGGGCATGGCCAAGGCACAGATGATCCTGGGGCATCTTGGTGCAGATCCTGGGAGGCCAGGGCTGCACCTGTGCCGGGGCTGTCAGGCGCTCCAGCTGGAGAGCGGCGGTTCTCCTGGGCTCTGCAAAGCCTGGACCCCCTCCTTGGACATCCCCTGCCCCCGCGAATTGCATGGGGTGCGCAGCCAAGCCTGACCTTTCAGAATGAAACTGAGAGCCCCAGTGGGGTAGGCTTCTCATTTCACAAGGTGACTAAGGGAACCGGGGAGTTTCCTGTCTAGGATGGGACAGAAGTCCCCTGCACCCAGGCAGGGATGTATGGCCTGGGAAGCCCCCACACGGGAGTCCCCAGGAAGGCCCAGGCTGGGCAGGCTCAGCTGGGGCTGGAGCAGTGGACAAGACAGCCCCCCGTGCATGTCACAGAGTGCCAGGTACGCCAGCCTGTGACGGTCTCAGGACATGCCCTCAACACTAGGTCCAGGGCAGGCCAAGCCCCTCCAGCTGGACAAGTGGGTCCAGCCCCTCAGACTGTCGCATGATGTGGCCCCTCCCCTCAGACTGCCCGGGACGGGGCCAGATTCCTCAGAACCACCCCTCCATGATGTGGTCTCTCAGATGCCCCCAGGACAGGACTGTCCTCTCCCACGAGGCCTCAGGCCAAAGAAGGTCCCCTGACCCTGGGCGGGGTCCAGGCTCCGCTTCGGCTACCAGCCAGGCTGGACTGCGGTTCCTCCACTCGGGGGCACTCCTGTCTCGCCCCGCTGTCCAGCAGACAGTCACTAGCTTGTCCTTGTCCCTTGGGGGCAGGGACGAGGATTTCACAGAGCTGCCTTGTGGCTCTGGGGGGACTCTCTGGTGACGCTGGGGGATGCCTGCCCTCTATAGCCCCCAAGAGCAAGGCTCTCCCCACACTGAGGAACTATCTGGCCTTGGAGGCCTTGAGGCGATGAGGACGGGGCGTCCTGGTCCACAGCTGGGGAGGGTCAGGTTGCCCTCTCAGACCTTGGGTTCGACATATCCAGATGTTGGAGCCCAGCTCTGCAGGGGTGTACCCTCCCTGGGGTCACACTGCATTTTTGGCTGCAGTGCCTGTCCTTGGCCCAGCTGCCCGGGGGTGCCCACCCGCCCAGGCGTGCCCACCCCATGTCCACACCTAGAAGGCAAGTCTGCCTGCCGCCACCCTGTCCCACAGACACCCTGGCTGCCCTCTCAGTCTGCCCCTGTGTAGCCCAGGCCCCCATCAGGATGACCCTACCCCCAGTCTGTTCCCCATGAGCGACCAGGCCGTGTCTCCCACGGAAAGAACCATTCACCAGCTACAGGCAAACTCCATGCCCCTGGGTGGCCATGCCAGGCCCTCCTGGCCTGGTTGAACTCACTTCCCATCCCACCAGCTTTCCCAGCTCTTCCCAGTTTTGGAAGGTGTCAGAGCCCTGGCACATGCCCCTCCTAGCATCACCCAACCGCCCTGCTCCTCTGCAGACCTTCAAAGGCCTGCCCAGCCCGCGGTGGGAGGCCGCTGCCCAGGGCTCTGGCAGCACCTGCCATGGACAGGGCCAGTCCTGGAGCCCCGCCTGGCCCATCGGAGCCTCCCTCGCTTCTCTGTGTGCTGAGCTGAGTTGGGAAGGGCAGGGATGACCTGAGGGGCTGCTCTGGCAGGGTTCCTTCTGGCCATCTGTCCCTGGAGACCCTCAGAGCTCCAGATTCTGAAGGAGGAAGGGGCTGGAGGCCCCCGGCAGCCCCCTGGAAGTCTTCATCTGAGCAGCAGGAGCCCATGGGATGGAACCCCCCAGGCAGCCAGGCCCTTGGGCAGCCCTCCCGCCCACCTGCCCTCCGAGCCAAGGCCAGGCACCACCTGGAGGATGTGCAATGCTCCACGCTGGGGCAGGTGGCCCTGAGAGCCCCCAGCGGTGCCCACGACTGCTCAGGAAAGAGGGCAGAGCTGGGGACAGTTGGGGAAGCCACCTCAGCCCCAGCCCTAGCCCCACAGGGGCTGCTGAGGGAGGTTAGGATTGAGGGCTAAGCCCTGGGGCTCCCTCCCTACACCTTCCTGTGGTCAAGACCTGATGTCTGGACCCAGGATCCCTGGGGAGGTCCCCTTCCTCCTGCCCTGGGTAAGGGGTCTGAGGCATCTGGAAGTTTCCCAGGGAAGCAGAAGGATGTCTTCTTCCTCGTGGGCTGGCAGGCGCTGCTGTCCACCGACACCCAGCTGGGCTGGTCGCACAAGTGGGAGCATCACAGGCCCCACCCCCGCTGATTCTGGAAGCCAGAATCCTTTCTTCCTGCGCCCCCTTCCTGGTTCCCTCGTGTCTCCTAAAACAATCCTGGAGCCACACAAGGGCAGTGCCAGGAGGGTCTGGGGTCCAGCTGGGACAGGCCCTGGCCGGTGACACCCTGGGGTGGCAGGATGGTGGGCCTCTGCTCCGCTACCCTACGGGCCAGCCTGTCTCCACCTCAGTTCCCTGAGAACGTGCCAGAGGGATGGGTGAGCCCTAGAGAAGAGGAGGGTGTTGGCAGTGGAAAGGGCCCAGTGGTCTCCCGCTCTGAGTCCTCAGCCTGGTGAGGGGTGGGGGCGTGAGCTCTGCCTTGCAGTCCCAGCCCCTGAGATCCCACTGCTGGGGCGGCGGGAGGGGGATGGGCTGCAAGGCCCCAGGGCTGGCCTTGCTTCGGCTGCTATAGGCCCTCGGAGTGCTTTCTGGATGAGTAAGCCGCACCCCTCTGAAGCCTCAGTTTCCCCATCTGCACACTCAGAATGTAGCCACTCAGACCAAGCGTTCACTCCATGCCAGTCTTTGCCAAGCTATTTATTTATTTATTTGAGACAGAGTCTCGCTCTGTTGCCCAGACTGTAGTGCAGTGACACAATCTCGGCTCACTGGAACCTCCGCCCTCCAGGTTCAAGAGATTCTCCCACCTCAGCCTCCTGAGTAGCTGGGATTACAGGCACCTGCCACTGCCCCCGGCTAATTTTTGTATTTTTAGTAGAGAAGAGGCTTTCACCATGTTGGCCAGGCTGGTCTTGAACTCCTGACCTCAGGTGATCCACCCGCCCCAGCCTCCCAAAGTCCTGGGATTACAAGCATGAACCACCGCGCCCTGCCTTTGCCAAGCTTTTTAAACCAAGGCTCTTGTTTCATCCCCCGGAGCTGTGAGGCAGGTCCCTGGAGCCTCCCATTTCACAGACGGAAACCGAGGCTCACAGGGGCCAAGTGCATTGTCCAAGGGCTGCTCCCTGCCTGGGGAGGGGCCTGAGTCCTTGCCCCTGTGGGGTTCGGGTGCTGAGGGCCCACAAGACCTGCGGGCACCAGGAGGGAGCTGGGCTGGGCTGCCCTTCCCGGGGTCTCTCTGACCCCACACCACACACCAGCCACTCTGGACTCAAAGGCTCCCAAGAGCACCAGAGCACTGCTCATGGCCCAAGCTCAGCAAGCACTTAAAGGGACCGTCCCGAAAAGCGGAACTGGGACCGGGCGCTGCAGGACCAGCAAGGTCCTCCACTTCCCTCCAGCCCAGCCCCGCCCAAATCCCAGCCCTCAGCATCTTTTTGGGGGCCACTAAAGACCTTCTGGGAGATGGCAGCCCAGGACCATAAGGCAATCGAAGAGGGCTTTCCACATGCGCTGAGGCAGACAGAACCAGGCCCTGGCTGTGGACGAGGCTGTATTGATACTTAGAAGAGAGGGAAGCGAGCGGGCTGGAGAGGCTCGGCCAGGGGGCAGCCCAGCAGGGCCCCTTCCCCAGGGTTAGACTCTCTACAGCCGGCCCAGCCCCCATCCCCTCCCCAACATCTAGGGACCTGAAAAGAGGTTGGAGGGGCTGCATGGGGGTGGGGTTGATAGGAGATTAGGGGATTGAGAAAGCCAGGCCTCCTAGCCGTGTCCCACCCAGCACGGCCCCACCAGTGCCAGACACAGGCAGACAAGGGAGGAGGGAGATGCTGAGCAGGGGTGGCAGGAGGAAAGCCCCTGGCCCTTTCTTGGGGCCAGGCAAGTCCTATCCTAACTCCATCTGCTAACTGCCTCCAAGCTGCTTGTGGGTTGTCGGGGAAGGGAGTTTGTGGCAGGGAGGGCCTCTGAGTCCCCTGTATCCCCCGGCAGGAGGAGGCAGGCACATGGGCCCCTGACCTCAGTGCTTGGAGCAGGGCCGCTCTGGTGGGGCATTTGTAGGTCACAGCATGAAGGGTTCCAGCATACTTCCTGGGTTCCCAGTTTCCCTGGGAGCAGTGGTATAGACGCAGGGGCCTCTACACACACCACACGCTCAGGGAGAGTGGCTGAGGTGTCCAGGATACTCTGTCCACTGGGGCAGGGGGTGGCTTCTAAGCCCAGTACCCTTCCCAGAGTCCCCAGTCTCCAGCTGCTCATGGGCTGCAGATGAGGATTCAAGGTTATGCAGGGGTCACTCTCCTGCTCCATCCCTGGCAGGTGGGACCTCACCTACTGCTTCTTTCTGCTCCAGAGAAGAGCACGTCCCCCTCATCTCAAAAGTGCCTGTGCTCCTCCTTCCTGAGTGGAACCTACACTTTTGACAGTTTGGTTTCTGAGGCAAGGCTGCCTCCTCCTCCTGTCCCAGGTACCTCCCCTCAGAAAAGCAATGGGACTTGGGATAGAAGGATCTAGCCAATTCGTTCCAGATGAATCTAGAAATAATCCTTTAGCCTTTCTCTTAGACCCAGTCCCAACCAAAATCTGAGCTTCATCACCACCACCCAGCACCCACCATTCACCACCCAGCCTCCAGCCCCCAGCCCCCAGCCCCCAGCCCCCAGCACCCATGACCCACCACCCTGCCCCCTACCCGTGGCTCTGGCCCATTCTCCTGCTGTCAGCAGTGCCTGCTTGAACAGAGGGCCACACTGAACAGATGCATGCTGCAAGCATTTGGAGGCTGCCTCCTCTTTAAATCACAGACATTTATCCACCAGGGATCACTCGGGAGCCAATGAGGCCACCACCCTGACCTCCCCTGTCCCCATGGGCTCTCTCAGTGCTCAAAGCACCTTTCACTGGGATGCTGCTCTGTGAACATACATTCGCAGGTATGTGTCGGGGATGATGAGAATGTGTCAATATGAAGACAGATCCCTGCCCCTGTAGCCCCTGCTTAGGCTCTATTGAGGTGTTCAGCCTCCTGGGCCATGGTGGTCTGCTTTATCCTTGGGCCATGAGCTTATGAACCATGTCTTAGTTGCATAAGAAAGGAAAAATAAAGATTAGAAAAGAATCAATTATGGAGAACAGTATGAATGAATGGAAAGATGAATGAAGAATGATAGGAAGTAGGAACAAATGGATGGATGGATGGATGGATAATTGAATGATGGATGGATGGATAATTGAATGATGGATGGATGGGTGGATGGATGGAGGGATGAGTGGATGGATAGGTGCATGGATCGATGGACAGGTGGGTGAATGGATGGGCAGATGGATGGGGTGGATGAATGAATGGGTTGGATGGACTCATGTATAAATAGAGTATAACTCATGCATAAATAGAAAGAATTATTTAGTAATTGATGAATGGATGAACAAATGAGCAGATGAACAAAAAATAGATGGATGGACAGAAGAACATCTGTATGTATATATGGATGTTTGGATGAAAGAACGAATGGATGGGTGGATAGATAAATGCAGATGTGATATTTAGAATATTTAACAAAGCATGTGGTACAAATATGAATCTACTGGAATGGGTGCTGATTATATATATTCCTATATTGAACTGTGTTGTACCTGTGCATATTGGCTGATCATCAGCCCAACAGCTAAATGAGCAAATGTACCAAAACAAAAGATGAGTGGATTTATGGATGAATGGATGATGGATGAATGGGTGTATAAATGGGTAAATGAATGTATTGATGGAAGGACACATGAGATGGAATTATGTATGGGTGGATGATTGGATGGCTGGAATATGGACATATAAATGATTGGAAAGATTAATAGAAGGATGTCAGGAGAAGTAGACATATGGATGGATATGGATAATAGATGAATAGATGGATACGTGGGTGGATATAACAAGAGATGAGTAGAAAGATAGATAGATAATGAATCAATAGACAATTGAATCCGTGCTGAGTAAACTATTAGAAAGACGGATGTGTGAGTAGACACTACTAAATCAGGAATTTTGCACTCTCTTCCAGGAACACTTCCTCCCATTTCTCTCATCTCTTTTCAAATAAGAAAAGAATTACTTCTTTCCATGAGGCTTTCATATATAAAGACCCAAGGAAAGAATTACTTATTTCCATGAGGCTATCATACGTAAAATATCAATCCCCTCCAGAACTCCATATGCCTTTACCCTGATTTATATTTTCTGTCATATTTTCCATCATCTGACCTTTATTTATTTATGTGTTTGTTCCCACACTTGAAACATGATCATCATAAGAGCAGGGACTTTGTTAATGCTGAATCCCCAGCACCTTCAAAGTGTCTGAATTCAGTACAGATTTATTGAATAAATATATGGAAGGATGGAGAGACAGATGGATAGACAGATGGATGAATGAATGGATGGATGGATAGATGGGTGGATGGATGGATGGGTGGATGGATAGATGCATGGATGAATGGATGGATAGATGGATAATGGATAGATAAATAGATGAATGGTTGGATGGATGGATGAATGGATGGGTAAATGGATGGATGGATAGGTGAATAGATGGATAAGTGAATGGATGGATGGATGGATAGATGGGTGGATGGGTGGATGGGTGGGTGGATGGATGGATGGATGGATGGATGGATGGATGGATGGATGGATTGGTGGATGAGTGGATGAGTGGATGGGTGGATGGATGGATGGGTGGATGGATAGATGGATGGATGAATAGATGGATGGGTGAATGGATGGATGGATGGATGGATTGATGAGTGGATGGATGGATGGGTGGATGGATAGATGGATGAATAGATGGATGGGTGAACGGATGGATGGATGGATGGATGGATGGATTGATGAGTGGATGGATGGGTGGATGGATAGATGGATGGATGAATAGATGGATGGGTGAATGGATGGGTGGATGGATGGATGAGTGGATGGATGGATGGATGAATGGATGGATGAATGGATGGATGAGTGGATGGGTGGATGGACGGATGCATGGATGAGTGGATAAATGGATGGATGAATAGATGGGTGGGTGGATGGGTAAAATGGATGGATGAACTGATGGATGAATGGAGAGATGGACAGAGAGATGGATGGATGAGTAGATGGATGGATGAGTGGGTGAATGGATGAGCGCACACATAACAGTGGAGTTGACATCAAATACTCTCCCATATTGTCCCTCACAGGACATGCTCTAGTTGTAAAACCATGAATCTTGGCCGCTACATGTAAATATCTGTTCTTGTCACTTCCCATCCATCAGCATTTCTGACAGATGATCATTCTCTAGTGACAGGGAAGTCCTGCCATTCCAAGGTAGCTCTTTTCCCTGTGGGAATATTCTTCCTTCTTTTGAACTAAAATATGCCTTGGCCACATTTCATTCCTGGCTGTCTGTGGCTGGGACTCCTCCAGAAGTTAAAACAGGAGGCAAGGAGGAAATAGGCAGGTTGAGGTGCAAATGAAGCACATGCTCACTGCCCCCCACCCCAGGTAATCTCACCTTACCTGGGTGATCTGTCCTCCCTGAGTGATCTCAGTTTCTCTGTGTGATCTTCCCTACCCCTGGTAATCTCACCTCCCCTGAGTGATTTAGCTTTCCCTGGGTGATCTCACCTCCCCTGGGTGACCTCACCTCCCCTGGGTGACCTTACCTCCCCTAGGTAATCTCGCCTCCCCTGGGTGATCTCACCTCCCCTGGGTGATCTCACCTCCCCCAGGTAATCTTGCCTCCTCTGGGTGACCTCCCCTCCCCTGGGTGAGCTCACTAAACATTTGTCCAACCTGAGGTCCAGCCCTGGCTACCATCCCTCCTGCTTACTCCAGAATCCTGTGGTCTCTGCAGCTTTGTGGATGCTGGGGATGTGGGGCCAACACCATGGTCTCTAGTGGACATTCCCTGCTTCCTCCTGGGTTGTGCCGGGGGAGGGGAGATGCTGTGGGCTCCTCTCTCCAGGACTGGCCCTGGGACCCAGTCTGGTGTGTATGTAGGGAGTGGGGACGGACTTCCTGACTCCCGCAGTCTCCATGGGGTAGCCCACCACCTGAGTCACCACAGCCCGGTCTATGGTCCCATGTGGAATTTTCCGACTGTTGCCGCCACCCCCGGCGTGCTGCCCTCCGCGGTGATTCACCCGCTTGCCCGTCTGCTCACAGCCTCACCCTTGCTTCCCTCAGTGTTCCCAAGGTGCTGCGCAACCCCAACTCCCTGGCCTGGCCAGGGTCATGATAGCTGGGGAGGCAAGAGGTGGCTGTTCTCCTTGAATGTAGGGACAGAGGGTGGCATGGGCAGATGAGTGCCCGTGCACAGATGGTGGCCCAGGACTAATTGGGTGGCCAGCGGCCGGCAGATCTGGCTCTGGTTCTGGCTGTGCCAGGCCCTCACTCTGTGACCTTGGATGCCAGTGCTGCTGGCTGGACCTTGGTTTCTCCATCCTGGACATGGGTACATGGTGGTTCTGAGTGCCAGCGAGCTGGGCAAACCGCCGGATGTGAGACTGCCGTCGCGGAGCTGACCCTCGGTGAGCCCTGAACATGCGTCCCATCCCACCCCTCGTCCGTCCGGCCACTAGCCCCGAGTGTTCTCCAGTGAGTCACAGCAGCCAAGCCCAACCAGAGGAACAGAGGGCTGGGCTGCTCCTCCCTGGGCCAGGGCCAGAGGACGCGGGCAAGGGGGGCCTGGCTGGCGAGGGCACCAGGCCCACTTTGTGCCCACTGGCCACCTCTTGGGACCATGCTGTGCCAATACCAAACCGAAGATGCTGCGTTGGTGGCGTCTCTGCCTCTTGGGTCAACTCTGCAGTCTGGCTGGGGGGTTGGGCCCACCAGGAAAGGCAGCAGCCTCCCCATTTGGGGAACAGAGAGGGTTCTTGGGGTGCCAAGCCTTCTCTGGAGGTGACAACAAGAGCAGAGGCCGGGAATGAACAAAGGGAAAGTGGAGAACCAGGAGCGGGGGAGAGGGGAGGAGGGGAGAGGAAGGGAGGGGAGGGGAAGGGAGGGAGGAGGGAAGGAGGGAGGGAGACAGAGATAGGGACAGAGACACCAGAGGGAAAGGAGAGAGGAGAGAGGGGCTGAGTGCGAGACGGGGAAGGAGGGGACGGGACAAAGAGGAACCAGCGAAGGGTCCAGGCCTGCGATGATGGTGAGGGAGGTGGCAGGTTGACGAGGGGCTGGACAAGAACGGCCGACGAAGGAGAAGAACAGAGGAGGGCCCGGGCAGGGCCTGGCAGAGGGCATGAGGCACTCCGAGGTGGGAGGCGGCGATGGGCAGAATAGGCCCCTGTGCCTGGGGCAGGGGCACCACAGAGGGCTAGGGGAGACCGAGAAGCGGGCAGCGGCTACCAAGGTGGCCTGAGGGCAGAGGCGGAGGGAGGAAGGGAAAGAGGAAGGGAGGGAGGGAGGGAAGGAGGCAGCCACGCTGCCCATCAGCGCGCCACAGAGGTCTGGCTGAGCCCCACGCTGCTGGGCTGGGAGAGTTTTCGCTCTGACATTTTTACTCTTCTCGGAAGGAGGAGGAGGTGGAGGTGGAAGAGATGGAGGCGGGAGGAGAAGGGGGCTGGGGGAAACAAAAGAGAAGCAGCTGCTGAGAGTCCTGAAGTAGGAGAGGGGAAAGGGAGACCCACAGTCAGGGAGACCCACAGGGATGGGGACACAGGGACCAGGCTGCCTGCAGGGAGCCGGCCTGCAGACCCTCGTGCCAGGAGCCGAAGGGAGGGACCAGGCTGCCCACAGACCCCTGTGCCAGGTGCCAGAGGGAGGGACCAGGCTGCCCAAGGGAGCCGGCCCACAGACTCCTGTGCCAGGGGCCAGAGGGGCCAAGACAGGCAGGCAGAGGGTCACAGGGACAAGGAGAACACCAGACAGAGAGAAGGGACAGGGGAGGGGTGACAGCCAGCGAGAGACCGAGGGCCAGGGCAGAGCGCCAAGGAAGTGCAGGAGTGAGAGGGGCCAGGAGAGGCAGGAAAGCCAAGGAGAGCTGGGCACAGGGGGGCAGGGGTGCGGGAGGAGGGCAGCAGAGAGGAGGGCCAGCAGGACAGGAGCCTTTGAGATGCTGCTCTATCCCCGGGGCTGGGGTCAGGCCAGGTCGCCGCCTGAGCAGAGGCTGCAGCCTGGGCAGTCCCGGGCTTCTGAGGAGGAACTCTAGCAGACAGGGCCTGGATACCTCTTGAGGTAGGTCCCTCCTGCCCTGGCTGGGCATGGAGGGCAGGGCAGGGTGCCCATGCTGGGCTGCCACATGCACCGGGCCACTGGGCCTCCCCCCAGCTTCGGTAGGCTCTGCTGCCCCAAGCGTGGGCAGCGAGAGGGTGCCAGGCTGGTTGCGTGTACATGTGTGAGTGCGGAGGCTGCTTGAGGCCTCTCTTCCTCCTGGCTCCTGGCAGCTGCCCATGCATTCTCCTTCCCCATCCCACCTGCACTGCCGGCTGCGCTGTCGCCTGCTCACACCGTCCCACCCGCACCGCCGGCTGCACTGTCACCCGCTCACACCGTCCCACCTGCACCGCCGGCTGCACTGTCACCCATTCACACCATCCCACCTGCACCACCGACTGCACTGTCACCCGCTCACGCCGTCCCACCTGCACCGCCGGCTGCACTGTCACCTGCTCACACCTCTCCCCGAGCCCCAGGGATTCTGCTTGACTCTGAGCCCCCAAAATGAAGGGCCCATCCTCTGGGTGGCTTCTGGGGCCTCCCGTGGGGTCCTTCGGATCCTGGGCACCCTTCAGTCACCCTCACTTCACAGATCATGAAACTGAACTTTGGGCTGAGCTTACCGGCCCTGGCTGCAGCCACCAACCCTGAGTGGGAGGCTCCTCAGGGCCAGGGAAGGTGCCCGGGCCTTGTCCACCTGCAGGTGTTGGGCCAGTGTGGTGCCCTCTCCCAGCCTGTTTCTTCCTCTGTAAAGTAGTGGTGTGGCCCTTCATGGGGTCAGGTGGGAGAGCAGAGTTTGGAGGGCCCAAGGCTCCTCAAGACCCAGCCTGGGCAGTCTCAGAGATATCCCTCTGCACCGTCAGCCACTCTGAGCCGCCTGTAGTGCCCTTTCTCCTCCTCAACCCTTCCAGGCTTTTAAGCCAAACTGAAACACCACCTCCTGCTTGAAGGCTGCCTTGCTTCTTCCTAACCTGGAGGGCTGTCCTGCTCTGACTTCCTTTGATGGCATGGAGCATGCTGGCCGGACCTCGAGCTACTGGAAGGCAGGGCTGGCATCGGTCGGCTTGCCACTGCCCACCCAGGCCAGGCACTCAGTGCTGAGACTCTGAGAGGCCAGAGAGCCAGGGATGCCCATGGGGGTGAGCTAAGTGGGGTCTGAGGAGTTGAGGGCAGCCCGGCTCACCCCTCCTCCCCAGCTCCCACTTGTTGGGTCCGTGCAGATGCAGAGAGATGGCTCCGATCTGGTCCCCACCTGGCAGGGTCTCCGGCTGTCACCTGAGTTCAGGACCAGCACCAGGATCTGCAGTGGGCCCCTGGCTGGGCACACCTCATCCCAGCCTCCCCCTACCCCTGGCCCCCCATAAGCCTCCTCCTCCTGGGCTTCCAGGCTCTGCTGGTCAGACCTCCCTCCCTGCCCAACGGGAATGTGTTTTCCCAGGGGACGCTGCTGTCCACCAGGAGCTCTGTGGCCTGGGATTTGAGGAGTGCCTGGGGTCAATCCCCCAGGCTCACCAGTGCTACTTAACAAATGGGCCCAAGAGAAGGAAGTGCAGCCCCCGGAGGAGGGGCAGAGCCCCTGCCTGGCTGTGCGGTGGCTCACCCCCTTGTCACCAGGGGCTCGGCCATGAGCATCCGTCCAGCGGGCCCAGCACCAACTGCAGCCCCAGGTGAGCAAGCCGCACTCAGGAGGCACTGAAACCGTGTGGGCCCAGGCTCGGGGCCAGTCCCTGTGGACCTGGGGAGGAGACACTGAAGCCGCGTGGGCCCAGGCTCAGGGCCAGTCCCTGTGGACCTGGGGAGGAGGCACTGAAGCCGCGTGGGCTCAGGCTCGGGGCCAGTCCCTGTGGACCTGGGGAGGAGACAGTGAGGAGGGGACCTCACTTGCGGTGGTCAGCCAGTGGGTTGGTGGCATAAGGACCCGTCCCTTTGAACTCCCTTGGAACTTGTCCTGATGGGGGCTGGGCAGAGGGCAGCAAGAGTCCCTTGTCCAGCTAAGGGGAGCCACCAAGGTGAGCTACATGAAGCAAGGCTGACACGTGTGCACTAATACACACCCCCTCCAGGACACAGACCCAGAGGCCGCTGCACCCCACCCACCCACCACACCCACACACACACATGCACACACACACGACCACCCGGGACAGTACTGCGCTCACCACCACTGCCATGATCTCTTCTCTGCAGCCTCCAACAGCTCGGACTTCCCCAGTCCCAGCCCTGCAGGCCAGGCAGACTGCCCCCTACCCACTCCCTGTTGGATAAAGGAGTGAGCCAGGCTCAGAGAAGCTGTGGGTGAAGAGACTTCAAGGCCACTCAGCCGGGCATGATGAGCCCGGGTCCCTGGGTCCCTCCTCCACCCGCATCACCCCACCCCTTTCCCGGGGACCCCTTGGGTGTCCTGCCATGTCAGGTGCAGGGCTGGGAGAGGCATTGCAGGCAAAGTGCTGTGTCCTCAGTGATGAACCCTGAAGGGCCATGCTAGGTGCCCGCAGCTGCCAGGGAATAAATTCAATGCAGTTTACATCCATTAAAAATGGTGCTCTGGGCCAGTGGGAAAACGTGTCCCCCCTGCCCCGTCGCCCCCCACCCCTGCCCCAGCGATTCTCCTTGTCTACACCCAGTGCAAGCCCAGGGGCTCTGCATGTAGTCCCATAACACCATTTTCTCCAGGTCTGGCTGTACCCAGCCCCTGCCAGAATGCGGCTTCTGGCTGGCAGGGTCAGGCCCTGGGCTGACCTACCCCCAATGCCTCCCTGCCAAGTCTGCCCTTCCAGGCACCTGGGAGTCTGCCCTGTGCCTCCTGCCTGCCCCTGGGCAACTCGGGGCTCTCCCAGGGCCAGCTCGGGCAAGGCAAGTGTTAGGGATGGTCAGGGGACCTCAAGAGGACTTCAGCCCACTCAACTCCAGACGTCACCCGGACTCAGCCAGCGGCCTGGCCCTGCTACCTGTGGGGTCCTGGCTTTGTGAGAGGGCACCAGGCCGGCTGAGAGTGCCTTGTAGCCTGGCCCGGAGTGAAGAGGGGGGCTGGGGATCAGCCTGGCAGACGTTCTTATCAAGCATTGAGGTCCCCGGAGCCCCGTGCCCACCCTTAGCCATGGCTCTTTGGGCGGTGTGAGCCCCTCCATTCCCTCCATCTCGGGCACACATCTGCCCACACATATACAGATGTGGCAGCCACACCGTGCTTGGCTCTCCGCAGGGCTCTAAGGCCCCTCAGGCAGGGACCCACCCTGAGCAGCCTGGTCCAGGGACCTCTGGGGCTCCTGATGTGGCCAGTGGGGCAGGAATGGGCTGGCAGCCTGCTGGGCTGGCCCTGAGGGGGCTGGGGGAAGCCAGGCCTCCAACCACAGTGTCCAAAAGGGTGTGGCTGCCTTGGGCCCATCCAGGCCTGAGATCCTGAGGGTGGGGTAGCCCCCGCCCTGGCAGGGCTGGAAGTCGGTCTTCGGACAGAGCCCGTCCTGCCCAGAAGCCCAGGCGAGCCAGCAGCAGGGGTGCAGGGACCGAGTGGCCCAGCCCCCTGGGCAGGGTGTCAGGGCCAGAGCCCAGAGGACGGCGGTTCAGGCTTCAGTCCCAGCCGGCGAACCAGAGCTGGGCAGAGCGGCCAGCAAGCGGCAGCCAGGGTGCCCTGGGCACTCGACCCCCAGATGCCCCTGCTGGAACCGTAAAGGGGAGGCACCCTGAGGCCAGAGGGAGCATGGCCCCGGGGACTGAGCATCCGGCTCAGAGCGGCTTGGCAGAGGTCGGTGGACTGGGGTTAACCACAGAGGTCTCTGGAGGGCAGACAGGAGCCACTGCAAGTGGGAGCTTGTGGGAGAGAAGCCCTTGGGTGACCCCTGGATGGGGCGGGGACCATTAGGGAGAAGGGTGAGGGGCTTGGCCCCTGCCCCAGGCTCCAAGTGGGCTGAGACCCGGGAGGCTTGAGGGTCGGCTGCTACCCATGACGGGTTGGGGAGGTATTGGTGCGAGCTGAGGTGGTGCTTGCGGAGGTGAGATTGAGGGCCGGGCCTGGCCAGGGATGCTGGGAGGGGGGCAACCCTGTGCCTGGGGCTGTGAGGGTCTCTTGACGAGAACAAACCCTACCTGGGGAGAAGTGACAGAGAAAAGAAAGAAAGAAAGCGAAGGCACGAGAAAGAAATGAGAGAAAGGGAGGGAAAAATGCTGAGAGGGAGGGAGAGCAGGGGCTGCCTTGAAGGAGGAGGGAGGGGGAGCAGAAGCGGGTGCAGGGTGGTGGCAGGATGGGAAGGGCAGAGGGAGGGGCTGAGGTGCGAATGGAAGCTGTGTGAGGGTCCCGGGCACTGCCCCTTGCCGCCGACCCCAGGTGTGGGAGGAGGGGTCTCTCCCACGTGGGCCGCACCTAGCAGGTGCCGGGGCAGAAGGCTCAGAGCCGCTGTCTCACACAGCTTCTTGGTGCTCCAAAGACGGGCGGTAGGAGGAAGATCAAAGAAGCGAGAAATGGATGCTGGAGGAACGCAGTGAGGCCAGGCGAGGGCTGGCGAGCTTGCCAAGGAGAGGGCGGGCGAGGAAAATGGGGCGCCCCACAGAGGAGGGGGCGTGGGGGGGGCTGGTTTTCCCCGAGACTGAGAAATGAATTTCTGCACCCGGACTGGGACCCCCTGGGTCAGGACCCTCCACTCACATTCAGGAGCAGCACCTCTTCTGGCC
The DNA here is from genome assembly GCF_000001405.40 of Homo sapiens. Lineage (NCBI taxonomy): Eukaryota > Metazoa > Chordata > Mammalia > Primates > Hominidae > Homo > Homo sapiens. The sequence goes on from NC_000011.10 coordinate 1,869,910, forward strand.
TCTGTCCCTGCCTGGTCTTCCCCACACCCGGTTCTTGGGGGTTGAGGGGTTGGAGCCCCAGCCACGTCATCAGCTCCCTGGGACCCCTGCGTGAGACGTGAGAGGTGCACCTCCGAGCCTCCGTTTGTGCATCTGTAATGGGGATGATAGGACTGCGCCCCTGGCGACCATTGTGAGGACGGAGGCGCTGGCTGCACTGGTGCTCACTGTGCCTCTTTAAACGGGGATGTCTGGACCTCTGGTGCAGAGGACCAAGGCCGGTCCACTTGACCTCAGCCATGAGGACATCCCAAGGCCATGTGAGTCTCCCACGGCCCACTGAAGCTGGTCCTTCATACCCCATTTTGCAAACAGGAAAGCTGAGGCTCAGGGAGGCACCAAAGCTTACTCCCATCCTGGGGCTTGGCAGGGGGTGCCCGCAGCACCCGGGGACATACACCGGGGAGTCTCCTGGGAAAGAAGTGCCGGCCCAGGGGCAGACTCTTTTCTGCTCTGCCATGTCTTCCCTGCACCCCCAGGGATGATGAGTCTGGGAGGGGCTGGTCAGCCATGAAAGCTTCGGGGAGGGGCCGGTGGCCAGGCCGGGCACCCCAGAGCTCCACAGGCAGACATGGTGTGGGGGTGTCAGGAAGAGGGCCTGGCTGCTGGGTGCTACGGTAGGAAGATCCCGGTGCTGTGGGAGTGGAGCAGGTGGTTGAATGCCAGGCTGGCTTGGTCCTTCTCTCTGGGTGCCGGCTGTGGCTCCCGCCCAGGTGGGCACCACGTCTGAATAATGTATGAAGCCTCTGGTTGCGTGGAGGATGGGAGCGCTTCGGGCAGCATCTGTGGGCAGAGACTTCAGGGATGTGAGGTACATCTGGGCATGGCTAGCTGGGAAGGAAAGAGGATGGCAGAGCCTCGAGCCGTTGCCAGGGACTGGTTGCGTGTCCCAGAACGTGCCAAAAGCCTGCCTCGTGAGCACGGCAAGAGCTCTGCCAGGGCAGTCCCAGCTGGCCCAGGCGCCGCAGCGCTCCCGAGGGCCGTCGAGCAAAGGCGGGAGGCGCAGCCGGGCTGTCGGTGGACCTGTAGGTATCAGGGCTCCTTGGTCCCCTCCTGCGGGAAGCAGGCACCGAGTGGGGCTGCATGTAGACGCATGCGAGGGTGAGAGCTGCGGCGGAGGACGCTGATCGCGGAGTGCAGGCGAGGGCCCCAGAAAGGTCCCGCAGGTCGCCTCGCTCGTGGCACGGGCTCGGCAGCGTTGTGGTTAGTGACACGGAGGAAGACAGAAAGCCATATGCACAGCACGCAGAACAGGAGGAGGGGGGAAGAAAGAGCAGGCACGGGGCAGGCAGAGCCGCAGCCACGCCGCCGGGATGCAGCAGGCAGGGCCACCCACGAGCAGGGCGGGGCCCTAACCTCCGACCCAGGCTGGTCGCCGCAGATGGGGGCAGAGATGTGAAACAGCTGCAGAGCGGGACAAGGGTGCTGCCGGCACAGGGCTGACCACAGAGCACATCAAAAGAGGTAGGGCACCCAGCGCAAGGGAGGTGATGGGCTGGTCAGCAGGACATCAAGCCGGTTCTGGACCCTGCTCTGAGGACGGTCCCTGACCCAGCCTCTGAGGACCAATGGGAAGCCAGGGGTAGAGGGGTTGGGGGAAACCAGGCTCCATTTTCCAGTCTCAGCAGGGGGCCAAGGCTTGCGGCTCTGCGGAGGCCACACCATGAGGTTTCCAGGGTCATAGATGCCCTTTGGTCAGCGCTGTCTGCCGCTGCACGGGCACCCCTCCTGTTGGGTGTCTGGGTAGACTTGGGGGTCTGTCCGGCTGGCGTGGGCACCTTTGGGAGGGGGGTGTGTGTGGCGGGCAGGCCTGGGCTGTAGTCACCCCAGCCCGTGCTGGTAGAGTTGGGGTCTGTCCGGCTGGCGTGGGCACTTTTGGGACGGGGTGTGTGTGGCAGGCAGGCCTGGGCTGTAGTCACCCTGGCGCACGCTGGTAGAGTTGGGGTCTGTCTGGCTGGCGTGGGCACTTTTGGGAGGGGGGGTGTGTGGCGGGCAGGCCTGGGCTGTAGTCACCCTGGCGCACGCTGGTAGAGTTGGGGTCTGTCTGGCTGGTGTTGGCACCTTTGGGACGGGGTGTGTGTGGCAGGCAGGCCTGGGCTATAGTCACCCTGGTGCACGCTGGTAGAGTTGGGGTCTGTCTGGCTGGCGTGGGCACTTTTGGGAGGGGGTGTGTGTGGCGGGCAGGCCTGGGCTGCAGTCACCCTGGTGCATGCTGGTAGAGTTGGGGTCTGTCCGGCTGGCGTGGGCACCTTTGGGACGGGGTGTGTGTGGTGGGCAGGCCTGGGCTGTAGTCACCCTGGCACACGCTGGTAGAGTTGGGGTCTGTCCGGCTGGCGTGGGCACCTTTGGGACGGGGTCTCTGTGGTGGGCAGGCCTGGGCTGTAGTCACCCCAGCCCATGCTGGTAGAGTTGGGGTCTGTCTGGCTGGCGTGGGCACCTTTGGGACGGGGTGTGTGTGGCGGGCAGGCCTGGGCTGCAGTCATCCTGGTGCGTGCTGGTAGAGTTGGGGTCTGTCCGCTGGCGTGGGCACCTTTGGGATGGGGTGTGTGTGGTGGGCAGGCCTGGGCTGTAGTCACCCTGGTGCACGCTGGTAGAGTTGGGGTCTGTCTGGCTGGCGTGGGCACTTTTGGGAGGGGGTGTGTGTGGCAGGCAGGCCTGGGCTGCAGTCACCCCGGTGCACGCTGGTAGAGTTGGGGTCTGTCTGGCTGGCGTGGGCACCTTTGGGAGGGGGTGTGTGTGGCGGGCAGACCTGGGCTGTAGTCACCCTGGCCTGCGCTGGTAGAGTTGGGGTCTGTCCGGCTGGCGTGGGCACCTTTGGGACGGGGTGTGTGTGGCGGGCATGCCTGGGCTGCAGTCACCCCGGCCCGCACTCAGACTAGTCCTGGCATCACCACTCTGGGGCGAAGTTGATGCAGGAGCTCAGGGCCCTCATGCAGCACTGGGTGGGTCATGAAGCTCAGGGGGCTTCAGCAATGGAGGAGGCGACCCTATCCCATCCCAAGTTGGACAGCAGTCCCAGCGGTGGGGGGTGGGGGTATAGGGGGAAGCAGGTTCGGATTGGGTGGGTAAGGAACCCAGAGGAACAGACCCCTCCCTGTGCACCTCTCCCCAGAGGTGGAGGCAGGGAGAGATGGAGGCAGGGAGAGGTGGAGGCAGGGGGCAGAGACAAGCCTCAGGTCATCAAGAGTTGAGGGCTGGCATCTGGGATACAGGGAGGATGGGGAGAGGGGAGGGCTGTGCGGGTGGGGGGCGGCTCTGTCTCCCCTTGGCTGTGCCTCCCTGGGGACCGCTAGGCATACGCACGGCCACTGCACCCCTTCCTCCCTGCCAGGACCCTGCCCACTGCGGCGACCCCGAGGCTCAGAGCAGGCACAGGAGCCCCTCCTTTGAGAGACTTCCTGCCAGCTCCCCTCTGTGCTTCTTGATCCACATCATGGGTCAGCGCTGGTTTCTTGGCAACTGCTAAGATTTGTAAGGGCAGGGAGGAGATCTCACTCCTCCGTCTTTGGGTCCCTAGCACCTGACAAAATAAACTGCTGGCTAAGGAAAGATGGAGGGAGGGAGGGAGGGAGGGAGGAAGGAGGGGAGGAAAGGAGGGAAGGATAGAGGGAGGAGGGAAGAAGGAAGAGGGAGGAAGAAGGGAGGATGGAGAAGGGAGGAAGGGAAGGAGGGAAGGAGAAGGAGAAGAATGGAAGGAGGAGGGAGGAGGGAGGAACTGGACCGAGGCTATGGCTATGGAAGAATCATGCCCTGGGCCATCCCAGGCAGGCTGAGAAGAAAAAGCTGGAACCAAGTCTGGGCTAGTCTGGTGGTTGTGGGGCAGGAAGTAGCCATCAGGGTGGCAACCAGAAGAGCAGGGAGCCCAGCAGAGGAGGGAGGCCGGCAGAGGAGGGAGGCCGGCAGAGGAGGGAGGCTGGCAGAGGAGGGAGGCTGGCAGAGCAGGGAGCCCGGCAGAGGAGGGAGGCCGGCGGAGGAGGGAGGCCGGCAGAGGAGGGAGGCCGGCAGAGCAGGGAGCCCGGCGGAGGAGGGAGGCCGGCGGAGGAGGGAGGCTGGCAGAGCAGGGAGGCCGGCAGAGGAGGGAGGCCGGCAGAGGAGGGAGGCTGGCAGAGCAGGGAGGCCGGCAGAGGAGGGAGGCCGGCAGAGCAGGGAGGCCGGCAGAGGAGGGAGGCTGGGGACAGTGGGGGCAGGCCGGGGACAGTGGGGGCAGGCCGGGGACAGTGGGAGCAGTGTCGGGGACAGTGGGGGCAGGCTGGGGACAGTGGGGGCAGTGTTGGGGACAGTGAGGGCAGGCCGGGGACAGTGGGGGCAGGCTGGGGACAGTGGGGGCAGGCCGGGGACGGGGGGGCAGTGTTGGGGACAGTGAGGGCAGGCCGGGGACAGTGGGGGCAGGCTGGGGACAGTGGGGGCAGTGTCGGGGTGAGGATCTGGTCTCCCGACACCCCTTCCCGGGAGCGAGACCTCAGGCCCAGTCTTCACTCCCCAGCTGTGAAATGGGTGAGAACAGAGGGTGGCTGAGACTCAGGGCTGTTCAGGGTGGGGTGGGCTCTGGACCCAGCAGGCCCGGCACCCAGGCCAGGGCTCCAGGGGAGGCCAGGTGGGGCGAAGGCCAAGAAGGGGCCGGGGCTGGTCAGAAAGGGCTCCTGGTGACCAGAGCACTTTGCCTGAGCCAGCGTGGGAGGGAGGTGGGCTGGATGAGCCAGGGAGGCGCCGGGAGGGGCCTTGGCAGAGGCGACTCCCTCCGGCAGCCCCCAGGCCACTGAACCCTGGGTAGTGAGAACCGGCAGGGGAGGCTGCAGACGGAGGAGTGGAGGCTCCTTGGCTTTGGGGGCTCTGAGTAGAAGCACCTAGGGGGTCCCTCAAGAGGTCCCCAAATGCTGCCCCATGGTGAGGAAACAAGGAGAGGCCCGGCAGGGCCCCCCTTGGTTACAAAGGGCTGCCACTGTGAGAAGGCAACACTGCCGGCTGGGGCTGGGCTTTCTACCTCACCAAGCCTCTTCCCACCCAAAGGGCCCAGAGAGGGGCAGCTGCCCCCCACAGCGGGCACAGCACCTCCTCCCTGTGTGATGGGGTGGGGCCCACAGTCTCCTTTCTCGCGGCCTCCCTGGGCTGACCCTGGGTCCCAGCTCGGCCATGGGGGCTTCGGCATGTAAAGCCCATGGGGGGCAGAGCCTCCGGCCCCTGCCAGCTTCTGGCTGTCTGTGTCGCCCCCAGCACTGGGCTGGTGCCGTGGAGGGAGGCTCCGCCCTCCCCCCCATCAACCCGCTGAGGAGTTCTGTCTTCCCAGGGTTGTGAGGGAAGCCAGCTCTGCAGGCCGATGTCCAAGTCCAGGCGCTGCCTCCTCCAGGGAGCCTTCCAGACCTGATCTGTGCAGCAGAGGCCCAGAAGGACCTGGGTGTGGGGATCCTAACAGGAGGCGGGGGACCCAGCGCGTGCAGAGAGGGTCCCAGTGCTTCCTCCTGAGTGAGGGTCACCCATCCGGCTCCAGCTGCACAGAGCCACTCCCTCTGAGCAATCCTGCTCTCTGCCTTCCTGCATTAGCTCTTGCCTGCACCCAGTCCAGCAAATCCCTGCTCATCTTTCAGACCCAAGTTCAAGGCCTCCTCCTGCTCCGGGCGGCTCATCACTCGGCCTCCCCAGGCAGAGAGGCTAGGGTCCTGCTCACTGCGGCGTCTCCCTTGCCCACTGGCGTGGGACTACAAGGAAAGGGGTTGACCCCCACCCTCCCCTGCCATGCCCAGCAGGGTGCAGCCACAACCGGGAAGGTGCTAGAGGCCCCGGGGGGGAGGCTGGGCCAGCACCAGGCGTTGGGGGGCAGGTTCCCGTCTCTACGCCCGAGCCCCAGGCGGACGGCGCATGCCCCTCCCGCTGCCCCACCTGTCACCCACCTGCTGGCCCCGGGCTGTCTCTGCTCCTGGCTCCCCTCCCAGCTGCGTCCCCAGCTGCCTCTCCAGGGAGGAGTGACAGCTGGCCTGTGCCACACCCTCGAGCCCCTCCCTGGACTGCCCCCTCCCTGGGGCAGGACCCCTGCGTGTGGCACAACCAAGGGGCCTGCTGATGGGGGCTCATGTGAGCAGTGCCCCAGCTGTGGGTGTGGGTGCTGCCAGCTGCCACCGCCTTTGCCCTGGCTTCCCAGATAGGCCCCGACACACACTCCGAAGCTGTATCATGAACGCTGTGGTGGGCGGCTGGCGGGGAGCGGGGTTGCTGTCCCACTACCCTCTGGAAGCCTCAGCCACGGAGGGCCCCTGTGGGCACCTTTTCCCGGCACACGGTGCTGTGTCTCTCCACTCTTGGGCTCTGCAGTGACTTGAGGGGTCAAGTCTAGGACCCCAGGGGAGGCTGGGCTCATGAGGGGACCAGAGACCTCAGTGCTGTGCAGGGAGCCCCGAACCACCCTGGTGGAAGGCCCAGCCCAGCTCCCCAGGCCTCCTGCCAGCTCCCTGTGGTGTCCAAGGGACCTGTGGTCAGGCCTGGAGGAGAAGCTCCCCCTCCCCTCGACATCCTCCCCGCAGCCCTTGCTCTTCACCAGAGCCTCCTCACTCCCCAGGACCCCAGAGAGGACGGACCCTCTCCAGCCGCCCTCTGGGCTCAGGACAGCCGGGTGGGGCAGCCACAGGAGCTGCCTGCAGGGGGCAGAGTCGGGACGGGGACCGAGCCGGACACCCATTCTGCAAGTGTCTGCAGGGGGAGGACGGAGGTGGGTAGCTGGGAGTGCTGGGCCGAGGATGGGCATTGTCAGGCCCTCAGCGGGGACTGGGAGGTAGAAGTGGGGGTGGGGGTTTGTGGAGGAAGGAGAAGAAGGGCCAGCGTCCCGAGTCGGGGGGTGCTTGGCAGTGGATGAGGCCGGCAGGAACAGACCTGAGCTTGGGGAGCTCCACTCCGAACGAGGCATCCGTCAGAGTTCTGTGCATACTGGTGTCCCTGGCTGGGGGCCAGGCCCCGAAGTGGAGCCTGGGACTGTGAGGGTGCGGGGGTGTGCTGGGGTGGGAGGTGGATGGAGCCCCCCCACCGCCTGGCCCCTTGGGCTGAACCTTGGGCTTCGGAGCCAGAACAGACACAGGAAATCGCCTAATTGCATTTGTGCAGGAACACCAAATCCCTCGCAGCTGCACGGGGCTGAGCCAGGGCCACGGGCGGGGTCGGCCATCCCAGAGTCCTGACAGCTCCGTGGTGCATGCCAAGGGGCCTGGGCCGCTGGCCGGGGGGCGCCTTTCCCAGGCCAGAGGCCCCCACCCCACCCCAGGAGAGCTGCCCCCCTTTCAGTTCCCAGAACGGAGCCCAGCTGTGGAATAGTGAGGGGGTGAGGTCATGGGGAGGGGGCCCGCATGACTCATATCCTGGGGTAGGGGAAAGGGAGGAGACGTAGAAGGGGCCCAGAGGCCTCCACGTCCTCAGGCTGCTGGGTCAGAGGCCAGGGGCTGGCCGGGCTTCTCCCCAGCACTGGGTTTTAGGGGAGACACCAGGAGATGCTTACTCTGCATCCCCTACTCTGTCCCCCAGGCCCCTAGCCAGGGAGAGCTCAGTCGGAGTGATCCTCCAGGGGCCCAGCTCTGCAGGGACGATGTTCCCAGAGTACACACCTGGGCCTCGTGCCAGGGCCGGCACCGCCGTTGTCGGGGCAATGGCAAGGCAAACAGTCAACGTTTGCCTCACTAAAGTGAGGCTGCGGCACCCTGAAGGGATCCCTGGAGGGGGACGTGGTCCCCTTGTTCCCAAGCCTGTCTGCACACGCACGTGGATGTCAAAGGTTCCCGTGTGTGAGCACGTGCATACTTGTATGTGCATGGGGTGCGGGCATGTATGCCTGTGTGGCTGGAGCGTGGGCTCGTGGAGAACGTGTGTGAGTTGGGTGTGCACCTGCGTGTGCCCCAGGCCTAGGGAGTCCTGCGCCCGGCCGCACTCCATGTGTTGGGCATGAGCTGTGAGCAGAGTGAGGGCCTTTGTGGGGCTGTTGGGGCCCGGACTGCTTGCCCATAGGGGTGGACCTGAGGAAACGTGTGCACACGAGCTTCTGGGGTCTCTGCGCCAATGTGTACTTCCAAGCCCCGCCTCCCCTATGGCTTGGTGGAGGGGGTCTGTGGAGCTGGAGTGAGGGCCCTGGACCCATCGGAAGCCCAGGTCCAAGGAGGAGCATGGGCTCCCTCTCATGCCCCAGGCCCAGGGACACACACCCCAGCTAAGCCCTTGCTCACATGGAGGGGCTGGGACATGGGAACACGGGGAGCAATATGGC